>NC_000005.10:48287263-48613289 GCF_000001405.40 Homo sapiens | reverse complement strand
GGAAGTTTCTGAGAATTCTTCTGTCTAGCAGAATATGAAGAAATCCCGTTTCCAACGAAGGCCTCAAAGAGGTCTGAATATCCACTGGCAGACTTTAAAAACAGAGTGTTTCCTAACTGCTCTATGAACAGAAAGTTTAAACTCTGTGAGTTGAACGAACACATCACAACGCAGTTTGTGGGAATGATTCTGTCTAGTTTTGAAACGAAGATATTTCCTTTTCTGGCGTTGACCTTAAACCGCTTGAAATCTACACTTGCAAATTGCACAAATAGAGTGTTTCAAATCTGCTCTGTCTAAGGGAACGTTCAACTCTGTGAGTTGAATGCACACAACACAAGGAAGTTACTGGGAATTCTTCTGTCTAGCCTTACATGAAAAAAACCCGTTTCCAACGAAGGCCTCTAAGTGGTCAAATTATCCACGTGCAGACTTTACACAGTGTTTCCAAACTGCTGAATGAAAAGAAAAGTTAAACTCTGAGAGTTGAACGCACACATCGCAGAGCAGTTTCTGAGAATGATTCTGTCTAGTTTTGAAACGAAGATATTTCCTTTTCTGCCTTTGGCCTCAAAGCGCTTGAAATCTCCACTTGCAAATTCCACAAAAAGAGTGTTTCAAATCTGCTCTGTGTAAATGAAAGTTCAACTCTGTGAGTTGAACACACACATCACAAGGAAGTTACTGGGAATTCTTCTGTCTAGCCTTATATGAAAAAAACACGTATCCAACGAAGGCCTCAAAGAGGTCTGAATATCCACTTGGAGACTTTACAAACAGAGTGTTTCCTAACTGCTCTATGAAAAGAAAGGTTAAACTCTGTGAGTTGAACGCACACATCACAAAGGAGTTTCTGAGAATCATTCTGTCAATTTTCTATAGGAAGATATTTACTATTCTACCATTGACCTCAAAGCGGCTGAATTCTCCACTTGCAAATTCCACAAAAAGAGTGTTTCAAGTCTGCTCTGTGTAAAGGATCGTTTAACTCTGTGAGTTGAATACTCACAATACAAGGAAGTTACTGAGAATTCTTCTGTCTAGCAGAATATGAAGAAATCCCGTTTGCAACGAAGGCCACAAGATGTCAGAATATCCACTTACAGACTTTACAAACAGAGTGTTTCCTAACTGCTCTATGAACAGAAAGGTTAAACTCTGTGAGTTGAACGAACACATCACAACGCAGCTTGTGGGAATGATTCTGTCTAGTTTTGAAACGAAGATATTTCCTTTTCTGCCATTGACCTTAAAGCGCTTGAAATCTACACTTGCAAATTGCACAAATAGAGTGTTTCAAATCTGCTCTGTCTAAGGGAACGTTCAACTCTGTGAGTTGAATGCACACAACACAAGGAAGTTACTGGGAATTCTTCTGTCTAGCCTTACATGAAAAAAACCCGTTTCCAACGAAGGCCTCTAAGTGGTCAAAATATCCACGTGCAGACTTTACAAACAGAGTGTTTCCAAACCGCTGAATGAAAAGAGAAGTTAAACTCTGAGAGTTGAACGCACACATCACGCAGCAGTTTCTGAGAATGATTCTGTCTAGTTTTTATACGAAGATATTTCCTTTTCTGCCTTTGGCCTCAAAGCGCTTGAAATCTCCACTTGCAAATTCCACAAAAAGAGTGTTTCAAATCTGCTCTGTGTAAATGAAAGTTCAACTCTGTGAGTTGAACACACACAACACAAGGAAGTTGCTGGGAATTCTTCTGTCTAGCAGAATATGAAGAAATCCCGTTTCCAACGAAGGACTCAAAGAGGTCTGAATATCCACTTGCAGACTTTACAAACAGAGTGTTTCCTAACTGCTCTATGAAAAGAAAGGTTAAACTCTGTCAGTTGAACGCAAACATCACAAAGGAGTTTCTGAGAATCATTCTGTCTTGTTTCTATAGGAAGATATTTCCTATTCTACCATTGACCTCAAAGCGGCTGAAATCTCCACTTGCAAATTCCACAAAAAGCGTGTTTCAAGTCTGCTCTCTGTAAAGGATCGTTCAACTCTGTGAGTTGAATACACACAACACAAGGAAGTTACTGAGAATTATTCTGTCTAGCAGAATATGAAGAAATCCCGTTTCCAACGGAGGCCACAAGATGTCAGAATATCCACTTACAGAATTTACCAACAGAGTGTTTCCTAACTGCTCTATGAAAAGAAAGGTTAAACTCTGTGAGTTGAACGAACACATCACAACGCAGTTTGTGGGAATGATTCTGACTAGTTTTTATACGAAGATATTTCCTTTTCTGCCATTGACCTTAAAACGCTTGAAATCTACAGTTGCAAATTGCACAAATAGAGTATTTCAAATCTGCTCTGTCTAACGGAACGTTCAACTCTGTGAGTTGAATGCACACAACACAAGGAAGTTACTGGGAATTCTCCTGTCTAGCCTTACATGAAAAAAACCCGTTTCCAACGAAGGCCTCCAAGTGCTCAAAATATCCACATGCAGACTTTACAAACAGAGTGTTTCCAAACTGCTGAATGAAAAGAAAAGTTAAACTCTGAGAGTTGAACGCACACATCACAGAGCAGTTTCTGAGAATGATTCTGTCTAGTTTTTCTACGAAGATATTTCCTTTTCTACTATTGACCTCAAAGCGGCTGAAATCTCCACTTGCAAATTCCACAAAAAGAGTGTTTCAAGTCTGCTCTGTGTAAAGGATCGTTTAACTGTGAGTTGAATACACACAAAACAAGGAAGTTACTGAGAATTCTTCTGTCTCAGCAGAATATGAAGAAATCCCGTTTCCAACGAAGGCCTCAAAGAGGTCTGAATATCCACTTGCAGACTTTACAAACAGAGTGTTTCCTAACTGCTCTATGAAAAGAAAGGTTAAACTCTGTGAGTTGAACTCACACATCACAAAGGAGTTTCTGAGAATCATTCTGTCTAGTTTTTATATGAAGATATTTCCTTTTCTACCATTGACCTCAAAGCGGCTGAAATCTCCACTTGCAAATTCCACAAAAAGAATTTCTCAAGTCTGCTCTGTGTAAACGATCGTTCAACTCTATGAGTTGAATACACACAACACAAGGAAGTTTCTGAGAATTCTTCTGTCTAGCAGAATATGAAGAAATCCCGTTTCCAACGAAGGCCACAAGATGTCAGAATATCCACTTACAGATTTTACCAACAGAGTGTTTCCTAACTGCTCTATGAAAAGAAAGGTTAAACTCTGTGAGTTGAACGAACACATCACAACGCAGTTTGTGGGAATGATTCTGTCTAGTTTTTATACGAAGATATTTCCTTTTCTACCATTGACCTCAAAGAGGCTGAAATCACCACTTGCCAATTGCACAAAAAGAGCGTTTCAAATCTGCTCTGTCTAAGGGAACGTTCAACTCTGTGAGTTGAATGTACACAACACAAGGAAGTTCCTGGGAATTCTTCTGTCTAGCATAATATGAAGAAATCCTGTTTCCAACGAAGGCCTCAAAGAGGTCTGAATATCCACTTGCACACTTTACAAACAGAGTGTTTCCTAACTGCTCTATGAAAAGAAAAGTTAAACTCTGTGAGTTGACCGCACACATCACAAAGGAGTTTATGAGAATCATTCTGTCTAGTCTTTATACGAAGATATTTCCTTTTCTACCATTGACCTCAAAGCGGTTGAAATCTCCACTTGCAAATTCCACAAAAAGAGTGTTTCAAGTCTGCTCTGTGTAAAGGATCGTTCAACTCTGTGAGTTGAATACACACAACACAAGGAAGTTACTGAGAATTCTTCTGTCTAGCATAGTATGGAGAAATCCCGTTTCCAATGAAGGCCTCAAAGAGGTCTGAATATCCACTTGCAGAGTTTACAAACAGAGTGTTTCCTAACTGCTCTATGAAAAGAAAGGTTAAACTCTGTGAGTTGAACGCACACATCACAAAGAAGTTTCTGAGAATCATTTTGTCTAGTTTCTATAAGAAGATATTTCCTATTCTACCATTGACCTCAAAGCGGCTGAAATCTCCACTTGCAAATTCGACAAAAAGAGTGTTTCAAGCCTGTTCGCTGTAAAGGATCCTTCAACTCTGTGAGTTGAATACACACAACACAAGGAAGTTACTGAGAATTATTCTGTCTAGCAGAATATGAAGAAATCCCATTTCCAACGAAGGCCTCAAGGAGGTCTGAATATCCACTTGCAGACTTTACAAACAGAGTGTTTCCTAACTGCTCTATGAACAGAAAGGTTAAACTCTGTGAGTTGAACGAACACATCACAACGCAGTTTGTGGGAATGATTCTGTCTAGTTTTTATACGAAGATATTTCCTTTTCTACCATTGACCTCAAAGCGGCTGAAATCACCACTAGCCAATTGCACAAAAAGAGTGTTTCAAATCTGCTCTATCTAAGGGAACGTTCAACTCTGTGAGTTGAATGTACACAAAACAAGGGAAGTTACTGGGAATTCTTCTGTCTAGCCTTACAGGAAAAAAACCCGTTTCCAACGAAGGCCTCTAAGTGGTCAAAATATCCACGTGCAGACTTTACAAACAGAGTGTTTCCAAACTGCTGAATGAAAAGAAAAGTTGAACTCTGAGAGTTGAACGCACACATCACAAAGGAGTTTCTGAGAATCATTCTGTCTAGTTTTTATACGAAGATATTTCCTTTTCTACCTTTGACTTCAAAGCGGCTGAAATCTCCACTTGCAAATTCCACAAAAAGAGTGTTACAAGTCTGCTCTGTGTAAATGAAATTTCAACTCTGTGAGTTGAACACACACAACACAAGGAAGTTACTGGGAATTCTTCTGTCTAGCATCATATGAAGAAATCCCGTTTCCAACGAAGGCCTCAAAAGGTCTGAATATCCACTTGCAGACTTTATAAACAGAGTGTTTCCTAACCGCTCTATGAAAAGAATGGTTAAACTCTGTGAGTTGAATGAACACATCACAACGCAGTTTGTGGGAATGATTCTGTCTAGTTTTGAAACGAAAATATTTCCTTTTCTGCCATTGACCTTAAAGCGCTTGAAATCTACACTTGCAAATTGCACAAATAGAGTGTTTCAAATCTGCTCTGTCAAAGGGAACGTTCATCTCTGTGAGTTGACTGCACACAACACAAGGAAGTTACTGGGAATTCTTCTGTCTAGCCTTACAGGAATAAAACCCGTTTCCAACGAAGGCCTCTAAGTGGTCAAAATATCCACGTGCAGACTTTACAAAGAGAGTGTTTCCAAACTGCTGAATGAAAAGAAAAATTAAACTCTGAGAGTTGAACGCACACATCGCAGAGCAGTTTCTGAGAATGATTCTGTCTAGTTTTTATACGAAGATATTTCCTTTTCTACCATTGACCTCAAAGCGGCTGAAATCTCCACTTGCAAATTCCATAAAAAGAGTGTTTCAAGTCTGCTCTGTGTAAAGGATCGTTCAACTCTGTGAGTTGAATACACACAACACAAGGAAGATTCTGAGAATTCTTCTGTCTAGCAGAATATGAAGAAATCCCGTTTCCAACGGAGGCCACAAGATGTCAGAATATCCACTTACATAATTTACCAACAGAGTGTTTCCTAACTGCTCTATGAAAAGAAAGATTAAACTCTGTGAGTTGAACGAACACATCACAACGCAGTTTGTGGGAATGATTCTGTCTAATTTTGAAACGAAGATATTTCCTTTTCTGCCTTTGGCCTCAAAGCGCTTGACATCTCCACTTGCAAATTCCTCAAAAAGAGTGTTTCAAATCTGCTCTGTGTAAATGAAAGTTCAACTCTGTGAGTTGAACACACACAACACAAGGAAGTTACTGGGAATTCTTCTGTCTAGCAGAATATGAAGAAATCCCGTTTCCAACGAAGTCCTCAAAGAGGTCTGAATATCCACTTGCAGACTTTACAAACAGAGTGTTTCCTAACTGCTCTATGAAAAGAAAGGTTAAACTCTGTGAGTTGAACAAACACATCACAAAGGACTTTCTGAGAATCATTCTGTCTAGTTTCTATAGGAAGATATTTCCTATTCTACCATTGACCTCAAAGCGGCTGAAATCTCCACTTGCAAATTCCACAAAAAGAGTGTTTCAAGTCTGCTCTGTGTAAAGGATCGTTCAACTCTGTGAGTTCAATACACACAACACAAGGAAGTTACTGAGAATTCTTCTGTCTAGCAGAATATGAAGAAATCCCGTTTCCAACGAAGGCCACAAGATGTCAGGATATCCACTTACAGACTTTACAAACAGAGTGTTTCCTAACTGCTCTATGAACAGAAAGGTTAAACTCTGTGAGTTGAACGAACACATCACAACGCAGTTTGTGGGAATGATTCTGTCTAGTTTTAAAACGAAGATATTTCCTTTTCTGCCATTGACCTTAAAGCGCTTGAAATCTACACTTGCAAATTGCACAAATAGAGTGTTTCAAGTCTGCTCTGTGTAAAGGATCGTTCAACTCTGTGAGTTGAATACACACAACACAAGGTAGTTACTGAGAATTCTTCTGTCTAGCCTTACATGAAAAAAACCCGTTTCCAACGAAGGCCTATAAGTGGTCAAAATATCCACGTGCAGACTTTACAAACAGAGTGTTTCCAAACCGCTGAATGAAAAGAAAAGTTAAACTCTGAGAGTTGAACGCACACATCACGCAGCAGTTTCTGAGAATGATTCTGTCTAGTTTTGAAACGAAGATATTTCCTTTTCTGCCTTTGGCCTCAAAGCGCTTGAAATCTCCACTTGCAAATTCCACAAAAAGAGTGTTTCAAATCTGCTCTGGGTAAATGAAAGTTCAACTCTGTGAGTTGAACACACACAACACAAGAAGTTACTGGGAATTCTTCTGTCTTGCATAATATGAAGAAATCCCGTTTCAAACGAAGGCCTCAAGGAGGTCTGAATATCCACTTGCAGACTTTACAAACAGAGTGTTTCCTAACTGCTCTATGAAAAGAAAGGTTAAACTCTGTGAGTTGAACGCACACATCACAAAGGAGTTTCTGAGAATCATTCTGTCTAGTTTTTCTACGAAGATATTTCCTTTTCTACTATTGACCTCAAAGCGGCTGAAATCTCCACTTGCAAATTCCACAAAAAGAGTGTTTCAAGTCTGCTCTGTGTAAAGGATCGTTCAACTCTGTGAGTTGAATACACACAACACAAGGGAAGTTACTGAGAATTCTTCTGTCTAGCAGAATATGAAGAAATCCCGTTTCCAACGAAGGCCTCAAAGAGGTCTGAATATCCACTTGCAGACTTTCCAAACAGAGTGTTTACTAACTGCTCTATGAAAAGAAAGGTTAAACTCTGTGAGTTGAACGCACACATCACAAAGGAGTTTATGAGAATCATTCTGTCTAGTTTTGAAACGAAGATATTTCCTTTTCTGCCATTGACCTTAAAGCGCTTGAAATCTCCACTTGCCAATTGCACAAAAAGAGTGTTTCAAATCTGCTCGGTCTAAGGGAACGTCTCAACTCTGTGAGTTGAATGTACACAACACAAGGAAGTTACTGGGAATTCTTCTGTCTAGCCTTACATGAAAAAAACCCGTTTCCAACGAAGGCCTCTATGTGGTCAAATTATCCACGTGCAGACTTTCCAAACAGAGTGTTTCCAAACTGCTGAATGAAAAGAAAAGTTAAACTCTAAGAGTTGAACGCACACATCGCAGAGCAGTTTCTGAGAATGATTCTGTCTAGTTTTTATACGAAGATATTTCCTTTTCTGCCTTTGGCCCCAAAGCGCTTGAAATCTCCACTTGCAAATTCCACAAAAACAGTGTTTCAAATCTGCTCTCTCTAAACGAAAGTTCAACTCTGTCAGTTGAATACACACAACACAAGGAAGTTACTGAGAATTCTTCTGTCTAGCATAATATGAAGAAATCCCGTTTCCAACGAAGGCCTCAAAGGGATCTGAATATCCACTTGCAGACTTTATAAACAGATTGTTTACTAACTGCTCTATGAAAAGAAAGGTTCAACTCTGTGAGTTGAACACACACATCACAAAGGAGTTTCTGAGAATCATTCTGTCTAGTCTTTATACGAAGATAGTTTCCTTTTCTACCATTGACCTCAAGCGGCTGAAATCTCCACTTGCAAATTCCACAAAAAGAGTGTTTCAAGTCTGCTCTCTGTAAAGCGTCGTTCAACTCTGTGAGTTGAATACACACAACACAAGGAAGTTACTGAGAATTCTTCTGTCTAGCCTTACAGGAAAAAAACCCGTTTCCAACGAAGGCCTCTAAGTGGTCAAAATATCCACGTGCAGACTTTACAAACAGAGTGTTTCCACACTGCTGAATGAAAAGAAAAGTTAAACTCTGAGAGTTGAATGCACACATCGCAGAGCAGTTTCTGAGAATGATTCTGTCTAGCCTTACAGGAAAAAAACCCGTTTCCAACGAAGGCCTCTAAGTGGTCAAAATATCCACGTGCAGACTTTACAAACAGAGTGTTTCCAAACTGCTGAATGAGAAGAAAAGTTAAACTCTGAGAGTTGAACGCACACATCGCAGAGCAGTTTCTGAGAATGATTCTGTCTAGTTTTTCTACGAAGATATTTCCTTTTCTACTATTGACCTCAAAGCGGCTGAAATCTCCACTTGCAAATTCCACAAAAAGAGTGTTTCACGTCTGCTCTGTGTAAAGGATCGTTCAACTCTGTGAGTTGAATACACACAACACAAGGAAGTTACTGAGAATTCTTCTGTCTACCATAATATGAAGAAATCCCGTTTCCAACGAAGGCCTCAAAGAGGTCTGAATATCCACTTGCAGACTTTACAAACAGAGTGTTTCCTAACTGCTCTATGAAAAGAAAAGTTAAACTCTGTGAGTTGAACGCACACATCACAAAGGAGTTTCTGAGAATCATTCTGTCTAGTCTTTATACGAAGATATTTCCTTTTCTACCATTGACCTCAAAGCGGCTGAAATCTCCACTTGCAAATTCCACAAAAAGAGTGTTTCAAGTCTGCTCTGTGTAAAGGATCGTTCAACTCTGTGAGTTGAATACACACTACACAAGGAAGTTACTGAGAATTCTTCTGACTAGCAGAATATGAAGAAATCCCGTTTCCAACGAAGGCCACAAGATGTCAGAATATCCACTTACAGAATTTACAAACAGACTGTTTCCTAACTGCTCTATGAAAAGAAAGGTTAAACTCTGTGAGTTGAACGAACACATCACAACGCAGTTTGTGGGAATGATTCTGTCTAGTTTTGAAACGAAGATATTTCCTTTTCTGCCATTGACCTTAAAGCGCTTGAAATCTCCACTTGCCAATTGCACAAAAAGAGTGTTTCAAATCTGCTCTGTCTAAGGGAACGTTCAACTCTGTGAGTTGAATGAACACAACACAAGGAAGTTACTGGGAATTCTTCTGTCTAGCCTTACATGAAGAAAACCCGTTTCCAAAGAAGGCTTCTAAGTGGTCAAAATATCCACGTGCAGACTTTACAAACAGAGTGTTTCCAAACCGCTGAATGAAAAGAAAAGTTAAACTCTGAGAGTTGAATGCACACATCACGCAGCAGATTCTGAGAATGATTCTGTCTAGTTTATTATACGAAGATATTTCCTTTTCAACCATTGACCTCAAAGCGGGCTGAAATCTCCACTTGCAAATTCCACAAAAAGAGTGTTTCAAGTCTGCTCTGTGTAAAGGATCGTTCAACTCTGTGAGTTGAATACACACAACACAAGGAAGTTACTGAGAATTCTTCTGTCTAGCAGAATATGAAGAAATCCCTTTTCCAACGAAGGCCTCAAGGAGGTCTGAATATCCACTTGCAGACTTTACAAACAGAGTGTTTCCTAACTGCTCTATGAAAAGAAAGGTTAAACTCTGTGAGTTGAACGCACACATCACAAAGGAGTTTATGAGAATCATTCAGTCTATTTTTTATAGGAAGATATTTCCTTTTCTACCTTTGACTTCAAAGCGGCTGAAATCTCCACTTGCAAATTCCACAAAAAGAGTGTTACAAGTCTGCTCTGTGTAAAGGATCGTTCAACTCTGTGAGTTGAATACACACAACACAAGGAAGTTACTGAGAATTCTTCTGTCTAGCATAGTATGAAGAAATCCCATTTCCAACGAAGGCCTCAAAGAGATCTGAATATCCACTTGCAGACTTTACAAACAGAGTGTTTCCTAACTGCTCTATGAAAAGAAAGGTTAAACTCTGTGAGTTGAACGCACACATCACAAAGAAGTTTCTGAGAATCATTCTGTCTAGTTTTGAAACGAAGATATTTCCTTTTCTGCCATTGACCTTAAAGCGCTTGAAATCTCCACTTGCCAATTGCACAAAAAGAGTGTTTCAAATCTGCTCTGTCTAAGGGAACGTTCAACTCTGTGAGTTGAACCGTACACAACACAAGGAAGTTACTGGGAATTCTTCTGTCTAGCCTTACAGGAAAAAACCCGTTTCCAACAAAGGCCTCTAAGTGGTCAAAATATCCACGTGCAGACTTTACAAACAGAGTGTTTCCAAACTGCTGAATGAAAAGAAAAGTTAAACTCTGAGAGTTGAACGCACACATCGCAGAGCAGTTTCTGAGAATGATTCTGTCTAGTTTTTATACGAAGATATTTCCTTTTCTGCCTTTGGCCTCAAAGCGCTTGAAATCTCCATTTGCAAATTCCACAAAAAGAGTGTTTCAAATCTGCTCTGTGTAAATGAAAGTTCAGCTCTGTGAGTTGAATACACACAACACAAGGGAAGTTACTGAGAATTCTTCTGTCTAGCATAGTATGAAGAAATCCCGTTTCCAACGAAGGCCTCAAAGACGTCTGAATATCCACTTGCAGAGTTCACAAACAGAGTGTTTCCTAACTGCTCTATGAAAAGAAAGGTTAAACTCTGTGAGTTGAACGCACACATCACAATGAAGTTTCTGAGAATCATTCTGTCTAGTTTTTATACGAAGATATTTCCTTTTCTACCATTGACCTCAAAGCGGCTGAAATCTCCCCTTGCAAATTCCACAAAAAGAGTGTTTCAAGTCTGCTCTGTGTAAAGGATCGTTCAACTCTGTGAGTTGAATACACACAACACAAGGAAGTTACTGAGAATTCTTCGGTCTAGCAGAATATGAAGAAATCCCGTTTCCAACGAAGGCCTCAAGGAGGTCTGAATATCCACTTGCAGACTTTACAAACAGAGTGTTTCCTAACTGCTCTATGAACAGAAAGGTTAAACTCTGTGAGTTGAACGAACACATCACAACGCAGTTTGTGGGAATGATTCTGTCTAGTTTTGAAACGAAGATATTTCCTTTTCTGCCATTGACCTCAAAGCGCATGAAATCTACACTTGCAAATTGCACAAATAGAGTGTTTCAAATCTGGTCTGTCTAAGGGAACTTTCAACTCTGTGAGTTGAATGCACACAACACAAGGAAGTTACTGGGAATTCTTCTGTCTAGCCTTACATGAAAAAAACCCGTTTCCAACGAAGGCCCCTAAGTGGTCAAAATTTCCACGTGCAGACTTTACAAACAGAGTGTTTCCAAACCGCTGAATGAAAAGAAAAGTTAAATTCTGAGAGTTGAACGCACACATCACAAAGGAGTTTGCTGAGAATGATTCTGTCTAGTTTTTATAAGAAGATATTTCGTTTTCTGCCTTTGGCCCCAAAGCGCTTGAAATCTCCACTTGCAAATTCCACAAAAACAGTGTTTCAAATCTGCTCTCTCTAAATGAAAGTTCAACTCTGTCAGTTGAATACACACAACACAAGGAAGTTACTGAGAATTCTTCTGTCTAGCCTTATATGAAAAAAACCCGTTTCCAACGAAGGCCTCAAAGAGGTCTGAATATCCACTTGCAGACTTTACAAACAGAGTGTTTCCTAACTGCTCTATGAAAAGAAAGGTTAAACTCTGTGAGTTGAACGCACACATCACAAAGGAATTTCTGAGAATCTTTCTGTCTAGTTTTTATACGAAGATATTTCCTTTTCTACCATGGACCTCAAAGCGGCTGAAATCTCCACTTGCAAATTCCACAAATAGAGTGTTTCATATCTGCTCTTTGTAAACCATCGTTCAACTCTGTGAGTTGAATACACACAACACAAGGAAGATTCTGAGATTTCTTCTGTCAAGCAGAATATGAAGAAATCCCGTTTGCAACGAAGGCCACAAGATGTCAGAATATCCACATACAGAATTTACAAACAGACTGTTTCCTAACTGCTCTATGAAAAGAAAGGTTAAACTCTGTGAGTTGAACGAACACATCACAACGCAGTTTGTGGGAATGATTCTGTCTAGTTTTGAAACGAAGATATTTCCTTTTCTGCCATTGACCTTAAAGCACTTGAAATCTCCACTTGCCAATTGCACAAAAAGAGTGTTTCAAATCTGCTCTGTCTAAGGGAACGTTCAACTCTGTGAGTTGAATGTACACAACACAAGGAAGTTACTGGGAATTCTTCTGTCTAGCCTTACATGAAAAAACCCGTTTCCAACGAAGGCCTCTAAGTGGTCAAATTATCCACGTGCAGACTTTACAAACAGAGTGTTTCCAAACTGCTGAATGAAAAGAAAAGTTAAACTCTGAGAGTTGAACGCACACATCGCAGAGCAGTTTCTGAGAATGATTCTGTCTAGTTTTGAAACGAAGATATTTCCTTTTCTGCCTTGGGCCTCAAAGCGCTTGAAATCTCCACTTGCAAATTCCACAAAAAGAGTGTTTCAAATCTGCTCTGTGTAAATGAAAGTTCAACTCTGTGAGTCGAACACACACAACACAAGGAAGTTACTGGGAATTCTTCTGTCTAGCCTTATATGAAAAAAACCCGTTTCCAACGAAGGCCTCAAAGAGGTCTGAATATCCACTTGCAGACTTTACAAACAGAGTGTTTCCTAACTGCTCTATGAAAAGAAAGGTTAAACTCTGTGAGTTGAACGCACACTTCACAAAGGAGTTTCTGAGAATCATTCTGTCTAGTTTCTATAGGAAGATATTTCCTATTCCACCATTGACCTCAAAGCGGCAGAAATCTCCACTTGCAAATTCCACAAAAAGAGTGTTTCATGATTGCTCTGTGTAAACGATCGTTCAACTCTGTGAGTTGAATACACACAACACAAGGAAGTTACTGAGAATTCTTCTGTCTAGCAGAATATGAAGAAATCCCGTTTCCAACGAAGGCCACTAGATGTCAGAATATCCACTTACAGAATTGACAAACAGACTGTTTCCTAACTGCTCTATGAAAAGAAAGTTTAAACTCTGTGAGTTGAACGAACACATCACAACGCAGTTTGTGGGAATGATTCTGTCTAGTTTTGAAACGAAGATATTTCCTTTTCTGCCGTTGACCTTAAAGAGCTTGAAAACTACACTTGCAAATTGCACAAATAGAGTGTTTCAAATCTGCTCTGTCTAAGGGAACGTTCAACTCTGTGAGTTGAATGCACACAACACAAGGAAGTTACTGGGAATTCTTCTGTCTAGCCTTACATGAAAAAAACACGTTTCCAACGAAGGCCTCTAAGTGGTCAAAATTTCCACGTGCAGACTTTACAAACAGAGTGTTTCCAAACCGCTGAATGAAAAGAAAAGTTAAACTCTGAGAGTTGAATGCACACATCACGCAGCAGTTTCTGAGAATGATTCTGTCTAGTTTTTATACGAAGATATATCCTTTTCTGCCTTTGGCCCCAAAGCGCTTAAAATCTCCACTTGCAAATTCCACAAAAACAGTGTTTCAAATCTGCTCTCTCTAAATGAAAGTTCAACTCTGTCAGTTGAATACACACAACACAAGGAAGTTACTGAGAATTCTTGTGTCTAGCATAATATGAAGAAATCCCGTTTCCAACGAAGGCCTCAAGGAGGTCTGAATATCCACTTGCAGACTTTACAAACAGAGTGTTTCCTAACTGCTCTATGAAAAGAAAGGTTAAACTCTGTGAGTTAAACGCAGACATCACAAAGGAGTTTCTGAGAATCACTCTGTCTAGTCTTTATACGAAGATATTTGCTTTTCTACCATTGACCTCAAAGCGGCTGAAATCTCCACTTGCAAATTCCACAAAAAGAGAGTTTCAAGTCTGCTCTGTGTAAAGGATCATTCAACTCTGTGAGTTGAATAAACACAACACAAGGAAGTTACTGAGAATTCTTCTGTCTAGGAGAATATGAAGAAAACCCGTTTCCAACGAAGGCCACAAGATGTCAGAATATCCACTTACAGAATTGACAAACAGACTGTTTCCTAACTGCTCTATGAAAAGAAAGGTTAAACTCTGTGAGTTGAACGAACACATCACAACGCAGTTTGTGGGAATGATTCTGACTAGTTTTTATACGAAGATATTTCCTTTTCTGCCATTGACCTTAAAGCGCTTGAAATCTACACTTGCAAATTGCACAAATAGAGTGTTTCAAATCTGCTCTGTCTAAGGGAACGTTCAACTCTGTGAGTTGAATGCACACAACACAAGGAAGTTACTGGGAATTCTTCTGTCTAGCCTTACAGGAAAAAAACCCGTTTCCAACGAAGGCCTCTAAGTGGTCAAAATATCCACGTGCAGACTTTACAAACAGAGTGTTTCCAAACTGCTGAATGAAAAGAAAAGTTAAACTCTGAGAGTTGAACGCACACATCGCAGAGCAGTTTCTGAGAATCATTCTGTCTAGTTTTTATACGAAGATATTTCCTTTTCTGCCTTTGGCCCCAAAGCGCTTGAAATCACCACTTGCAAATTCCACAAAAACAGTGTTTCAAATCTGCTCTCTCTAAATGAAAGTTCAACTCTGTCAGTTGAATACACACAACACAAGGAAGTTACTGAGAATTCTTCTGTCTAGCAGAATATGAAGAAATCCCGTTTCCAACGAAGGCCTCAAAGAGGTCTGAATATCCACTTGCAGACTTTACAAACAGAGTGTTTCCTAACTGCTCTATGAAAAGAAATGTTAAACTCTGTGAGTTGAACGCACACATCACAAAGGATTTTCTGAGAATCATTCTGTCTAGTTTCTATAGGAAGATATTTCCTATTCTACCATTGACCTCAAAGCGGCTGAAATCTCCACTTGCAAATTCCACAAAAAGAGTGTTTCAAGTCTGCTCTGTGTAAAGGATCGTTCAACTCTGTGAGTTGAATACACACAACACAAGGTAAGTTACTGAGAATTATTCTGTCTAGCAGAATATGAAGAAATCCCGTTTCCAACGAAGGCCACAAGATGTCAGAATACCCACTTACAGACTTTACAAACAGAGTGTTTCCTAACTGCTCTATGAACAGAAAGGTTAAACTCTGTGAGTTGAACGAACACATCACAACGCAGTTTGTGGGAATGATTCTGTGTAGTTTTGAAACGAAGATATTTCCTTTTCTGCCATTGACCACAAAGCGCTTGAAATCTCCACTTGCCAATTGCACAAAAAGAGTGTTTCAAATCTGCTCTGTCTAAGGGAACGTTCAACTCTGTGAGTTGAATGTACACAACACAAGGAAGTTACTGGGAATTCTTCTGTCTAGCCTTACATGAAAAAATCCCGTTTCCAACGAAGGCCTCTAAGTGGTCAAAATTTCCACGTGCAGACTTTACAAACAGAGTGTTTCCAAACCGCTGAATGAAAAGAAAAGTTAAACTCTGAGAGTTGAACGCACACATCACGCAGCAGTTTCTGAGAATGATTCTGTCTAGTTTTTATACGAAGATATTTCCTTTTCTGCCTTTGGCCTCAAAGCGCTTGAAATCTCCACTTGCAAATTCCACAAAAAGAGTGTTTCAAATCTGCTCTTTGTAAATCAAAGTTCAACTCTGTGAGTTGAACACACACAACACAAGGAAGTTACTGGGAATTCTTCTGTCTAGCATAATATGAAGAAATCCTGTTTCCAACGAAGGCCTCAAGGAGGTCTGAATATCCACTTGCAGACTTTACAAACAGAGTGTTTCCTAACTGCTCTATGAACAGAAAGGTTAAACTCTGTGAGTTGAACGCACACATCACAAAGGAGTTTCTGAGAATCATTCTGTCTAGTTTCTATAGGAAGATATTTCCTATTCTACCATTGACCTCAAAGCGGCTGAAATCTCCACTTGCAAATTCCACAAAAAGAGTGTTTCAAGTCTGCTCTCTGTAAAAGATCGTTCAACTCTGTGAGTTGAATACACACAACGCAAGGAAGTTACTGAGAATTCTTCTGTCTAGCACAGTATGAAGAAATCCCGTTTCCAACGAAGGCCTCAAAGAGGTCTGAATAACCACTTGCAGAGTTTACAAAAACAGTGTTTCCTAACTGCTCTATGAAAAGAAAGGTTAAACTCTGTGAGTTGAACGCACACATCACAATGAAGTTTCTGAGAATCATTCTGTCTAGTTTTGAAACGAAGATATTTCCTTTTCTGCCATTGACTTTAAAGCGCTTGAAATCTCCACTTGCCAATTGCACAAAAAGAGTATTTCAAATCTGCTCTCTCTAAGGGAACGTTCAACTCTGTGAGTTGAATGTACACAACACAAGGAAGTTACTGGGAATTCTTCTGTCTAGCCTTACATGAAAAAAACCCGTTTCCAACGCAGGCCTCTAAGTGGTCAAAATATCCACGTGCAGACTTTACAAACAGAGTGTTTCCAAACTGCTGAAAGAAAAGAAAAGTTAAACTCTGAGAGTTGAACGCACACATCACAGAGCAGTTTCTGAGAATGATTCTGTCTAGTTTTTATAGGAAGATATTTCCTATTCTACCATTGACCTCAAAGCGGCAGAAATCTCCACTTGCAAATTCCACAAAAAGAGTGTTTCAAGTCTGCTCTGTGTAAAGGATCGTTCAACTCTGTCAGTTGAATACACACAACACAAGGAAGTTACTGAGAATTCTTCTGTCTAGCAGAATATGAAGAAATCCCGTTTCCAACGAAAGCCTCAAAGATGTCTGAATATCCACTTGCAGAATTTACAAACAGAGTGTTTCCTAACTGCTCTATGAAAAGAAAGGTTAAACTCTGTGAGTTGAACGCACACATCACAAAGGAGTTTCTGAGAATCATTCTGTCTAGTTTCTATAGGAAGATATTTCCTATTCTACCATTGACCTCAAAGCGGCTGAAATCTCCACTTGCAAATTCCACAAAAAGAGTGTTTCAAGTCTGCTCTGTGTAAAGGATCGTTCAACTCTGTGAGTTGAATACACACAACACAGGGAAGTTACTGAGAATTCTTCGGTCTAGCAGAATATGAAGAAATCCCGTTTCCAACGAAGGCCTCAAGGAGGTCTGAATATCCACTTGCAGACTTTACAAACAGAGTGTTTCCTAACTGTTGTATGAACAGAAAGGTTAAACTCTGTGAGTTGAACGAACACATCACAACGCAGTTTGTGGGAATGATTCTGTCTAGTTTTGAAACGAAGATATTCCCTTTTCTGCCGTTGACCTTAAAGCGCTTGAAATCTACACTTGCAAATTGCACAAATAGAGTGTTTCAAATCTGCTCTGTCTAAGGGAACGTTCAACTCTGTGAGTTGAATGCACACAACACAAGGAAGTTACTGGGAATTCTTCTGTCTACCCTTACATGAAAAAAACCCGTTTCCAACGAAGGCCTCTAAGTGGTCAAAATATCCACGTGCAGACTTTACAAACAGAGTGTTTCCAAACTGCTGAATGAAAAGAAAAGTTAAACTCTGAGAGTTGAACGTACACATCACAGAGCATTTTCTGAGAATGATTCTGTCTAGTTTTTATACGAAGATATTTCCTTTTCTGCCTTTGGCCTCAAAGCGCTTGAAATCTCCACTTGCAAATTCCACAAAAAGAGTGTTTCGAATCTGCTCTGTGTAAATCAAAGTTCAACTCTGTGAGTTGAACACACACAACACAAGGAAGTTACTGGGAATTCTTCTGTCTATCAGAATATGAAGAAATCCCGTTTCCAAAGAAGGCCTCAAGGAGGTCTGAATATCCACTTGCAGACTTTACAAACAGAGTGTTTCCTAACTGCTCTATGAAAAGAAAGGTTAAACTCTGTGAGTTGAATGCACACATCACAAAGGAGTTTATGAGAATCACTCTGTCTAGTTTCTATAGGAAGATATTTCCTATTCTACCATTGACCTCAAAGCGGCAGAAATCTCCACTTGCAAATTCCACAAAAAGAGTGTTTCAAGTCTGCTCTGTGTAAAGGATCGTTCAACTCTGTGAGTTGAATAAACACAACACAAGGAAGTTACTGAGAATTCTTCTGTCTAGCAGAATATGAAGAAATCCCTTTTCCAACGAAGGCCACAAGATGTCAGAATATCCACTTACAGACTTTACAAACACAGTGTTTCCTAACTGCTCTATGAACAGAAAGGTTAAACTCTGTGAGTTGAACGAACACATCACAACGCAGTTTGTGGGAATGATTCTGTCTAGTTTTGAAACGAAGATATTTCCTTTTCTGCCATTGAACATAAAGCGCTTGAAATCTACACTTGCAAATTGCACAAATAGAGTGTTTCAAATCTGCTCTGTCTAAGGGAACGTTCAACTCTGTGAGTTGAATACACACAACACAAGGAAGTTACTGGGAATTCTTCTCTCTAGCCTTACATGAAAAAAACCCGTTTCCAACGAAGGCCTCTAAGTGGTCAAATTATCCACGTGCAGACTTTACAAACAGAGTGTTTCCAAACTGCTGAATGAAAAGAAAAGTTAAACTCTGAGAGTTGAACGCACACATCACAGAGCAGTTTCTGAGAATGATTCTGTCTAGTTTTTATACGAAGATATTTCCTTTTCTGCCTTTGGCCACAAAGCGCTTGAAATCTCCACTTGCAAATTCCACAAAAAGAGTGTTTCAAATCTGCTCTGTGTAAATCAAAGTTCAACTCTGTGAGTTGAACACACACAACACAAGGAAAGTTACTGGGAATTCTTCTGTCTAGCATAATATGAAGAAATCCCGTTTCCAACGAAGGCCTCAAAGGGGTCTGAATATCCACATGCAGACTGTATAAACAGAGTGTTTACTAACTTCTCTATGAAAAGAAAAGTTAAACTCTGTGTGTTGAACGCACACATCACAAAGGAGTTTCTGAGAATCATTCTGTCTAGCCTTTATACGAAGATATTTCCTTTTCTACCATTGACCTCAAAGCGGCTGAAATCTCCACTTGCAAATTCCACAAAAAGAGTGTTTCAAGTCTGCTCTCTGTAAAGGATCCTTCAACTCTGTGAGTTGAATACACACAACACAAGGAAGTTACTGAGAATTCTTCTGTCTAGCAGAATATGAAGAAATCCCGTTTCCAACGAAGACCACAAGATGTCAGAATATCCACTTACAGAATTGACAAACAGACTGTTTCCTAACTGCTCTATGAAAAGAAAGGTTAAACTCTGTGAGTTGAACGAACACATCACAACGCAGTTTGTGGGAATGATTCTGTCTAGTTTTGAAACGAAGATATTTCCTTTTCTGCCATTGACCTTAAAGCGCTTGAAATCTACACTTGCAAATTGCACAAATAGAGTGTTTCAAATCTGCTCTGTCTAAGAGAACGTTCAACTCTGTGAGTTGAATGCACCCCACACAAGGAAGTTACTGGGAATTCTTCTGTCTAGCCTTACATGAAAAAAAACCCGTTTCCAATGAAGGCCTCTAAGTGGTCAAAATATCCACGTGCAGACTTTACAAACAGAGTGTTTCCAAACCGATGAATGAAAAGAAAAGTTAAACTCTGAGAGTTGAACGCACACATCACGCAGCAGTTTCTGAGAATGATTCTGTCTAGTTTTTATACGAAGATATTTCCTTTTCTGTCTTTGGCCTCAAAGCGCTTGAAATCTCCTCTTGCAAATTCCACAAAAAGAGTGTTTCAAATCTGCTCTGTGTAAATGAAAGTTCAACTCTGTGAGTTGAACACACACAACACAAGGAAAGTTACTGGGAATTCTTCTGTCTACCTGAACATGAAGAAATCCCGCTTCCAACGAAGGCCTCAAGGAGGTCTGAATATCCACTTGCAGACTTTACAAACAGAGTGTTTCTAACTGCTCTATGAAAAGAAAGGTTAAACTCTGTGAGTTGAACGCACACATCACAAAGGAGTTTCTGAGAATCATTCTGTCTAGTTTTTATAGGAAGATATTTCCTTTTCTACCATTGACCTCAAAGCGGCTGAAATCTCCACTTGCAAATTCCACAAAAAGAGTGTTTCAAGTCTGCTCTGTGTAAAGGATCGTTCAACTGTGTGAGTTGAATACACACAACACGCGGAAGTTACTGAGAATTCTTCTGTCTAGCAGAATATGAAGAAATCCCGTTTCCAACGAAGGCCACAAGATGTCAGAATATCCACTTACAGACTTTACAAACAGAGTGTTTCCTAACTGCTCTATGAAAAGAAAGGTTAAACTCTGTGAGTTGAACGCACACATTACAACGCAGTTTGTGGGAATGATTCTGTCTAGTTTTGAAACGAAGATATTTCCTTTTCTGCCATTGACCTTAAAGCGCTTGAAATCTACACTTGCAAATTGCACAAATAGAGTGTTTCAAATCTGCTCTGTCTAAGGGAACGTTCAACTCTGTGAGTTGAATGCACACAACACAAGGAAGTTACTGGGAACTCTTCTGTCTAGCCTTACAGGAAAAAAACCCGTTTCCAACGAAGGCCTCTAAGTGGTCAAGTTATCCACATGCAGACTTTACAAACAGAGTGTTTCCAAACTGCTGAATGAAAAGAAAAGTTAAACTCTGAGAGTTGAACGCACACATCGCAGAGCAGTTTCTGAGAATGATTCTGTCTAGTTTTTATACGAAGATATTTCCTTTTCTGCCTTTGGCCTCAAAGCGCTTGAAATCTCCATTTGCAAATTCCACAAAAAGAGTGTTTCAAATCTGCTCTGTGTAAATGAAAGTTCAACTCTGTGAGTTGAACACACACAACACAAGGAAGTTACCGGGAATTCTTCTCTGTAGCAGAATATGAAGAAATCCCGTTTCCAACGAAGGCCTCAAGGAGGTCTGAATATCCACTTGCAGACGTTACAAACAGAGTGTTTCCTAACTGCTCTATGAAAAGAAAGGTTAAACTCTGTGAGTTGAACGCACACATCACAAAGGAGTTTCTGAGAATCATTCTGTCTAGTTTCTATAGGGAAGATATTTCCTATTCTACCATTGAACTCAAAGCGGCTGAAATCTCCACTTGCAAATTCCACAAAAAGAGTGTTTCAAGTCTGCTCTGTGTAAAGGATCGTTCAACTCTGTGAGTTGAATACACACAACACAAGGAAGTTACTGAGAATTCTTCTGTCTAGCCTTATATGAAAAAAACCCGTTTCCAGCGAAGGCCTCAAAGAGGGCTGAATATCCACTTGCAGACTTTACAAGCAGAGTGTTTCCTAACTGCTCTATGAAAAGAAAGGTTAAACTCTGTGAGTTGAACGCACACATCACAAAGGAGTTTCTGAGAATCATTCTGTGTAGTTTTTATAGGAAGATATTTCCTTTTCTACCTTTGACTTCAAAGCGGCTGAAATCTCCACTTGCAAATTCCACAAAAAGAGTTTTACAAGTCTGCTCTGTGTAAAGGATCGTTCAACTCTGTGAGTTGAATACACACCACACAAGGAAGTTACTGAGAATTCTTCTGTCCAGCCTTACATGAAAAAAACCCGTTTCCAACGAAGGCCTCTAAGTGGTCAAATTATCCACGTGCAGACTTTACAAACAGAGTGTTTCCAAACTGCTGAATGAAAAGCAAAGTTAAACTCTGAGAGTTGAACACACACATCGCACAGCAGTTTCTGAGAATGATTATCTGTCTAGCTTTTTATACGAAGATATTTCCTTTTCTGCCTTTGGCCTCAAAGCGCTTGAAATCTCCATTTGCAAATTCCACAAAAAGAGTGTTTCAAATCTGCTCTGTGTAAATGAAAGTTCAACTCTGTGAGTTGAACACACACAACACAAGGAAGTTACTGGGAATTCTTCTGTCTAGCCTTACATGAAAAAAACCCGTTTCCAACGAAGACCTCTAAGTGGTCAAATTATCCACGTGCAGACTTTACAAACAGAGTGTTTCCAAACTGCTGAATGAAAAGATAAGTTAAACTCTGAGAGTTGAACGCACACATCGCAGAGCAGTTTCTGAGAATGATTCTGTCTAGTTTTTATACGAAGATATTTCCTTTTCTGCCTTTGGCCTCAAAGCGCTTGAAATCTCCACTTGCGAATTCCACAAAAAGAGTGTTTCAAATCTGCTCTGTGTAAATGAAAGTTCAACTCTGTGAGTTGAACACACACAACACAAGGAAGTTACTGGGAATTCTTCTGTCTAGCAGAATAAGAAGAAATCCCGTTTCCAACGAAGGCCTCAAGGAGGTCTGAATATCCACTTGCAGACTTTACAAACAGAGTGTTTCCTAACTGCTCTATGAAAAGAAAGGTGAAACTCTGTGAGTTGAATGCACACATCAGAAAGGAGTTTATGAGAATCATTCTGTCTAGTTTTTCTACGAAGATATTTCCTTTTCTACTATTGACCTCAAAGCGGCTGAAATCTCCACTTGCAAATTCTACAAATAGAGTGTTTCAAGTCTGCTCTGTGTAAAGGATCGTTCAACTCTGTGTGTTGAATACACACAACACAAGGAAGTTACTGAGAATTATTCTCTCTAGCCTTATATGAAAAAAACCCGTTTCCAACGAAGGCCTCAAAGAGGTCTGAATATCCAC
This sequence comes from Homo sapiens, assembly GCF_000001405.40. Taxonomy (NCBI): domain Eukaryota; kingdom Metazoa; phylum Chordata; class Mammalia; order Primates; family Hominidae; genus Homo; species Homo sapiens. The sequence continues at coordinate 48,590,602 of NC_000005.10, read as the reverse complement.
TTGCAGACTTTACAAACAGAGTGTTTCCTAACTGCTCTATGAAAAGAAATGTTAAACTCTGTGAGTTGAACACACACATCACAAAGGAGTTTCTGAGAATCATTCTGTCTACTTTCTATAGGAAGATATTTCCTATTCTACCATTGACCTCAAAGCGGCTGAAATCTCCACTTGCAAATTCCACAAAAGGAGTGTTTCAAGTCTGCTCTGTGTAAAGGATCGTTCAACTCTGTGAGTTGAAAACACACAACACAAGGAAGTTACTGAGAATTCTTCTGTCTAGCAGAATATGAAGAAATCCCGTTTCCAACGAAGGCCACAAGATGTCATAATATCCACTTACAGAATTTACAAACAGACTGTTTCCTAACTGCTCTATGAAAAGAAAGGTTAAACTCTGTGAGTTGAACGAACACATCACAACGCAGTTTGTGGGAATGATTCTGTCTAGTTTTGAAACGAAGATATTTCCTTTTCTGCCATTGACCTTAAAGCGCTTGAAATCTCCACTTGCCAATTGCACAAAAAGAGTGTTTCACATCTGCTCTGTCTAAGGGAACGTTCAACTCTGTGAGTTGAATGTACTCAACACAAGGAAGTTACTGGGAATTCTACTGTCTAGCCTTACAGGAAAAAAACCCGTTTCCAACGAAGGCCTCTAAGTGGTCAAAATATCCACGTGCAGACTTTACAAACAGAGTGTTTCCAAACTGCTGAATGAAAAGAAAAGTTAAACTCTGAGAGTTGAACGCACACATCGCAGAGCAGTTTCTGAGAATGATTCTGTCTAGTTTCTATAGGAAGATATTTCCTATTCTACCATTGACCTCAAAGCGGCTGAAATCTCCACTTGCAAATTCCACAAGAAGAGTGTTTCAAGTCTGCTCTGTGTAAAGGATCGTTCAACTCTGTGAGTTGAATACACACAATACAAGGAAGTTACTGAGAATTCTTCTGTCTAGCATAATATGAAGAAATCCCGTTTCCAACGAAGGCCTCAAGGAGGTCTGAATATCCACTTGCAGACTTTACAAACAGAGTGTTTCCTAACTGCTCTATGAAAAGAAAGGTTAAAGTCTGTGAGTTGAACGCACACATCACAAAGGAGTTTCTGACAATCATTCTGTCTAGTTTCTATAGGAAGATATTCCCTATTCTACCATTGACCTCAAAGCGGCTGAAATCTCCACTTGCAAATTCCACAAAAAGAGTGTTTCAAGTCTGCTCTGTGTAAAGGATCGTTGAACTCTGTGAGTTGAATACACACAACACAAGGAAGTTACTGAGAATTCTTCTGTCTAGCACAGTATGAAGAAATCCCGTTTCCAACGAAGGCCTCAAAGAGGTCTGAATATCCACTTGCAGACTTTACAAACAGAGTGTTTCCTAACTGCTCTATGAAAAGAAATGTTAAACTCTGTGAGTTGAACGCACACGTCACAATGAAGTTTCTGAGAATCATTCTGTCTAGTTTTTATACGAAGATATTTCCTTTTCTACCATTGACCTCAAAGCGGCTGAAATCACCACTTGCCAATTGCACAAAAAGAGTGTTTCAAATCTGCTCTGTCTAAGGGAACGTTCAACTCTGTGAGTTGAATGTACACAACACAAGGAAGTTACTGGGAATTCTTCTGTCTAGCCTTACATGAAAAAAACCCGTTTCCAACGAAGGCCTCTAAGGGGTCAAAATATCCACGTGCAGTCTTTACAAACAGAGTGTTTCCAAACCGCTGAATGAAAAGAAAAGTTAAACTCTGAGAGTTGAACGCACACATCACGCAGCAGTTTCTGAGAATGATTCTGTCTAGTTTTTATACGAAGATATTTCCTTTTCTGCCTTTGGCCCCAAAGCGCTTGAAATCTCCACTTGCAAATTCCACAAAAACAGTGTTTCAAATCTGCTCTCTCTAAATGAAAGTTCAACTCTGTCAGTTGAATACACACAGCACAAGGAAGTTACTGAGAATTCTTCTGTCTAGCAGAATATGAAGAAATCCCGCTTCCAACGAAGGCCTCAAAGAAGTCTGAATATCCACTTGCAGACTATACAAACAGAGTGTTTCCCAACTGCTCTATGAAAAGAAAGGTTGAACTCTGTGAGTTGAACGCACACATCACAAAGGAGTTTCTGAGAATCATTCTGTCTAGTTTCTATACGAAGATATTTCATTTTCTACCATTAACCTCAATGAGGCTGAAATCTCCCCTTGCAAATTCCACAAAAAGAGTGTTTCAAGTCTGCCCTGTGTAAAGGATCGTTCAACTCTGTGAGTTGAATGCACACAACACAAGGAAGTTACTGAGAATTCTTTTGTCTAGCAGAATATGAAGAAATCCCGTTTCCAACGAAGGCCTCAAAGAGGTCTGAATATCCACTTGCAGACTTTACAAACAGAGTGTTTCCTAACTGCTCTATGAAAAGAAAGGTTAAACTCTGTGAGTTGAACGCACACATCACAAAGGAGTTTATGAGAATCATTCTGTCTAGTTTTGAAACCAAGATATTTCCTTTTCTGCCGTTGACCTAAAAGAGCTTGAAAACTACACTTGCAAATTGCACAAATAGAGTGTTTCAAATCTGCTCTGTCTAGGGGAACGTTCAACTCTGTGAGTTGAATGCACACAACACAAGGAAGTTACTGGGAATTCTTCTGTCTAGCCTTACATGAAAAAAACCCGTTTCCAATGAAGGCCTCTAAGTGGTCAAATTATCCACGTGCAGACTTTACAAACAGAGTGTTTCCAAACTGCTGAATGAAAAGAAAAGTTAAACTCTGAGAGTTGAACGCACACATCACAGAGCAGTTTCTGAGAATGATTCTGTCTAGTTTTTATACGAAGATATTTCCTTTTCTGCCTTTGGCCTCAACGCGCTTGAAATGTCCACTTGCAAATTCCACAAAAAGAGTGTTTCAAATCTGCTCTGTCTAAATGAAAGTTCAACTCTGTCAGTTGAATACACACAACACAAGGAGGTTACTGAGGATTCTTCTTGTCTAGCATAGTATGAAGAAATCCCGTTTCCAACGAAGGCCTCAAAGAGGTCTGAATATCCACTTGCAGAGTTTACAAACAGAGTGTTTCCTAACTGCTCTATGAAAAGAAAGGTTAAACTCTGTGAGTTGAACGCACACATCACAAAGAAGTTTCTGAGAATCATTCTGTCTAGTTTCTATAGGAAGATATTTCCTATTCTACCATTGACCTCAAAGCGGCTGAAATCTCCACTTGCAAATTCCACAAAAAGAGTGTTTCAAGACTGCTCTGTGTAAAGGATCGTTCAACTCTGTGAGTTGAATACACACAACACAAGGAAGTTACTGAGAATTCTTCTGTCTAGCAGAATATGAACAAATCCCGTTTCCAACGAAGGCCACAAGATGTCAGAATATCCACTTACAGAATTTAAAAACAGACTGTTTCCTAACTGCTCTATGAAAAGAAAGGTTAAACTCTGTGAGTTGAACGAACACATCACAACGCAGTTTGTGGGAATGATTCTGTCTAGTTTTGAAACTAAGATATTTCCTTTTCTGCCATTGACCTTAAAGCGCTTGACATCTCCACTTGCAAATTCCACAAAAAGAGTGTTTCAAATCTGCTCTGTGTAAATGAAAGTTCAACTCTGTGAGTTGAACACACACAACACAAGGAAGTTACTGGGAATTCTTCTGTCTAGCCTTACAGGAAAAAAACCCGTTTCCAACGAAGGCCTCTAAGTGGTCAAAATATCCACGTGCAGACTTTACAAACAGAGTGTTTCCAAACTGCTGAATGAAAAGAAAAGTTAAACTCTGAGAGTTGAACTCACACATCGCAGAGCAGTTTCTGAGAATGATTCTGTCTAGTTTTGAAACGAAGATATTTCCTTTTCTGCCTTTGGCCTCAAAGCGCTTGAAATCTCCACTTGCAAATTCCACAAAAAGAGTGTTTCAAATCTGCTCTGTGTAAATGAAAGTTCAACTCTGTGAGTTGAACACACACAACACAAGGAAGTTAGTGGGAATTCTTCTGTCTAGCAGAATATGAAGAAACCCCGTTTCCAACGAAGGCCTCAAAGGGGTCTGAATATCCACTTGCAGACTTTATAAACAGAGTGTTTACTAACTGCTCTATGAAAAGAAAGGTTAAACTCTGTGAGTTGAACACACACATCACAAAGGAGTTTCTGAGAATCATTCTGTCTAGTTTTTATACGAAGATATTTCCTTTTCTACCGTTGACCTCAAAGCGGCTGAAATCTCCACTTGCAAATTCCAATAAAAAGAGTGTTTCTAATCTGCTCTGTGTGAAGGATCGTTCAACTCTGTGAGTTGAATGCACACAACACAAGGAAGTTACTGGGAATTCTTCTGTCTAGGAGAATATGAAGAAATCCCGTTTCCAACGAAGGCCACAAGATGTCAGAATATCCACTTACAGAATTGACAAACAGACTGTTTCCTAACTGCTCTATGAAAAGAAAGGTTAAACTCTGTGACTTGAACGAACACATCACAACGCAGTTTGTGGGAATGATTCTGTCTAGTTTTGAAACGAAGATATTTCCTTTTCTGCCGTTGACCTTAAAGAGCTTGAAAACTACACTTGCAAATTGCACAAATAGAGTGTTTCAAATCTGCTCTGTCTAAGGGAACGTTCAACTCTGTGAGTTGAATGCACACAACACAAGGAAGTCACTGGGAATTCTTCTGTCTAGCCTTACATGAAAAAAACCCGTTTCCAACGAAGGCCTCTAAGTGGTCAAAATATCCACGTGCAGACTTTACAAACAGAGTGTTTCCAAACTGCTGAATGAAAAGAAATGTTAAACTCTGAGAGTTGAACGCACACATCACAGAGCAGTTTCTGAGAATGATTCTGTCTAGTTTTTATACGAAGATATTTCCTTTTCTGCCTTTGGCCCCAAAGCGCTTGAAATCTCCACTTGCAAATTCCACAAAAACAGTGTTACAAATCTGCTCTCTCTAAATGAAAGTTCAACTCTGTCAGTTGAATACACACAACACAAGGAAGTTACTGAGAATTCTTCTGTCTAGCAAAATATGAAGAAATCCCGTTTCCAACGAAGGCCTCCAAGGGGTCTGAATATCCACTTGCAGACTTTATAAACAGAGTGTTTACTAACTGCTCTATGAAAAGAAAGGTTAAACTCTGTGAGTTGAACACACACATCACAAAGGAGTTTCTGAGAATCATTCTGTCTAGTTTCTATGGGAAGATATTTCCTATTCTACCATTGACCTCAAAGCGGCTGAAATCTCCACTTGCAAATTCCACAAAAAGAGTGTTTCAAGTCTGCTCTCTGTAAAGGATCGTTCAACTCTGTGAGTTGAATACACACAACACAGGGGAAGTTACTGAGAATTCTTCTGTCTACCAGAATATGAAGAAATCCCGTTTCCAACGAAGGTCTCAAAGAGGTCTGAATTTCCACTTGCAGACTTTACAAACAGAGTGTTTCCTAACTGCTCTATGAAAAGAAAGGTTAAACTCTGTGAGTTGAACGCACACATCACAAAGGAGTTTCTGAGAATCATTCTGTCTAGTTTCTATACGAAGATATTTCCTTTTCTACCATTGACCTCAAAGCGGCTGAAATCTCCACTTGCAAATTCCACAAAAAGAGTGTTTCAAGTCCGCTCTGTGTAAAGGATTGTTCAACTCTGTGAGTTCAATACACACAACACAATGAAGTTTCTGAGAATTCTTCTGTCTAGCCTTACATGAAAAAAACCCGTTTCCAACGAAGGCCTCTAAGTGGTCAAATTATCCACGTGCAGACTTTACAAACAGAGTGTTTCCAAACTGCTGAATGAAAAGCAAAGTTAAACTCTGAGAGTTGAACGCACACATCGCAGAGCAGTTTCTGAGAATGATTCTGTCTAGTTTTTACACGAAGATATTTCCTTTTCTGCCTTTGGCCCCAAAGCGCTTGAAATCTCCACTTGCAAATTCCACAAAAACAGTGTTTCAAATCTGCTCTCTCTAAATGAAAGTTCAACTCTGTCAGTTGAATACACACAACACAAGGAAGTTACTGAGAATTCTTCTGTCTAGCATAAAATGAAGAAATCCCGTTTCCAACGAAGGCCTCAAAGGGGTCTGAATATCCACTTGCAGACTTTATAAACAGAGTGTTTACTAACTGCTCTATGAAAAGAAAGGTTAAACTCTGTGAGTTGAACACACACATCACAAAGGAGTTTCTGAGAATCATTCTGTCTAGTTTCTATAGGAAGATATTTCCTATTCTACCATTGAACTCAAAGCGGCTGAAATCTCCACTTGCAAATTCCACAAAAACAGTGTTTCAAGTCTGCTCTGTGTAAAGGATCGTTCAACTCTGTGAGTTGAATACACACAACACAAGGAAGTTACTGAGAATTCTTCTGTCTAGCAGAATATCAAGAAATCCCGTTTCCAACGAGGGCCACAAGATGTCAGAATATCCACTTACAGAATTTACAAACAGACTGTTTCTTAACTGCTCTATGAAAAGAAAGGTTAAACTCTGTGAGTTGAACGAACACCTCACAACGCAGTTTGTGGGAATGATTCTGTCTAGTTTTGAAACGAAGATATTTCCTTTTCTGCCGTTGACCTTAAAGCGCTTGAAATCTACACTTGCAAATTGGACAAATAGAGTGTTTCAAATCTGCTCTGTCTAAGGGAACGTTCAACTCTGTGAGTTGAATGCACACAACACAAGGAAGTTACTGGGAATTCTTCTGTCTAGCCTTACATGCAAAAAACCCGTTTCCAACGAAGGCCTCTAAGTGGTCAAAATATCCACGTGCAGACTTTACAAACAGAGTGTTTCCAAACCGCTGAATGAAAAGAAAAGCTAAACTCTGAGAGTTGAACGCACACATCACGCAGCAGTTTCTGAGAATGATTCTGTCTAGTTTTTATACGAAGATATTTCCTTTTCTGCCTTTGGCCTCAAAGCGCTTGAAATCTCCACTTGCAAATTCCACAAAAAGAGTGTTTCAAATCTGCTCTGTGTAAATGAAAGTTCAACTCTGTGAGTTGAACACACACATCACAAGGAAGTTACTGGGAATTCTTCTGTCTAGCATAATATGAAGAAATCCAGTTTCCAACGAAGGCCTCAAAGAGGTCTGAATATCCACTTGCAGACTTTACAAACAGAGTGTTTCCTAACTGCTCTATGAAAAGAAAGGTTAAACTCTGTGAGTTGAACGCACACATCACAAAGGAGTTTATGAGAATCATTCTGTCTAGTCTTTATACGAAGATAGTTTCCTTTTCTACCATTGACCTCAAAGCGGCTGAAATCTCCACTTGCAAATTCCACAAAAGGAGTGTTTCAAGTCTGCTCTGTGTAAAGGATCGTTCAACTCTGTGAGTTGAATACACACAACACAAGGAAGTTACTGAGAATTCTTCTGTCTAGCAGAATATGAAGAAATCCCGTTTCCAACGAAGGCCACAAGATGTCAGAATATCCACTTACAGACTTTACAAACAGAGTGTTTCCTAACTGCTCTATGAACAGAAAGGTTAAACTCTGTGAGTTGAACGAACACATCACAACGCAGTTTGTAGGAATGATTCTGTCTAGTTTTTATACGAAGATATTTCCTTTTCTACCATTGACCACAAAGCGGCTGAAATCACCACTTGCCAATTGCACAAAAAGAGTGTTTCAAATCTGCTCTGTCTAAGGGAACGTTCAACTCTGTGAGTTGAATGTACACAACACAAGGAAGTTACTGGGAATTCTTCTGTGTAGCCTTACATGAAAAAAACCCGTTTCCAACGAAGGCCTCTAAGTGGTCAAATTATCCACGTGCAGACTTTACAAACAGAGTGTTTCCAAACTGCTGAATGAAAAGAAAAGTTAAACTCTGAGAGTTGAACGCACACATCACAGAGCAGTTTCTGAGAATGATTCTGTCTAGTTTTTATACGAAGATATTTCCTTTTCTGCCTTTGGCCTCCAAGCGCTTGAAATCTCCATTTGCAAATTCCACAAAAAGAGTGCTTCAAATCTGCTCTGTGTAAATGAAAGTTCAACTCTGTGAGTTGAACACACACAACACAAGGAAGTTACTGGGAATTCTTCTGTCTAGCAGAATATGAAGAAATCCCGTTTCCAACGAAGGCCGCAAGGAGGTCTGAATATCCACTTGCAGACTTTACAAACAGAGTGTTTCCTACCAGCTCTATGAACAGAAAGGTTAAACTCTGTGAGTTGAACGCACACATCACAAAGGAGTTTATGAGAATCATTCTGTCTAGTTTTTATAGGAAGATATTTCCTTTTCTACCTTTGACTTCAAAGCGGCTGAAATCTCCACTTGCAAATTACACAAAAAGAGTGTTACAAGTCTGCTCTGTGTAAAGGATCGTTCAACTCTGTGAGTTGAATACACACAACACAAGGGAAGTTACTGAGAATTCTTCTGTCTAGCAGAATATGTAGAAATCCCGTTTCCAACGAAGGCCACAAGATGTAAGAATATCCACTTACAGAATTTACCAACAGAGTGTTTCCTAACTGCTCTATGAAAAGAAAGGTTAAACTCTGTGAGTTGAACGAACACATCACAACGCAGTTTGTGGGAATGATTCTGTCTAGTTTTGAAATGAAGATATTTCCTTTTCTGCCATTGACCTTAAAGCGCTTGAAATCTACACTTGCAAATTGCACAAATAGAGTGTTTCAAATCTGCTCTGTCTAAGGGAATGTTCAACTCTGTGAGTTGAATGCACACAACACAAGGAAGTTACTGGGAATTCTTCTGTCTACCCTTACATGAAAAAAACCCGTTTCCAACGAAGGCCTCTAAGTGGTCAAAATATCCACGTGCAGACTTTACAAACAGAGTGTTTCCAAACTGCTGAATGAAAAGAAAAGTTAAACTCTGAGAGTTGAACGCACACATCACAGAGCATTTTCTGAGAATGATTCTGTCTAGTTTCTATAAGAAGGTATTTCCTATTCTACCATTGACCTCAAAGCGGCTGAAATCTCCACTTGCAAATTCCACAAAAAGAGTGTTTCAAGCCTGCTCTCTGTAAAGGATCGTTCAACTCTGTGAGTTGAATACACACAACACAAGGAAGTTACTGAGAATTATTCTGTCTAGCATAATATGAAGAAATCCCGTTTCCAACGAAGGCCTCAAAGAGGTCTGAATATCCACTTGCACACTTTACAAACAGAGTGTTTCCTAACTGCTCTATGAGAAGAAAAGTTAAACTCTGTGAGTTGAACGCACACATCACAAAAGATTTTCTGAGAATCATTCTGTCTAGTTTTTATAGGAAGATATTTCCTTTTCTACCATTGACCTCAAAGCGGCTGAAATCTCCACTTGCAAATTCCATAAAAAGAGTGTTTCAAGTCTGCTCTGTGTAAAGGATCGTTCAACTCTGTGAGTTGAATACACACAACACAAGGAAGATTCTGAGAATTCTTCTGTCTAGCAGAATATGAGGAAATCCCGTTTCCAACGAAGGCCACAAGATGTCAGAATATCCACTTACAGACTTTACAAACAGAGTGTTTCCTAACTGCTCTATGAACAGAAAGGTTAAACTCTGTGAGTTCAACGAACACATCACAACGCCATTTGTGGGAATGATTCTGTCTAGTTTTGAAACGAAGATATTTCCTTTTCTGCCATTGACCTTAAAGCGCTTGAAATCTCCATTTGCAAATTCCACAAAAAGAGTGTTTCAAATCTGCTTTGTCTAAGGGAACGTTCAACTCTGTGAGTTGAATGTACACAACACAAGGATGTTACTGGGAATTCTTCTGTCTAGCCTTACATGAAAAAAACCCGTTTCCAACGAAGGCCTCTAAGTGGTCAAAATTTCCACGTGCAGACTTTACAAACAGAGTGTTTCCAAACCGCTGAATGAAAAGAAAAGTTAAACTCTGAGAATTGAACGCACACATCACGCAGCAGTTTCTGAGAATGATTCTGTCTAGTTTTTATACGAAGATATTTCCTTTTCTGCCTTTGGCCTCAAAGCGCTTGAAATCTCCACCTGCAAATTCCACAAAAAGAGTGTTTCAAATCTGCTCTGTGTAAATGAAAGTTCAACTACTGTGAGTTGAACACACACAACACAAGGAAGTTACTGGGAATTCTTCTGTCTAGCCTTATATGAAAAAAACCCGTTTCCAACGAAGGCCTCAAAGAGGTCTGAATACCCACTTGCAGACTTTACAAACAGAGTGTTTCCTAACTGCTCTATGAAAAGAAAGGTTAAACTCTGTGAGTTGAACACACACATCACAAAGGAGTTTCTGAGAATCATTCTGTCTATTCTTTATACGAAGATATTTCCTTTTCTACCATTGACCTCAAAGCGGCTGAAATCTCCACTTGCAAATTCCACAAAAAGAGTGTTTCAAGTCTGCTCTCTGTAAAGGATCGTTCAACTCTGTGAGTTGAATACACACAACACAAGGAAGTTACTGAGAATTCTTCTGTCTAGCAGAATATGAAGAAATCCCGTTTCCAACGAAGGCCACAAGATGTCAGAATATCCACTTACAGAATTTACAAACAGACTGTTTCCTAACTGCTCTATGAAAAGAAAGGTTAAACTCTGTGAGATGAACGAACACATCACAACGCAGTTTGTGGGAATGATTCTGTCTAGTTTTGAAACGAAGATATTTCCTTTTCTGCCATTGACCTTAAAGCGCTTGAAATCTACACTTGCAAATTGCACAAATAGAGTGTTTCAAATCTGCTCTGTCTAAGGGAACGTTCAACTCTGTGAGTGGAATGCACACAACACAAGGAAGTTACTGGGAATTCTTCTGTCTAGCCTTACATGAAAAAAACCCGTTTCCAACGAAGGCCTCTAAGTGGTCAAAATATCCACGTGCAGTCTTTACAAACAGAGTGTTTCCAAACCGCTGAATGCAAAGAAAAGTTAAACTCTGAGAGTTGAACGCACACATCACGCAGCAGTTTCTGAGAATGATTCTGTCTAGTTTTTATACGAAGATATTTCCTTTTCTGCCTTTGGCCCCAAAGCGCTTGAAATCTCCAATTGCAAATTCCACAAAAACAGTGTTTCAAATCTGCTCTCTCTAAATGAACGTTCAACTCTGTCAGTTGAATACACACAACACAAGGAAAGTTACTGAGAATTCTTCTATCTAGCATAATATGAAGAAATCCCGTTTCCAACGAAGGCCTCAAGGAGGTCTGAATATCCACTTGCAGACTTTACAAACAGAGTGTTTCCTAACTGCTCTATGAAAAGAAAGGTTAAACTCTGTGAGTTGAACGCAGACATCACAAAGGAGTTTCTGAGAATCATTCTGTCTAGTTTCTATAGGAAGATATTTCCTATTCTACCATTGACCTCAAAGCGGCTGAAATCTCCACTTGCAAATTCCACAAAAGGAATGTTTCAAGTCTGCTCTGTGTAAAGGATCGTTCAACTCTGTGAGTTGAAAACACACAACACAAGGAAGTTTCTGAGAATTCTTCTGTCTAGCAGAATATGAAGAAATCCCGTTTCCAACGAAGGCCATAAGATGTCAGAATATCCACTTACAGAATTGACAAACAGACTGTTTCCTAACTGCTCTATGAAAAGAAAGGTTAAACTCTGTGAGTTGAACGAACACATCACAACGCAGTTTGTGGGAATGATTCTGTCTAGTTTTGAAACGAAGATATTTCCTTTTCTGCCATTGACCTTAAAGCGCTTGAAATCTCCATTTGCCAATTGCAGAAAAAGAGTCTTTCAAATCTGCTCTGTCTAAGGGAACGTTCAACTCTGTGAGTTGAATGTACACAACACAAGGAAGTTACTGGGAATTCTTCTGTCTAGCCTTACAGGAAAAAATACTCGTTTCCAACGAAGGCCTCTAAGTGGTCAAAATATCCACGTGCAGACTTTACAAACAGAGTGTTTCCAAACTGCTGAATGAAAAGAAAAGTTAAACTCTGAGAGTTGAACGCACACATCGCAGAGCAGTTTCTGAGAATGATTCTGTCTAGTTTTTATACGAAGATATTTCCTTTTGTGCCTTTGGCCCCAAAGCGCTTGAAATCTCCAGTTGAAAATTCCACAAAAACAGTGTTTCAAATCTGCTCTCTCTAAAAGAAAGTTCAACTCTGTCAGTTGAATACACACAACACAAGGAAGTTACTGAGAATTCTTCTGTCTAGCATAATATGAAGAAATCCCGTTTCCAACGAAGGCCTCAAAGGGGTCTGAATATCCACTTGCAGACTATATAAACAGAGTGTTTCCTAACTGCTCTATGAAAAGAAAAGTTCAACTCTGTGATTTGAACGCACACATCACGAAGGAGTTTAGGAGAATAATTCTGTCTAGTTTTTCTACGAAGATATTTCCTTTTCTACTCTTGACCTCAAAGCGGCTGAAATCTCCACTTGCAAATTCCACAAAAAGAGTGTTTCAAGTCTGCTCTCTGTAAAGGATCGTTCAACTCTGTGAGTTGAATACACACAACACAAGGAAGTTACTGAGAATTCTTCTGTCTAGCAGAATGTGAAGAAATCCCGTTTCCAACGAAGGCCACAAGATGTCAGAATATCCACTTGCAGAGTTTACAAACAGAGTGTTTCCTAACTGCTCTATGAACAGAAAGGTTAAACTCTGTGAGTTGAACGAACACATCACAACGCAGTTTGTGGGAATGATTCTGTCTAGTTTTTATACGAAGATATTTCCTTTTCTACCATTGACCTCAAAGCGGCTGAAATCACCACTTGCCAATTGCACAAAAAGAGTGTTTCAAATCTGCTCTGTCTAAGGGAACGTTCAACTCTGTGAGTTGAATGTACACAACACAAGGAAGTTCCTGGGAATCCTTCTGTCTAGCCTTACATGAAAAAAACCCGTTTCCAACGAAGGCCTCTAAGTGGTCAAAATATCCACGTGCAGACTTTACAAACAGAGTGTTTCCAAACCGCTGAATGAAAAGAAAAGTTAAACTCTTGAGAGTTGAACGCACACATCACGCAGCAGTTTCTGAGAATGATTCTGTCTAGTTTTTATATGAAGATATTTCCTTTTCTACCATTGACCTCAAAGCGGCTGAAATGTCCACTTACAAATTCCACAAAAAGAGTGTCTCAAGTCTGCTCTGTGTAAACGAACGTTCAACTCTGTGAGTTGAATACACACAACACAAGGAAGTTTCTGAGAATTCTTCTGTATAGCAGAATATGAAGAAATCCCGTTTCCAACGAAAGCCTCAAAGATGTCTGAATATCCACTTGCAGACTTTACAAACAGAGTGTTTCCTAACTGCTCTATGAAAAGAAAGGTTAAACTCTGTGAGTTGAACGCCCACATCACAAAGGAGTTTCTGAGAATCATTCTGTCTAGTTTCTATAGGAAGATATTTCCTATTCTACCATTGAACTCAAAGCGGCTGAAATCTCCGCTTGCAAATTCCACAAAAAGAGTGTTTCAAGTCTGCTCTGTGTAAAGGATCAGTTCAACTCTGTGAGTTGAATACACACAACACAAGGAAGTTACTGAGAATTCTTCTGTCTAGCAGAATGTGAAGAAATCCCGTTTCCAACGAAGGCCACAAGATGTCAGAATATCCACTTACAGAATTTACAAACAGACTGTTTCCTAACTGCTCTATGAAAAGAAAGGTTAAACTCTGTGAGTTGAACGAACACATCACAACGCAGTTTGTGGGAATGATTCTGTCTAGTTTTGAAACGAAGATATTTCCTTTTCTGCCATTGACCTCAAAGCGCTTGAAATCTCCACTTGCCAATTGCACAAAAAGAGTGTTTCAAATCTGCTCTGTCTAAGGGAACGTTCAACTCTGTGAGTTGAATGTACACAACGCAAGGAAGTTACTGGGAATTCTTCTGTCTAGCCTTACATGAAAAAAACCCGTTTCCAACCGAGACCTCTAAGTAGTCAAAATATCCACGTGCAGACTTTACAAACAGAGTGTTTCCAAACTGCTGAATGGAAAGAAAAGTTAAACTCTGAGAGTTGAACGCACACATCACAGAGCGGTTTCTGAGAATGATTCTGTCTAGTTTTTATACGAAGATATTTCCTTTTCTACCATTGACCTCAACGCGGCTGAAATCTCCAATTGCAAATTCCACAAAAAGAGTGTTTCAAGTCCGCTCTGTGTAAAGGATCGTTCAACTCTGTGAGTTGAATACACGCAACACAAGGAAATTACTGAGAATTGTTCTGTCTAGCAGAATATGAAGAAATCCCGTTTCCAACGAAGGCCTCAAGGAGGTCTGAATATCCACTTGCAGACTTTTCAAACAGAGTTTTTCCTAACTGCTCTATGAAAAGAAAGGTTAAACTCTGTGAGTTGAACGCACACATCACAAAGGAGTTTATGAGAATCATTCTGTCTACTTTTTATACGAAGATATTTCCTTTTCTACCATTGACCTCAAAGCGGCTGAAATCTCCACTTGCAAATTCCACAAAAAGAGTGTTTCAACTCTGCTCTGTGTAAAGGATCGTTCAACTCTGTGAGTTGAATACACACAACACGCGGAAGTTACTGAGAATTCTTCTGTCTAGCAGAATATGAAGAAATCCCGTTTCCAACGAAGGCCACAAGATGTCAGAATATCCACTTACAGAATTGACAAACAGACTGTTTCCTAACTGCCCTATGAAAAGAAAGGTTAAACTCTGTGAGTTGAATGAACACATCACAACGCAGTTTGTGGGAATGATTCTGTCTTGTTTTTATAGGAAGATATTTCTTTTTCTACCTTTGACTTCGAAGCGGCTGAAATCTCCACTTGCAAATTCCACAAAAAGTGTGTTACAAGTCTGCTCTGTGTAAAGGATCGTTCAACTCTGTGAGTTGAATACACACAACACAAGGAAGTTACTGAGAATTCTTCTGTCTAGCCTTACATGAAAAAAACCCGTTTCCAACGAAGGCCTCTAAGTTGTCAAAATATCCACGTGCAGACTTTACAAACAGAGTGTTTCCAAACAGCTGAATGAAAAGAAAAGTTAAACTCTGAGAGTTGAACGCACACATCACGCAGCAGTTTCTGAGAATGATTCTGTCTAGTTTTTATACGAAGATATTTCCTTTTCTGCCTTTGGCCTCAAAGCGCTTGAAATCTCCATTTGCAAATTCCACAAAAAGAGTGTTTCAAATCTGCTCTGTGTAAATGAAAGTTCAACTCTGTGAATTGAACACACACAACACATGGAAGTTAGTGGGAACTCTTCCGACTAGCCTTACATGAAAAAAACCCGTTTCCAACGAAGGCCTCAAAGAAGTCCAAATATCCACGTGCAGACTTTACAAACAGAGTGTTTCCTAACGGCTCTATGAAAAGAAAGGTTAAACTCTGTGAGTTGAACGCCCACATCACAAAGGAGTTTCTGAGAATCATTCTGTCTATTCTTTATACGAAGATATTTCCTTTTCTACCATTGACCTCAAAGCGGCTGAAATCTCCACTTGAAAATTCCAAAAAAAGTGTGTTTCAAGTCTGCTCTGTGTAAAGGATCGTTCAACTCTGTGAGTTGAATACACACAACACAAGGAAGTTTCTGAGAATTCTTCTGTCTAGCAGAATATGAAGAAATCCCGTTTCCAACGAAGGCCACAAGATGTCAGAATATCCACTTACAGAATTTTCAAACAGACTGTTTCCTAACTGCTCTATGAAAAGAAAGGTTAAACTCTGTGAGTTGAACGAACACATCACAACGCAGTTTCTGGGAATGATTCTGTCTAGTTTTGAAACGAAGATATTTCCTTTTCTGCCATTGACCTCAACGCGCTTGAAATCTCCACTTGCCAATTGCACAAAAAGAGTGTTTCAAATCTGCTCTGTCTAAGGGAACGTTCAACTCTGTGAGTTGAATGTACACAACACAAGGAAGTTACTGGGAATTCTTCTGTCTAGCCTTACATGAAAAAAACCCGTTTCCAACGAAGGCCTCTAAGTGGTCAAAATGTCCACGTACAGACTTTACAAACAGAGTGTTTCCAAACCGCTGAATGAAAAGAAAAGTTAAACTCTGAGAGTTGAACGCACACATCACGCAGCAGTTTCTGAGAATGATTCTGTCTAGTTTTTATACGAAGATATTTCCTTTTCTGCCTTTGGCCCCAAAGCGCTTGAAATCCCCACTTGCAAATTCCACAGAAACAGTGTTTCAAACCTGCTCTCTCTAAATGAAAGTTCAACTCTGTCAGTTGAATACACACAACACAAGGAAGTTACTGAGAATTCTTCTGTCTAGCATAATATGAAGAAATCCCGTTTCCAAAGAAGGCCTCAAAGAGGTCTGAATATCCACTTGCAGACTTTACAAACAGAGTGTTTCCTAACTGCTCTATGAAAAGAAAAGTTAAACTCGGTGAGTTGAACGCACACATCACAAAGGATTTTCTGAGAATCATTCTGTCTAGTTTCTATAGGAAGATATATCCTATTCTACCATTGAACTCAAAGCGGCTGAAATCTCCACTTGCAAATTCCACAAAAAGAGTGTTTCAAGTCTGCTCTGTGTAAAGGATCGTTCAACTCTGTGAGTTGAATACACACAACACAAGGAAGTTACTGAGAATTCTTCTTTCTAGCAGAATATGAAGAAATCCCCTTTCCAACGAAAGCCTCAAGGATGTCTGAATATCCACTTGCAGACTTTACAAACAGAGTGTTTCCTAACTGCTCTATGAAAAGAAAGGTTAAACTCTGTGAGTTGAACGCACACATCACAAAGGAGTTTCTGAGAATCATTCAGTCTAGTCTTTATACGAAGATATTTCCTTTTCTACCATTGACCTCAAAGCGGCTGAAATCTCCACTTGCAAATTCCACAAAAAGAGTGTTTCAAGTCTGCTCTGTGTAAAGGATCTTTCAACTCTGTGAGTTGAATACACACAACACAAGGAAGTTACTGAGAATTCTTCTGTCTAGCAGAATATGAAGAAACCCCGTTTCCAACGAAGGCCACAAGATGTCAGAATATCCACTTACAGACTTTACAAACAGAGTGTTTCCTAACTGCTCTATGAACAGAAAGGTTAAACTCTGTGAGTTGAACGAACACATCACAACGCAGTTTGTGGGAATGATTCTGTCTAGTTTTGAAACGAAGATATTTCCTTTTCTGCCATTGAACTTAAAGCGCTTGAAATCTCCATTTGCCAATTGCACAAAAAGAGTGTTTCAAATCTGCTCTGTCTAAGGGAACGTTCAACTCTGTGAGTTGAATGTACACAACACAAGGAAGTTACTGGGAATTCTTCTGTCTAGCCTTACATGAAAAAAACCCGTTTCCAACGAAGGCCTCTAAGTGGTCAAAATATCCACGTGCAGACTTTACAAACAGAGTGTTTCCAAACCGGTGAATGAAAAGGAAAGTTAAACTCTGAGAGTTGAACACACACATCACGCAGCAGTTTCTGAGAATGATTCTGTCTAGTTTTGAAACGAAGATATTTCCTTTTCTGCCTTTGGCCTCAAAGCGCTTGAAATCTCCACTTGCAACTTCCACAAAAAGAGTGTTTCAAATCTGCTCTGTGTAAATGAAAGTTCAAATCTGTGAGTTGAACACACACAACACAAGGAAGTTACTGGGAATTCTTCTGTCTAGCAGAATATGAAGAAATCCCATTTCCAACCAAGGCCTCAAGGAGGTCTGAATATCCACTTGCAGACTTTACAAACAGAGTGTTTCCTAACTGCTCTATGAAAAGAAAGGTTAAACTCTGTGAGTTGAACGCACACATCACAAAGGAGTTTCTGAGAATCATTCTGTCTAGTCTTTATACGAAGATATTTCCTTTTCTACCATTGACCTCAAAGCGGCTGAAATCTCCACTTGCAAATTCCACAAAAAGAGTGTTTCAAGTCTGCTCTGTGTAAAGGATCGTTCAACCCTGTGAGTTGAATACACATAACACAAGGAAGTTACTGAGAATTCTTCTGTCTAGCAGAATATGAAGAAATCCCGTTTCCAACGAAGGCCACAAGATGTCAGAATATCCACTTACAGAATTGACAAACAGACTGTTTCCTAACTGCTCTATGAAAGAAAGGTTAAACTCTGTGAGTTGAACGAACACATCACAACGCAGTTTGTGGGAATGATTCTGTCTAGTTTTGAAACGAAGATATTTCCTTTTCTGCCATTGAACTTAAAGCGCTTGAAATCTCCATTTGCCAATTGCACAAAAAGAGTGTTTCAAATCTGCTCTGTCTAAGGGAACGTTCAACTCTGTGAGTTGAATGTACACAACACAAGGAAGTTACTGGGAATTCTTCTGTCTAACCTTACGTGAAAAAAACCCGTTTCCAACGAAGGCCTCTAAGTGGTCAAGTTATCCACGTGCAGACTTTACAAACAGAGTGTTTCCAAACTGCTGAATGAAAAGAAAAGTTAAACTCTGAGAGTTGAACGCACACATCGCAGAGCAGTTTCTGAGAATGATTCTGTCTAGTTTTGAAACGAAGATATTTCCTTTTCTGCCTTTGGCCTCAAAGCGCTTGAAATCTCCACTTGCAAATTCCACAAAAAGAGTGTTTCAAATCTGCTCTGTGTAAATGAAAGTTCAACTCTGTGAGTTGAACACACACAACACAAGGAAGTTACTGGGAATCCTTCTTTCTAGCAGAATATGAAGAAATCCCGTTTCCAACGAAAGCCTCAAGGAGGTCTGAATATCCACTTGCAGACTTTACAAACAGAGTGTTTCCCAACTGCTCTATGAAAAGAAAGGGTAAACTCGGTGAGTTGAACGCACACATCACAAAGGAGTTTCTGAGAATCATTCTGTCTAGTTTTTATAGGAAGTTATTTCCTTTTCTGCCTTTGACTTCAAAGTGGCTGAAATCTCCACTTGCAAATTCCACAAAAAGAGTGTTACAAGTCTGCTCTGTGTAAAGGATCGTTCAACTCTGTGAGTTGAATACACACAACACAAGGAAGTTACTGAGAATTCCTCTGTCTAGCAGAATATGAAGAAATCCCGCTTCCAACGAAGGCCTCAAAGAAGTCTGAATATCCACTTGCAGACTTTACAAACAGAGTGTTTCCCAACTGCTCTATGAAAAAAAAGGTTGAACTCTGTGAGTTGAACGCACACATCACAAAGGAGTTTCTGAGAATCATTCTGTCTAGTTTTGAAACGAAGATATTTCATTTTCTGCCATTGACCTTAAAGTGCTTGAAATCTCCATTTGCCAATTGCACAAAAAGAGTGTTTCAAATCTGCTCTGTCTAAGGGAACGTTCAACTCTGTGAGTTGAATGTACACAACACAAGGAAGTTACTGGGAATTCTTCTGTCTAACCTTACATGAAAAAAACCCGTTTCCAACGAAGGCCTCTAAGTGGTCAAAATTTCCACGTGCAGACTTTACAAACAGAGTGTTTCCAAACCGCTGAATGAAAAGAAAAGTTAAACTCTGAGAGTTGAACGCACACATCACGCAGCAGTTTCTGAGAATGATTCTGTCTAGTTTTTATACGAAGATATTTCCTTTTCTGCCTTTGGCCTCAAAGCGCTTGAAATCTCCACTTGCAAATTCCACAAAAAGTGTGTTTCAAATCTGCTCTGTGTAAATCAAAGTTCAACTCTGTGAGTTGAACACACACAACACAAGGAAGTTACTGGGAATTCTTCTGTATAGCAGAATTTGAAGAAATCCCGTTTCCAACGAAGGCCTCAAGGAGGTCTGAATATCCACTTGCAGACTTTACAAACAGAGTGTTTCCTAACTGCTCTATGAAAAGAAAGGTTAAACTCTGTGAGTTGAACGCAGACATCACAAAGGAGTTTCTGAGAATCACTCTGTCTAGTCTTTATACGAAGATATTTCCTTTTCTACCATTGACCTCAAAGCGGCTGAAATCTCCACTTGCAAATTCCACAAAAAGAGTGTTTCCAGTCTGCTCTGTGTAAAGGATCGTTCAACTCTGTGAGTTGAATACACACAACACAAGGAAGTTAGTGAGAATTCTTCTGTCTAGCAGAATATGAAGAAATCCCGTTTCCAACGAAGGCCACAAGGATGTCAGAATATCCACTTACAGACTTTACAAACAGAGTGTTTCCTAACTGCTCTATGAACAGAAAGGTTAAACTCTGTGAGTTGAACGAACACATCACAACGCAGTTTGTGGGAATGATTCTGTCTACTTTTGAAACGAAGATATTTCCTTTTCTGCCATTGACCTTAAAGCGCTTGAAATCTCCATTTGCCAATTGCACAAAAAGAGTGTTTCAAATCTGCTCTGTCTAAGGGAACGTTCAACTCTGTGAGTTGAATGTACACAACACAAGGAAGTTACTGGGAATTCTACTGTCTAGCCTTACAGGAAAAAAACCCGTTTCCAACGAAGGCCTCTAAGTGGTCAAAATATCCACGTGCAGACTTTACAAACAGAGTGTTTCCAAACTGCTGAATGAAAAGAAAAGTTAAACTCTTGAGAGTTGAACGCACACATCGCAGAGCAGTTTCTGAGAATGATTCTGTCTAGTTTTTATACGAAGATATTTCCTTTTC
Organism: Homo sapiens; assembly: GCF_000001405.40. Lineage (NCBI taxonomy): Eukaryota > Metazoa > Chordata > Mammalia > Primates > Hominidae > Homo > Homo sapiens. The sequence goes on along the minus strand of NC_000005.10, from coordinate 48,570,069 downwards.
TGCCTTTGGCCTCAAAGCGCTTGAAATCTCAATTTGCAAATTCCACAAAAAGAGTGTTTCAAATCTGCTCTGTGTAAATGAAAGTTCAACTCTGTGAGTTGAACACACACAACACAAGGAAGTTACTGGGAATTCTTCTATCTAGCCTTATATGAAAAAAACCCGTTTCCAACGAAGGCCTCAAAGAGGTCTGAATATCCACTTGCAGACTTTACAAACAGAGTGTTTCCTAACTGCTCTATGAAAAGAAAGGTTAAACTCTGTGAGTTGAACGCACACATCACAAAGGAGTTTCTGAGAATCATTTCTGTCTAGTTTTTATAGGAAGATATTTCCTTTTCTACCTTTGACTTCAAAGCGGCTGAAATCTCCACTTGCAAATTCCACAAAAAGAGTGTTTCAAGTCCGCTCTGTGTAAAGGATCGTTCAACTCTGTGAGTTGAATACACACAACACAAGGAAGTTACTGAGAATTCTTCTGTCTAGCACAGTATGAAGAAATCCCGTTTCCAAAGAAGGCCTCAAAGAGGTCTGAATATCCAATTGCAGACTTTACAAACAGAGTGTTTCCTAACTGCTCTATGAGAAGAAAGGTTAAACTCTGTGAGTTGAACGCACACATCACAAAGAAGTTTCTGAGAATCATTCTGTCTAGTTTCTATAGGAAGATATTTCCTATTCTACCATTGACCTCAAAGCGGCAGAAATCTCCACTTGCAAATTCCACAAAAAGAGTGTTTCAAGACTGCTCTCCTCTAAAGGATCGTTCAACTCTATGAGTTGAATACACACAACACAAGGAAGTTACTGAGAATTCTTCTGTCTAGCAGAATATGAAGAAATCCCGTTTCCAAAGAAGTCCTGAAAGAGGTCTGAATATCCACTTGCAGACTTTACAAACAGAGTGTTTCCTAACTGCTCTATGAAAAGAAAGGTTAAACTCTGTGAGTTGAACGCACACATCACAAAGCAGTTTCTGAGAATCATTCTGTCTAGTCTTTATACGAACATAGTTTCCTTTTCTACCATTGACCTCAAAGCGGCTGAAATCTCCACTTGCAAATTCCACAAAAAGAGTGTTTCAAGTCTGCTCTCTGTAAAGGATCGTTCAACTCTGTGAGTTGAATACACACAACACAAGGAAGTTACTGAGAATTCTTCTGTCTATCAGAATATGAAGAAATCCCGTTTCCAAAGAAGGCCTCAAGGAGGTCTGAATATCCACTTGCAGACTTTACAAACAGAGTGTTTCCTAACTGCTCTATGAAAAGAAAGGTTAAACTCTGTGAGTTGAACGCACACATCACAAAGGAGTTTATGAGAATCATTCTGTCTAGTTTCAATAGGAAGATATTTCCTATTCTACCGTTGACCTCAAAGCGGCTGAAATCTCCACTTACAAATTCCACAAAAAGAGTGTTTCAAGTCTGCTCTCTGTAAAGGATCGTTCAACTCTGTGAGTTGAATACACACAAAACAAGGAAGTTACTGAGAATTCTTCTGTCTACCAGAATATGAAGAAATCCCGTTTCCAACGAAGGCCACAAGATGTCAGAATATCCACTTACAGACTTTACAAACAGAGTGTTTCCTAACTGCTCTATGAACAGAAAGGTTAAACTCTGTGAGTTGAACGAACACATCACAACGCAGTTTGTGGGAATGATTCTGTCTAGTTTTGAAACGAAGATATTTCCTTTTCTGCCATTGACCTTAAAGCGCTTGAAATCTACACTTGCAAATGGCACAAATAGAGTGTTTCAAATCTGCTCTGTCTAAGGGATCTTTCATCTCTGTGAGTTGAATGCACACAACACAAGGAAGTTAATGGGAATTCTTCTGTCTAGCCTTACATGAAAAAAACCCGTTTCCAACGAAGGCCTCTAAGTGGTCAAAATATCCAGTGCAGACTTTACAAACAGAGTGTTTCCAAACTGCTGAATGAAAAGAAAAGTTAAACTCTGAGAGCTGAATGCACACATCACAGAGCAGTTTCTGAGAATGATTCTGTCTAGTTTTTATACGAAGATATTTCCTTTTCTGCCTTTGGCCCCAAAGCGCTTGAAATCTCCACTTGCAAATTCCACAAAAACAGAGTTTCAAATCTGCTCTCTCTAAATGAAAGTTCAACTATGTCAGTTGAATACACACAACACAAGGGAAGTTACTGAGAATTCTTCTGTCTAGCATAATATGAAGAAATCCCGTTTCCAACGAAGGCCTCAAAGGGGTCTGAATATCCACTTGCAGACTTTATAAACAGAGTGTTTACTAACTGCTCTATGAAAAGAAAGGTTAAACTCGGTGAGTTGAACACACACATCACAAAGGAGTTTCTGAGAATCATTCTGTCTAGTTTTTATTAGAAGATATTCCCTTTTCTACCTTTGACTTCAAAGCGGCTGAAATCTCCACTTGCAAATTCCACAAAAAGAGTGTTACAAGTCTGCTCTGTGTAAAGGATCGGTCAACTCTGTGAGTTGAATACACACAACACAAGGAAGTTACTGAGAATTCTTCTGTCAAGCCTTACATGAAAAAAACCCGTTTCCAACGAAGGCCTCTAAGTGGTCAAATTATCCACGTGCAGACTTTACAAACAGAGTGTTTCCAAACTGCTGAATGAAAAGAAAAGTTAAACTCTGAGAGTTGAACGCACACATCGCAGAGCAGTTTCTGAGAATGATTCTGTCTAGTTTTTATATGAAGATATTTCCTTTTCTGGCTTTGGCCCCAAAAGCGCTTGAAATCTCCACTTGCAAAATCCACAAAAAGAGTGTTTCAAGTCTGCTCTGTGTAAAGGATCGTTCAACTCTGTGAGTTGAATATACACTACACAAGGAAGTTTCTGAGAATTCTTCTGTCTAGCCTTACGTGAAAAAAACCCGTTTCCAACGAAGGCCTCTAAGTGGTCAAGTTATCCACGTGCAGACTTTACAAACAGAGTGTTTCCAAACTGCTGAATGAAAAGAAAAGTTAAACTCTGAGAGTTGAACGCACACATCGCAGAGCAGTTTCTGAGAATGATTCTGTCTAGTTTTTATACGAAGATATATCCTTTTCTGCCTTTGGCCTCAAAGCGCTTGAAATCTCCACTTGCAAATTCCACAAAAAGAGTGTTTCAAATCTGCTCTGTGTAAATGAAAGTTCAACTCTGTGAGTTGAACACACACAACACAAGGAAGTTACTGGGAATTCTTCTGTCTAGCAGAATATGAAGAAATCCCGTTTCCAACGAAGGCCTCAAAGAGGTCTGAATATCCAATTGCAGACATTATAAACAGAGTGTTTCCTAACTGCTCTATGAAAAGAAAGGTTGAACTCTGTGAGTTGAACGTACACATCACAAAGGAGTTTCTGAGAATCATTCTGTCTAGTTTCTATAGGAAGATATTTCCTATTCTACCATTGACCTCAAAGCGGCTGAAATCTCCACTTGAAAATTCCACAAAAAGAGTGTTTCAAGTCTGCTCTGTGTAAAGGATCGTTTAACTCTGTGAGTTGAATACACACAACACAAAGAAGTTACTGAGAATTCTTCTGTCTAGCAGAATATGAAGAAATCCCGTTTCCAACGAAGGCCACAAGATGTCAGAATATGCACTTACAGACTTTACAAACAGAGTGTTTCCTAACTGCTCTATGAACAGAAAGGTTAAACTCTGTGAGTTGAACGAACACATCACAACGCAGTTTGTGGGAATGATTCTGTCTAGTTTTGAAACGAAGATATCTCCTTTTCTGCCATTGACCTTAAAGCGCTTGAAATCTACACTTGCAAATTGCACAAATAGAGTGTTTCAAATCTGCTCTGTCTAAGGGAACGTTCAACTCTGTGAGTTGAATGCACACAACACATGGAAGTTACTGGGAATTCTTCTGTCTAGCCTTACATGAAAAAAACCCGATTCCAACGAAGGCCTCTAAGTGGTCAAAATATCCACGTGCAGACTTTACAAACAGAGTGTTTCCAAACAGCTGAATGAAAAGAAAAGTTAAACTCTGAGAGTTGAACGCACACATCACGCAGCAGTTTCTGAGAATGATTCTGCCTAGTTTTTATACGAAGATATTTCCTTTTCTGCCTTTGGCCCCAAAGCGCTTGAAATCTCCACTTGCAAATTCCACAAAAACAGTGTTTCAAATCTGCTCTCTCTAAATGAAAGTTCAACTCTGTCAGTTGAATACACACAACACAAGGAAGTTACTAAGAATTCTTCTGTCTAGCAGAATATGAAGAAATCCCGTTTCCAACGAAGGCCTCAAGGAGGTCTGAATATCCACTTGCAGAGTTTACAAACAGAGTGTTTCCTACCAGCTCTATGAACAGAAAGGTTAAACTCCTGTGAGTTGAACGCACACATCACAAAGGAGTTTCTGAGAATCATTCTGTCTAGTTTTTCTACGAAGATATTTCCTTTTCTACTATTGACCTCAAACCGGCTGAAATCTCCACTTGCAAATTCCACAAAAAAAGTGTTTCAAGTCTGCTCGGTGTAAAGGATCGTTCAACTCTGTGAGTTGAATACACACAACACAAGGAAGTTACTGAGAATTCTTCTGTCTAGCAGAATATGAAGAAATCCCGTTTCCAACGAAGGCCTCAAGGAGGTCTGAATATCCACTTGCAGACTTTACAAACAGAGTGTTTCCTAACTGCTCTATGAAAAGAAAGGTTAAACTCTGTGAGTTGAAGGCACACATCACAAAGGAGTTTATGATAATCATTCTGTCTATTTTCTATGGGAAGATATTTCCTATTCTACCATTGACCTCAAAGCGGCTGAAATCTCCACTTGCAAATTCCACAAAAAGAGTGTTTCAAGTCTGCTCTCTGTAAAGGATCGTTCAACTATGTGAGTTGAATACACACAACACAAGGAAGTTACTGAGAATTATTTTGTCTAGCCTTACATGAAAAAAACCCGTTTCCAACGAAGGCCTCTAAGTGGTCAAAATATCCACGTGCAGACTTTACAAACAGAGTGTTTCCAAACCGCTGAATGAAAAGAAAAGTTAAACTCTGAGAGTTGAACGCACACATCACGCAGCAGTTTCTGAGAATGATTCTGTCTAGTCTTTATACGAAGATATTTCCTTTTCTACCATTGACCTCAAAACGGCTGAAATCTCCACTTGTAAATTCCACAAAAAGAGTGTTTCAAGTCTGCTCTGTGTAAAGGATCGTTCAACTCTGTGAGTTGAATACACACAACCCAAGGAAGTTACTGAGAATTCTTCTGTCTAGCAGAATATGAAGAAATCCCGTTTCCACCGAAGGCCTCAAGGAGGTCTGAATATCCACTTGCAGACTTTACAAACAGAGTGTTTCCTAACTGCTCTATGAACAGAAAGGTTAAACTCTGTGAGTTGAACGCACACATCACAAAGGAGTTTCTGAGAATCATTCTGTCTAGTTTTTATAGGAAGATATTTCCTTTTCTACCTTTGACTTCAAAGCGGCTGAAATCTCCACTTGCAAATTACACAAAAAGAGTGTTACAAGTCTGCTCTGTGTAAAGGATCGTTCAACTCTGTGAGTTGAATACACACAACACAAGGGAGTTACTGAGAATTCTTCTGTCTAGCAGAATATGAAGAAATCCCGTTTCCAACGAAGGCCACAAGATGTCAGAATATCCACTTACAGAATTTACAAACATAGTGTTTCCTAACTGCTCTATGAAAAGAAAGGTTAAACTCTGTGAGATGAACGAACACATCACAACGCAGTTTGTGGGAATGATTCTGTCTAGTTTTTATACGAAGATATTTCCTTTTCTACCATTGACCTCAAAGCGGATGAAATCACCACTTGCCAATTGCACAAAAAGAGTGTTTCAAATCTGCTCTGTCTAAGGGAACGTTAAACTCTGTGAGTTGAATGTACACAACACAAGGAAGTTACTGGGAATTCTTCTGTCTAGCCTTACAGGAAAAAAACCCGTTTCCAACGAAGGCCTCTGAGTGGTAAAAATATCCACGTGCAGACTTTACAAACAGAGTGTTTCCAAACTGCTGAATGAAAAGAAAAGTTAAACTCTGAGAGTTGAACGCACACATCGCAGAGCAGTTTCTGAGAGTGATTCTGTCTAGTTTTTATACGAAGATATTTCCTTTCCTGCCTTTTGCCCCAAAGCGCTTGAAATCTCCACTTGCAAATTCCACAAAAACAGTTTTTCAAATCTGCTCTCTCTAAATGAAAGTTCAACTCTGTCAGTTGAATACACACAACACAAGGAAGTTACTGAGAATTCTTCTGTCTAGCCTTATATGAAAAAAACCCGTTTCCAACGAAGGCCTCAAAGAGGTCTGAATATCCACTTGCAGACTTTACAAACAGAGTGATTCCTAACTGCTCTATGAAAAGAAAGGTTAAACTCTGTGAGTTGAACACACACATCTCAAAGGAGTTTCTGAGAATCATTTCTGTCTAGTTTCTATAGGAAGATATTTCCTATTCTACCGTTGACCTCAAAGCGGCTGAAATCTCCACTTGCAAATTCCACAAAAAGAGTGTTTCAAGTCTGCTCTGTGTAAAGGATCGTTCAACTCTGTGAGTTGAATACACACAACACAAGGGAAGTTACTGAGAATTCTTCAGTCTAGCATAATATGAAGAAATCCCGTTTCCAACGAAGGCCTCAAGGAGGTCTGAATATCCACTTGCAGACTTTACAAACATTGTGTTTCCTAACTGCTCTATGAAAAGAAAAGTTAAACTCTGTGAGTTGAACACACACATCACAAAGGAGTTTCTGAGAATCATTCTGTCTAGTTTTGAAACAAAGATATTTCCTTTTCTGCCATTGACCTTAAAGCGCTTGAAATCTCCATTTGCCAATTGCACAAAAAGAGTGTTTCAAATCTGCTCTGTCTAAGGGAACGTTCAACTCTGTGAGTTGAATGTACACAACACAAGGAAGTTACTGGGAATTCTTCTGTCTAGCCTTACATGAAAAAAACCCGTTTCCAACGAAGGCCTCTAAGTGGTCAAAATATCCACTTGCAGACTTTACAAACAGAGTGTTTCCAAACCGCTGAATGAAAAGAAAAGTTAAACTCTGAGAGTTGAACGCACACATCACGCAGCAGTTTCTGAGAATGATTCTGTCTAGTTTTGAAACGAAGATATTTCCTTTTCTGCCTTTGGCCTCAAAGCGCTTGAAATCTCCACTTGCAAATTCCACAAAAAGAGTGTTTCAAATCTTCTCTGTGTAAATGAAAGTTCAACTCTGTGACTTGAACACACACACCACAAGGAAGTTACTGGGAATTCTTCTGTCTAGCATAATATGAAGAAATCCCGTTTCCAACGAAGGCCTCAAGGAGGTCTGAATATCCACTTGCAGTCTTTACAAACAGAGTGTTTCCTAACTGCTCTATGAAAAGAAAGGTTAAACTCTGTGAGTTGAACGCACACATCACAAAGGAGTTTCTGAGAATCATTCTGTCTAGTTTCTATAGGAAGATATTTCCTATTCTACCATTGACCTCAAAGCGGCTGAAATCTCCACTTGCAAATTCCAGAAAAAGAGTGTTTCAACTCTGCTCTGTGTAAGAAATCGTTCAACTCTGTGAGTTGAATACACACAACACAAGGAAGTTACTGAGAATTCTTGTGTCTAGCATAATATGAAGAAATCCCGTTTCCAACGAAGGCCTCAAAGAGGTCTGAATATCCACTTGCAGACTTTACAAACAGAGTGTTTCCTAACTGCTCTATGAAAAGAAAGGTTAAACTCTGTGAGTTGAACGCACACATCACAAAGGAGTTTCTGAGAATCATTCTGTCTAGTTTTGAAACTAAGATATTTCCTTTTCTGCCATTGACCTTAAAGCGCTTGAAATCTCCACTTGCCAATTGCACAAAAAGAGTATTTCAAATCTGCTCTCTCTAAGGGAACGTTCAACTCTGTGAGTTGAATGTACACAACACAGGAAGTTACTGGGAATTCTTCTGTCTACCCTTACATGAAAAAAACCCGTTTCCAACGAAGGCCTCTAAGTGGTCAAAATATCCACGTGCAGAATTTACAAACAGAGTGTTTCCAAACTGCTGAATGAAAAGAAAAGTTAAACTCTGAGAGTTGAACGCACACATCACAGAGCAGTTTCTGAGAATGATTCTGTCTAGTTTTTATACGAAGATATTTCCTTTTCTGCCTTTGGCCTCAAAGCGCTTGAAATCTCCATTTGCAAATTCCACAAAAAGAGTGTTTCAAATCTGCTCTGTGTAAATGAAAGTTCAACTCTGGGAGTTGAACACACACAACACAAGGAAGTTACTGGGAATTCTTCTGTCTAGCCTTATATGAAAAAAACCCGTTTCCAACGAAGGCCTCAAAGAGGTCTGAATATCCACTTGCAGACTTTACAAACAGAGTGTTTCCTAACTGCTCTATGAAAAGAAATGTTAAACTCTGTGAGTTGAACACACACATCACAAAGGAGTTTCTGAGAATCATTCTGTCTAGTTTTTATACGAAGATATTTCCTTTTCTACCATTGACCTCAACGCGGCTGAAATCTCCACTTGCAAATTCCACAAAAAGAGTGTTTCAAGTCTGCTCTGTGTAAAGGATGATTCAACTCTGTGAGTTGAATACACACAACACAAGGAAGTTACTGAGAATACTTCTGTCTAGCACAGTATGAAGAAATCCCGTTTCCAACGAAGGCCTCAAAGAGGTCTGAATATCCACTTGCAGACTTTACAAACAGAGTGTTTCCTAACTGCTCTATGAAAAGAAAGGTTAAACTCTGTGAGTTGAACGAACACATCACAACGCAGTTTGTGGGAATGATTCTGTCTAGTTTTGAAACGAAGATATTTCCTTTTCTGCCATTGACCTTAAAGCGCTTGAAATCTCCACTTGCCAATTGCACAAAAAGAGTGTTTCAAATCTGCTCTGTCTAAGGGAACGTTCACCTGCTGTGAGTTGAATGTACACAACACAAGGAAGTTACTGGGAATTCTTCTGTCTAGCCTTAAATGAAAAAAACCCGTTTCCAACGAAGGCCTCTAAGTGGTCAAAATATCCACGTGCAGACTTTACAAACAGAGTGTTTCCAAACCGCTGAATGAAAAGAAAAGTTAAACTCTGAGAGTTGAACGCACACATCACGCAGCAGATTCTGAGAATGATTCTGTCTATTTTTTATACGAAGATATTTCCTTTTCTGCCTTTGGCCCCAAAGCGCTTGAAATCTCCACTTGCAAATTCCACAAAAACAGTGTTTCAAATCTGCTCTCTCTAAATGATAGTTCAACTCTGTCAGTTGAATACACACAACACAAGGAAGTTACTGAGAATTCTTCTGTCTAGCATAATATGAAGAAATCCCGTTTCCAACGAAGGCTTCAAAGAGGTCTGAATATCCACTTGCAGACTTTACAAACAGAGTGTTTCCTAACTGCTCTATGAAAAGAAAGGTTAAACTCTGTGAGTTGAACGCACACATCACAAAGGAGTTTCTAAGAATCATTCTGTCTTGTTTTTATAGGAAGATATTTCCTTTTCTACCTTTGACTTCAAAGCGGCTGAAATCTCCACTTGCAAATTCCACAAAAAGAGTGTTACAAGTCTGCTCTGTGTAAAGGATCGTTCAACTGTGTGAGTTGAATACACACAACACAAGGAAGTTACTGAGAATTCTTCTGTCTAGCAGAATATGAAGAAATCCCGTTTCCAACGAAGGCCACAAGATGTCAGAATATCCACTTGCAGACTTTACAAACAGAGTGTTTCCTAACTGCTCTATGAACAGAAAGGTTAAACTCTGTGGGTTGAACGAACACATCACAACGCAGTTTGTGGGAATGATTCTGTCTAGTTTTGAAACGAAGATATTTCCTTTTCTGCCATTGACCTTAAAGCGCTTGAAATCTACACTTGCAAATTGCACAAATAGACTGTTTCAAATCTGCTCTGTCTAAGGGAACGTTCATCTCTGTGAGTTGAATGCACACAACACAAGGAAGTTACTGGGAATTCTTCTGTCTAGCCTTACATGAAAAAAACCCGTTTCCAACGAAGGCCTCTAAGTGGTCAAATTATCCACGTGCAGACTTTACAAACAGAGTGTTTCCAAACTGCTGAATGAAAAGAAATGTTAAACTCTGAGAGTTGAACGCACACATCGCAGAGCAGTTTCTGAGAATGATTCTGTCTAGTTTTTATACGAAGATATTTCCTTTTCTACAATTGACCTCAAAGCGGCTGAAATCTCCGCTTGCAAATTCCACAAAAAGAGTGTTTCAAGTCTGCTCTGTATAAAGGATCGTTGAACTCTTTGAGTTGAATACACACAACACAAGGAAGTTACTGAGAATTCTTCTCTCTAGCAGAATATGAAGAAATCCCGTTTCCAACGAAGGCCTCAAAGAGGTCTGAATATCCACTTGCAGACTTTACAAACAGAGTGTTTCCTAACTGCTCTATGAAAAGAAAGGTTAAACTCTGTGAGTTGAATGCACACATCACAAAGGAGTTTCTGAGAATCATTCTGTCTAGTTTCTATAGGAAGATATTTCCTATTCTATCATTGACCTCAAAGCGGCTGAAATCTCCACTTGCAAATTCCACAAAAAGAGTGTTTCAAGTCTGCACTCTGTAAAGGATCGTTCAACTCTGTGAGTTGAATACACACAACACAAGGAAGTTACTGAGAATTATTCTGTCTAGCATAATATGAAGAAATCCCGTTTCCAACGAAGGCCTCAAAGAGGTCTGAATATCCACTTGCAGACTTTAGAGAGTGTTTCCTAACTGCTCTATAAAAAGAAAGGTTAAACTCTGTGAGTTGAACGCACACATCACAAAGGAGTTTCTGAGAATCATTCTGTCTAGTTTTGAAACGAAGATATTTCCTTTTCTGCCGTTGACCTTAAAGCGCTTGAAATCTACACTTGCAAATTGCACAAATAGAGTGTTTCAAATCTGCTCTGTCTGAAGGGAACGTTCAACTCTGTGAGTTGAATGCACACAACACAAGGAAGTGACTGGGAATTCTTCTGTCTAGCCTTACATGAAAAAAACCCGTTTCCAACGAAGGCCTCTAAGTGGTCAAAATATCCACGTGCAGACTTTACAAACAGAGTGTTTCCAAACCGCTGAATGAAAAGAAAAGTTAAACTCTGAGAGTTGAACGCACACATCACGCAGCAGATTCTGAGAATGATTCTGTCTAGTTTTTATACGAAGATATTTCCTTTTCTGCCTTTGGCCCCAAAGCGCTTGAAATCTCCACTTGCAAATTCCACAAAAACAGTGTTTGAAATCTGCTCTCTCTAAATGATAGTTCAACTCTGTCAGTTGAATACACACAACACAAGGAAGTTACTGAGAATTCTTCTGTCTAGCAGAATATGAAGAAATCCCGTTTCCAACGAAGGCCTCAAAAAGGTCTGAATATCCACTTGCAGACTTTACAAACAGAGTGTTTCCTAACTGCTCTATGAAAAGAAAGGTTAAACTCTGTGAGTTGAACGCACACATCACAAAGGAGTTTATGAGAATCATTCTGTCTAGTTTCTATAGGAAGATATTTCCTATTCTACCATTGACCTCAAAGCGGCTGAAATCTCCACTTGCAAATTCCAAAAAAAGAGTGTTTCAAGTCTACTCTCTGTAAAGGATCGTTCAACTCTGTGAGTTGAATACACACAACACAAGGAAGTTACTGAGAATTCTTCTGTCTAGCATAATATGAAGAAATCCCTTTTCCAACGAAGGCCTCAAAGGGGTCTGAATATCCACTTGCAGACTTTATAAACAGAGTGTTTACTAACTGCTCTATGAAAAGAAAGGTTAAACTCTGTGAGTTGAACACACACATCACAAAGGAGTTTCTGAGAATAATTCTGTCTAGTTTTTATAGGAAGATATTCCCTTTTCTACCTTTGACTTCAAAGCGGCTGAAATCTCCACTTGCAAATTCCACAAAAAGAGTGTTACAAGTCTGCTCTGTGTAAAGGATCGTTCAACTCTGTGAGTTGAATACACACAACACAAGGAAAGTTACTGAGAATTCTTCTGTCTAGCCTTACAGGAAAAAAACCCGTTTCCAACGAAGGCCTCTAAGTGGTCAAATATCCACGTGCAGACTTTACAAACAGAGTGTTTCCAAACTGCTGAATGAAAAGAAAAGTTAAACTCTGAGAGTTGAACGCACACATCGCATAGCAGTTTCTGAGAATGATTCTGTCTAGTTTTGAAACGAAGATATTTCCTTTTCTGCCTTTGGCCTCAAAGCGCTTGAAATCTCCACTTGCAAATTCCACAAAAAGAGTGTTTCAAATCTGCTCTGGGTAAATGAAAGTTCAACTCTGTGTGTTGAACACACACAACACAAGGAAGTTACTGAGAATTCTTCTGTCTAGCCTTATATGAAAAAAACCCGTTTCCAACGAAGGCCTCAAAGAGGGCTGAATATCCACTTGCAGACTTTACAAGCAGAGTGTTTCCTAACTGCTCTATTAAAAGAAAGGTTAAACTCTGTGAGTTGAACGCACACATCACAAAGGAGTTTCTGAGAATCATTCTGTCTAGTTTTTATACGAAGATATTTCCTTTTCTACCATTGACCTCAACGCGGCTGAAATCTCCACTTGCAAATTCCACAAAAAGAGTGTTTCAAGTCCGCTCTGTGTAAAGGATCGTTCAACTCTGTGAGTTGAATACACACAACACTAGGAAGTTACTGAGAATTCTTTTGTCTAGCAGAACATGAAGAAATCCCGTTTCCAACGAAGGCCTCAAAGATGTCTGAATATCCACTTGCAGACTTTACAAACAGAGTGTTTCCTAACTGCTCTATGAAAAGAAAGGTTAAACTCTGTGAGTTGAACGCACACATCACAAAGGAGTTTCTCAGAATCATTCTGTCTAGTTTCTATAGGAAGATATTTCCTATTCTACCATTGACCTCAAAGCGGCTGAAATCTCCACTTGCAAATTCCACAAAAAGAGTGTTTCAAGTCTGCTCTGTGTAAAGGATCGTTCAACTCTGTGAGTTGAATACACACAACAAAAGGAAGTTACTGAGAATTCTTCTGTCTAGCCTTACAGGTAAAAAAACCCGTTTCCAACGAAGTCCTCTAAGTGGTCAAGTTATCCAAGTGCAGACTTTACAACCAGAGTGTTTCCAAACTGCTGAATGAAAAGAAAAGTTAAACTCTGAGAGTTGAACGCACACATCGCAGAGCAGTTTCTGAGAATGATTCTGTCTAGTTTTGAAACGAAGACATTTCCTTTTCTGCCTTTGGCCTCAAAGCGCTTGAAATCTCCATTTGCAAATTCCACAAAAAGAGTGTTTCAAATCTGCTCTGTGTAAATGAAAGTTCAACTCTGTGAGTTGAACACACACAACACAAGGGAAGTTACTGGGAATTCTTCTGTCTAGCATAATATGTAGAAATCCCGTTTCCAACGAAGGCCTCAAGGAGGTCTGAATATCCACTTGCAGACTTTACAAACAGAGTGTTTCCTAACTGCTCTATGAAAAGAAAGGTTAAACTCTGTGATTTGAACGCACACATCACAAAGGAGTTTCTGAGAATCATTCTGTCTAGTTTTTATACGAAGATATTTCCTTTTCTACCATTGACCTCAAAGCGGCTGAAATCTCCACTTGCAAATTCCACAAAACGAGTGTTTCAAGTCTGCTCTGTGTAAAGGAACGTTCAACTCTGTGAGTTGAATACACACAACACAAGGAAGTTACTGAGAATTCTTCTCTCTAGCAGAAGATGAAGAAATCCCGTTTCCAACGAACGCCACAAGATGTCAGAATATCCACTTACAGACTTTACAAACAGAGTGTTTCCTAACTGCTCTATGAACAGAAAGGTTAAACTCTGTGATTTGAACGAACACATCACAACGCAGTTTGTGGGAATGATTCTGTCTAGTTTTGAAACGAAGATATTTCCTTTTCTGCCATTGACCTTAAAGCGCTTGAAATCTCCATTTGCCAATTGCACAAAAAGAGTGTTTCAAATCTGCTCTGTGTAAATGAAAGTTCAACTCTGTGAGTTGAACACACACAACACAAGGAAGTTACTGGGAATTCTTCTGTCTAGCCTTACATGAAAAAAACCCGTTTCCAACGAAGGCCTCTAAGTGGTCAAAATATCCACGTGCAGACTTTACAAACAGAGTGTTTCCAAACCGCTGAATGAAAAGAAAAGTTAAACTCTGAGAGTTGAACGAACACATCACGCAGCAGTTTCTGAGAATGATTCTGTCTAGTTTTTATACGAAGATATTTCCTTTTCTGCCTTTGGCCTCAAAGCGCTTGAAATCTCCATTTCCAAATTCCACAAAAAGAGTGTTTCAAATCTGCTCTGTGTAAATGAAAGTTCAACTCTGTGAGTTGAACACACACAACACAAGGAAGTTACTGGGAATTCTTCTGTCTAGCAGAATATGAAGAAATCCCGTTTCCAACGAAGGCCTCAAGGAGGTCTGAATATCCACTTGCAGACTTTACAAACAGAGTGTTTCCTAACTGCTCTATGAACAGAAAGGTTAAACTTCTGTGAGTTGAACGCACACATCACAAAGGAGTTTATGAGAATCATTTTGTCTAGTTTCTATAAGAAGATATTTCCTATTCTACCATTGACCTCAAAGCGGCTGAAATCTCCACTTGCAAATTCCACAAAAAGAGGGTTTCAAGCCTCCTCTCTGTAAAGGATCCTTCAAGTCTGTGAGTTGAATACACACAACACAAGGAAGTTACTGAGAATTCTTCTGTCTAGCAGAATATGAAGAAATCCCGTTTCCAACGAAGGCCTCAAGGAGGTCTGAATATCCACTTGCAGACTTTACAGACAGAGTGTTTCCTAACTGCTCTATGAACAGAAAGGTTAAACTCTGTGAGTTGAACGAACACATCACAACGCAGTTTGTGGGAATGATTCTGTCTAGTTTTGAAACGAAGATATTCCCTTTTCTGCCATTGACCTTAAAGCGCTTGAAATCTACACTTGCCAATTGCACAAATAGAGTGTTTCAAGTCTGCTCTGTGTAAAGGATCGTTCAACTCTGTGAGTTGAATACACACAACACAAGGAAGTTACTGAGAATTCTTCTGTCTAGCCTTACATGAAAAAAACCCGTTTCCAACGAAGGCCTCTAAGTGGTCAAAATTTCCACGTGCAGACTTTACAAACAGAGTGTTTCCAAACTGCTGAATGAAAAGAAAAGTTAAACTCTGAGAGTTGAACGCACACATCACGCAGCAGTTTCTGAGAATGATTCTGTCTAGTTTTTATACGAAGATATTTCCTTTTCTGCCTTTGGCCTCAAAGCGCTTGAAATCTCCATTAGCAAATTCCACAAAAAGAGTGTCTCAAATCTGCTCTGTGTAAATGAAAGTTCAACTCTGTGAGTTGAACACACACAACACAAGGGAAGTTACTGGGAATTCTTCTGTCTAGCCTTATATGAAAAATCCCGTTTCCAACGAAGGCCTCAAAGAGGTCTGAATATCCACTTGCAGACTTTACAAACAGAGTGTTTCCTAACTGCTCTATGAAAAGAAAGGTTAAACTCTGTGAGTTGAACACACACATCACAAAGGAGTTTCTGAGAATCATTCTGTCTAGTTTTTATACGAAGATATTTCCTTTTCTACCATTGACCTCAAAGCGGCTGAAATCTCCACTTACAAATACCACAAAAAGAGTGTCTCAAGTCTGCTCTGTGTAAACGATCGTTCAACTCTGTGAGTTGAATACACACAACACAAGGAAGTTTCTGAGAATTCTTCTGTATAGCAGAATATGAAGAAATACCGTTTCCAACGAAGGCCTCAAGGAGGTCTGAATATCCACTTGCAGACTTTACAAACAGAGTGTTTCCTAACTGTTCTATGAAAAGAAAGGTTAAACTCTGTGAGTTGAACGCAGACATCACAAAGGAGTTTCTGAGAATCACTCGGTCTAGTTTTGAAACGAAGATATTTCCTTTTCTGCCATTGACCTTAAAGCGCTTGAAATCTCCATTTGCCAATTGCACAAAAAGAGTGTTTCATATCTGCTCTGTCTAAGGGAACGTTCAACTCTGTGAGTTGAATGTACACAACACAAGGAAGTTACTGGGAATTCTTCTGTCTAGCCTTACAGGCAAAAAAACCCGTTTCCAACGAAGGCCTCTAAGTGGTCAAAATATCCACGTGCAGACTTTACAAACAGAGTGTTTTCAAACTGCTGAATGAAAAGAAAAGTTAAACTCTGAGAGTTGAACGCACACATCGCAGAGCAGTTTCTGAGAATGATTCTGTCTAGTTTTGAAACGAAGATATTTCCTTTTTTGCCTTTGGCCTCAAAGCGCATGAAATCTCCACTTGCAAATTCCACAAAAAGAGTGTTTCAAATCTGCTCTGTGTAAATGAAAGTTCAACTCTGTGAGTTGAACACACACAACACAAGGAAGTTACTGGGAATTCTTCTGTCTAGCATAATATGAAGAAATCCTGTTTCCAACGAAGGCCTCTAGGAGGTCTGAATATCCACTTGCAGACTTTACAAACAGAGTGTTTCCTAACTGCTCTATGGAAAGAAAGGTTAAACTCTGTGAGTTGAACACACACAACACAAAGGAGTTTCTGAGAATCATTCTGTCTAGTCTTTATACGAAGATATATCCTTTTCTACCATTGACCTCAAAGCGGCTGAAATCTCCACTTGCAAATTCCACAAAAAGAGTGTTTCAAGTCTGCTCTGTGTAAAGGATCGTTCAACTCTGTGAGTTGAATACACACAACACAAGGAAGTTACTGAGAATTCTTCTGTCTAGCAGAATATGAAGAAATCCCGTTTCCAACGAAGGCCACAAGATGTCAGAATATCCACTTACAGAATTGACAAACAGACTGTTTCCTAACTGCTCTATGAAAAGAAAGGTAAAACTCTGTGAGTTGAACGAACACATCACAACGCAGTTTGTGGGAATGATTCTGTCTAGTTTTGAAACGAAGATATTTCCTTTTCTGCCATTGACCTTAAAGCGCTTGAAATCTCCATTTGCCAATTGCACAAAAAGAGTGTTTCAAATCTGCTCTGTCTAAGAAAACGTTCAACTCTGTGAGTTGAATGTACACAACACAAGGAAGTTACTGGGAATTCTTCTGTCTACCCTTACATGAAAAAAACCCGTTTCCAACGAAGGCCTCTAAGTGGTCAAAATATCCACGTGCAGAATTTACAAACAGAGTATTTCCAAACTGCTGAATGAAAACAAAAGTTAAACTCTGAGAGTTCAACGCACACATCACAGAGCATTTTCTGAGAATGATTCTGTCTACTTTTTATACGAAGATATTTCCTTTTCTGCCTTTGGCCCCAAAGCGCTTGAAATCTCCACTTGCAAATTCCACAAAAACAGTGTTTCAAATCTGCTCTCTCTAAATGAAAGTTCAACTCTGTCACTTGAATACACACAACAGAAGGAAGTTACTGAGAATTCTTCTGTCTAGCATAATATGAAGAAATCCCGTTTCTAACGAAGGCCTCAAAGGGGCCTGAATATCCACTTGCAGACTTTATAAACAGAGTGTTTACTAACTGCTCTATGAAAAGAAAGGTTAAACTCTGTGAGTTGAACACACACATCACAAAGGAGTTTCTGAGAATCATTCTGTCTAGTTTCTATAGGAAGATATTCCCTATTCTACCATTGACCTCAAAGCGGCTGAAATCTCCACTTGCAAATTCCACAAAAAGAGTGTTTCAAGTCTGCTCTCTGTAAAGGATCGTTCAACTCTGTGAGTGGAATACACACAACACAAGGAAGTTACTGAGAATTATTCTGTCTAGCAGTATATGAAGAAGTCCGGTTTCCAAACAAGGCCACAAGATGTCAGAATATCCACTTACGGACTTTACAAACAGAGTGTTTCCTAACTGCTCTATGAACAGAAAGGTTAATCTCTGTGAGTTGAACGAACACATCACAACGCAGTTTGTGGGAATGATTCTGTCTAGTTTTGAAACGAAGATATTTCCTTTTCTGCCATTGACCTTAAAGCGCTTGAAATCTACACTTGCAAATTGCACAAATAGAGTGTTTCAAATCTGCTCTGTCTAAGGGAACGTTCATCTGTGTGAGTTGAATGCACACAACACAAGGAAGTTACTGGGAATTCTTCTGTCTAGCCTTACAGGAAAAAAACCCGTTTCCAACGAAGGCCTATAAGTGGTCAAATTATCCACGTGCAGACTTTACAAACAGAGTGTTTCCAAACTGCTGAATGAAAACAAAAGTTAAACTCTGAGAGTTGAACGCACGCATCGCAGAGCAGTTTCTGAGAATGATTCTGTCTAGTTTTTATACGAAGATATTTCCTTTTCTGCCTTTGGCCTCACAGCGCTTGAAATCTCCACTTGCAAATTCCACAAAAAGAGTGTTTCAAATCTGCTCTGTGTAAATGAAAGTTCAACTCTGTGAGTTGAACACACACAACACAAGGAAGATACTGGGAATTCTTCTGTCTAGCATAATATGAAGAAATCCCGTTTCCAACGAAGGCCTCAAATAGGTCTGAATATCCACTTGCAGACTATACAAACAGAGTGTTTCCTAACTGCTCTATGAAAAGAAAAGTTAAACTCTTTGAGTTGAACGCACACATCACAAAGGAGTTTCTGAGAATCATTCTGTCTAGTTTTTATAGGAAGATATTTCCTTTTCTACCTTTGACTTCAAAGCGGCTGAAATCTCCACTTGCAAATTCCACAAAAAGAGTGTTACAAGTCTGCTCTGTGTAAAGGATCGTTCAACTCTGTGAGTGAATACACACAACACAAGGAAGTTACTGAGAATTCTTCTGTCTAGCAGAATATGAAGAAATCCCGTTTCCAACGAAGGCCACAAGATGTCAGAATATCCACTTACAGAATTGACAAACAGACTGTTTCCTAACTGCTCTATGAAAAGAAAGGTTAAACTCTGTGAGTTGAACGAACACATCCCAACGCAGTTTGTGGGAATGATTCTGTCTAGTTTTTATAGGAAGATATTTCCCTTTCTACTTTGACTTCAAAGCGGCTGAAATCTCCACTTGCAAATTCCACAAAAAGAGTGTTACAAGTCTGCTCTGTGTAAAGGATCGTTCAACTGTGTGAGTTGAATACACACAACACAAGGAAGTTACTGAGAATTCTTCTGTCTAGCCTTACATGAAAAAAACCCGTTTCCAACGAAGGCCTCTAAGTGGTCAAATTATCCACGTGCAGACTTTACAAACAGAGTGTTTCCAAACTGCTGAATGAAAAGAAAAGTTAAACTCTGAGACTTGAACGCACACATCGCAGAGCAGTTTCTGAGAATGATTCTGTCTAGTTTTTATACGAAGATATTTCCTTTTCTGCCTTTGGCCTCAAAGCGCTTGAAATCTCCACCTGCAAATTCCACAAAAAGAGTGCTTCAAATCTGCTCTGTGTAAATGAAAGTTCAACTCTGTGAGTTGAACACACACAACACAAGGAAGTTACTGGGAATTCTTCTGTCTAGCATAATATGAAGAAATCCCGTTTCCAACGAAGGCCTCAAAGGGGTCTGAATATCCACTTGCAGACTTTATAAACAGAGTGTTTACTAACTGCTCTATGAAAAGAAAGGTTAAACTCTGTGAGTTGAACACCACATCACAAAGGAGTTTCTGAGAATCATTCTGTCTAGTTTTTCTACGAAGATATTTCCTTTTCTACTATTGACCTCAAAGCGGCTGAAATCTCCACTTGCAAATTTCACAAAAAGAGTGTTTCAAGTCTGCTCTGTGTAAAGGATCGTTCAACTCTGTGAGTTGAATACACACAACACAAGGAAGTTACTGAGAATTCTTCTGTCTAGCAGAATATGAAGAAATCCCGTTTCCAACGAAGGCCACAAGATGTCAGAATATCCACTTACAGAATTGACAAACAGACTGTTTCCTAACTGCTCTATGAAAACAAAGGTTAAACTCTGTGAGTTGAACGAACACATCACAACGCAGTTTGTGGGAATGATTCTGTCTAGTTTTGAAACGAAGATATTTCCTTTTCTGCCGTTGACCTTAAAGAGCTTGAAATCTACACTTGCAATTGCACAAATAGGCTGTTTCAAATCTGCTCTGTCTAAGGGAACGTTCAACTCTGTGAGTTGAATGCACACAACACAAGGAAGTTACTGGGAATTCTTCTGTCTAGCCTTACATGAAAAAAACCCGTTTCCAACGAAGGCCTCTAAGTGGTCAAAATATCCACGTGCAAACTTTACAAACAGAGTGTTTCCAAACCGCTGAATGAAAAGAAAAGTTAAACTCTGAGAGTTGAACGCACACATCACGCAGCAGTTTCTGAGAATGATTCTGTCTAGTCTTTATACGAAGATAGTTTCCTTTTCTACCATTGACCTCAAAGCGGCTGAAATCTCCACTTGCAAATTCCACAAAAAGAGTGTTTCAAGTCTGCTCTGTGTAAAGGATCGTTCAACTCTGTGAGTTGAATACACACAACAGAAGGAAGTTACTGAGAATTCTTCTATCTAGCAGAATATGAAGAAATCCCGTTTCCAACGAAGACCTCAAGGAGGTCTGAATATCCACTTGCAGACTTTACAAACAGAGTGTTTCCTAACTGCTCTATGAAAAGAAAGGTGAAACTCTGTGAGTTGAATGCACACATCACAAAGGAGTTTATGAGAATCATTCTGTCTAGTTTCTATAGGAAGATATTTCCTATTCTACCATTGACCTCAAAGCGGCTGAAATCTCCACTTGCAAATTCCACAAAAAGAGTGTTTCAAGTCTGCTGAGTGTAAAGGATCGTTCAACTCTGTGAGTTGAATACACACAACACAAGGCAGTTACTGAGAATTCTTCTGTCTAGCAGAACATGAAGAAATCCCGCTTCCAACGAAGGCCTCAGAGAAGTCTGAATATCCACTTGCAGACTTTACAAACAGAGTGTTTCCCAACTGCTCTATGAAAAGAAAGGTTGAACTGTGTGAGTTGAACGCACACATCACAAAGGAGTTTCTGAGAATCATTCTGTCTAGTTTTGAAACGAAGATATTTCCTTTTCTGCCATTGACCTTAAAGCGCTTGAAATCTACACTTGCAAATTGCACAAATAGAGTGTTTCAACTCTGCTCTGTCTAAGGGAACGTTCAACTCTGTGAGTTGAATGCACACAACACAAGGAAGTTACTGGGAATTCTTCTGTCTAGCCTTACATGAAAAAAACCCGTTTCCAATGAAGGCCTCTAAGTGGTCAAATTATCCACGTGCAGACTTTACAAACAGAGTGTTTCCAAACTGCTGAATGAAAAGAAAAGTTAAACTCTGAGAGTTGAACGCACACATCGCAGAGCAGTTTCTGAGAATGATTCTGTCTAGTTTTGAAACGAAGACATTTCCTTTTCTGCCTTTGGCCTCAAAGCGCTTGAAATCTCCATTTGCAAATTCCACAAAAAGAGAGTTTCAAATCTGCTCTGTGTAAATGAAAGTTCAACTCTGTGAGTTGAACACACACAACACAAGGAAGTTACTGGGAATTCTTCTGTCTAGCACAGTATGAAGAAATCCCGTTTCCAACGAAGGCCTCAAAGAGGTCTGAATATCCACTTGGACAGTTTAAAAACACAGTGTTTCCTAACTGCTCTATGAAAAGAAAGGTTAAACTCTGTGAGTTGAACGCACACATCACAAAGAAGTTTCTGAGAATCATTCTGTCTAGTTTTTATACGAAGATATTTCCTTTTCTACCATTGACCTCAAAGCGGCTGAAATCTCCACTTGAAAATTCCACAAAAAGAGTGTTTCAAATCTGCTCTGTGTAAACCATCGTTCAACTCTGTGAGTTGAATACACACAACACAAGGAAGATTCTGAGAATTCTTCTGTCTAGCAGAATATGAAGAAATCCCGTTTCCAACGAAGGCCACAAGATGTCAGAATATCCACTTACAGAATTCACAAACAGACTGTTTCCTAACTGCTCTATGAAAAGAAAGGTTAAACTCTGTGAGTTGAACGAACACATCACAACGCAGTTTGTGGGAATGCTTCTGTCTAGTTTTGAAACGAAGATATTTCCTTTTCTGCCATTGACCTTAAAGCGCTTGAAATCTCCATTTGCCAATTACACAAAAAGAGTGTTTCAAATCTGCTCTGTCTAAGGGAACGTTCAACTCTGTGAGTTGAATGTACACAACACAAGGAAGTTACTGGGAATTCTTCTGTCTAGCCTTACATGAAAAAAACCCGTTTCCAACGAAGGCCTCTAAGTGGTCAAATTATCCACGTGCAGACTTTACAAACAGAGTGTTTCCAAACTGCTGAATGAAAAGCAAAGTTAAACTCTGAGAGTTGAACGCACACATCGCAGAGCACTTTCTGAGAATGATTCTGTCTAGTTTTTATACGAAGATATTTCCTTTTCTGCCTTTGGCCTCACAGCGCTTGAAATCTCCACTTGCAAATTCCACAAAAAGAGTGTTTCAAATCTGCTCTGTGTAAATGAAAGTTCAACTGCTGTGAGTTGAACACACACAACACAAGGAAGTTACTGGGAATTCTTCTGTCTAGCATAGTATGAAGAAATCCCGTTTCCAACGAAGGCCTCAAAGAGGTCTGAATATCCACTTGCAGAGTTTACAAACAGAGTGTTTCCTAACTGCTCTATGAAAAGAAAGGTTAAACTCTGTGAGTTGAACGCACACATCACAAAGAAGTTTCTGAGAATCATTTCTGTCTATTTTTTATAGGAAGATATTTCCTTTTCTACCTTTGACTTCAAAGCGGCTGAAATCTCCACTTGCAAATTCCACAAAAAGAGTGTTACAAGTCTGCTCTGTGTAAAGGATCGTTCAACTCTGTGAGTTGAATACACACAACACAAGGAAGTTACTGAGAATTCTTCTGTGTAGCAGAATATGAAGAAATCCTGTTTCCAACGAAGGCCACAAGATGTCAGAATATCCACTTACAGAATTTACCAACAGAGTGTTTCCTAACTGCTCTATGAAAAGAAAGGTTAAACTCTGTGAGTTGAACGAACACATCACAACGCAGTTTGTGGGAATGATTCTGTCTAGTTTTGAAACGAAGATATTTCCTTTTCTGCCATTGACCTTAAAGCGCTTGAAATCTCCACTTGCCAATTGCACAAAAAGAGTATTTCAAATCTGCTCTGTCTAAGGGAACGTTCAACTCTGTGAGTTGAATGTACACAACACAAGGAAGTTACTGGGAATTCTTCTGTCTAGACTTACATGAAAAAAACCCGTTTCCAACGAAGGCCTCTAAGTGGTCAAATTATCCACGTGCAGACTTTACAAACAGAGTGTTTCCAAACTGCTGAAGGAAAAGAAAAGTTAAACTCTGAGAGTTGAACACACCCATCGCAGAGCAGTTTCTTAGAATGATTCTGTCTAGTTTTTATACGAAGATATTTCCTTTTCTACCATTGACCTCAAAGCGGCAGAAATCTCCACTTGCAAATTCCACAAAAAGAGTGTTTCAAGTCTGCTCTGTGTAAAGGATCGTTCAATTCTGTGAGTTGAATACACACAACACAAGGAAGTTACTGAGAATTCTTCTGTCTAGCAGAATATGAAGAAACCCCGCTTCCAACGAAGGCCTCAAAGAAGTCTGAATATCCACTTGCAGACTTTACAAACAGAGTGTTTCCCAACTGCTCTATGAAAAGAAAGGTTAAACTCTGTGAGTTGAACGCACACATCACAAAGGAGTTTCTGAGAATCATTCTGTCTAGTTTTTATACGAAGATATTTCCTTTTCTACCATTGACCTCAAAGCGGCTGAAATGTCCACTTGCAAATTCCACCAAAAGAGTGTTTCAAGTCTGCTCTGTGTAAAGGATCGTTCAACTCTGTGAGTTGAAAACACACAACACAAGGAAGTTCCTGAGAATTCTTCTGTCTAGCAGAATATGAAGAAATCCCGTTTCCAACGAAGGCCACAAGATGTCAGAATATCCACTTACAGACTTTACAAACAGAGTGTTTCCTAACTGCTCTATGAACAGAAAGCTTAAACTCTGTGAGTTGAACGAACACATCACAACGCAGTTTGTGGGAATGATTCTGTCTAGTTTTGAAAGGAAGATATTTCCTTTTCAGCCGTTGACCTTAAAGCGCTTGAAATCTACACTTGCAAATTGCAAAAATAGGCTGTTTCAAATCTGCTCTGTCTAAGGGAACGTTCAACTCTGTGAGTTGAATGCACACAACACAAGGAAGTTACTGAGAATTCTTCTGTCTAGCCTTAAAGGAAAGAAACCCGTTTCCAACGAAGGCCTCTAAGTGGTCAAAATATCCACGTGCAGACTTTACAAACAGAGGGTTTCCAAACTGCTGAATGAAAAGAAAAGTTAAACTCTGAGAGTTGAACGCACACATCACAGAGCAGTTTCTGAGAATGATTCTGTCTAGTTTTTATACGAAGATATTTCCTTTTCTGCCTTTGGCCCCAAAGCGCTTATAATCTCCACTTGCAAATTCCACAAAAACAGTGTTTCAAATCTGCTCTCTCTAAATGAAAGTTCAACTCTGTCAGTTGAATACACACAACAGAAAGAAGTTACTGAGAATTCTTCTGTCTAGCCTTATATGAAAAAAACCCGTTTCCAACGAAGGCCTCAAAGAGGGCTGAATATCCACTTGCAGACTTTACAAACAGAGTGTTTCCTAACTGCTCTATGAAAAGAAAGGTTAAACTCTGTGAGTTGAACGCACACATCACAAAGGAGTTTCTGAGAATCTATCTGTCTAGTCTTTATACGAAGATATTTCCTTTTCTACCATTGACCTCAAAGCGGCTGAAATCTCCACTTGCAAATTCCACAAAAAGAGTGTTTCAAGTCTGCTCTGTGTAAAGGATCGTTCAATTCTGTGAGTTGAATACACACAACACAAGGAAGTTACTGAGAATTTTTCTTTCTAGCAGAATATGAAGAAATCCCGTTTCCAACGAAAGCCTCAAGGATGTCTGAATATCCACTTGCAGACTTTACAAACAGAGTGTTTCCCAACTGCTCTATGAAAAGAAAGGTTAAACTCTGTGAGTTGAACGCACACATCACAAAGGAGTCTCTGAGAATCATTCTGTCTAGTTTTGAAACGAAGATATTTCCTTTTCTGCCATTGACCTTAAAGAGCTTGAAAACTACACTTGCAAATTGCACAAATAGAGTGTTTCAAATCTGCTCTGTCTAAGGGAACGTTCAACTCTCTGAGTTGAATGCACACAACACAAGGAAGTTACTGGGAATTCTTCTGTCTAGCCTTACAGGAAAAAAACCCGTTTCCAACGAAGGCCTCTAAGTGGTCAAAATATCCACGTGCAGACTTTACAAACAGAGTGTTTCCAAACTGTTGAATGAAAAGAAAAGTTAAACTCTGAGAGTTGAACGCACACATCGCAGAGCAGTTTCTGAGAATGATTCTGTCTAGTTTTGAAACGAAGATATTTCCTTTTCTACCATTTACCTCAACGCGGCTGAAATCTCCATTTGCAAATTCCACAAAAAGAGTGTTTCAAATCTGCTCTGTGTAAATGAAAGTTCAACTCTGTGAGTTGAACACACACAACACAAGGAAGTTACTGGGAATTCTTCTGTCTAGCATAATATGAAGAAATCCCGTTTCCAAAGAAGGCCTCAAAGAGGTCTGAATATCCACTTGCAGACTTTACAAACAGAGTGTTTCCTAACTGCTCTATGAAAAGAAAAGTTAAACTCTGTGAGTTGAACGCACACATCACAAAGGAGTTTCTGAGAATCATTCTGTCTAGTTTCTATAAGAAGATATTTCCTATTCTACCATTGACCTCAAAGCGGCTGAAATCTCCACTTGCAAATTCCAGAAAAAGAGTGTTTCAAGTCTGCTCTGTGTAAAGGATCGTTCAACTCTGTGAGTTGAATACACACAACACAAGGTAAGTTACTGAGAATTCTTCTGTCAGGCATAATATGAAGAAATCCCGTTTCCAACGAAGGCCTCAAAGAGGTCTGAATATCCACTTTCAGACTTTACAAACAGAGTGTTTCCTAACTGCTCTATGAAAAGAAAGGTTAAACTCTGTGAGTTGAACGCACACGTCAGAAAGGAGTTTCTGAGAATCATTCTGTCTAGTTTTGAAACGAAGATATTTCCTTTTCTGCCATTGACCTTAAAGCGCTTGAAATCTACACTTGCAAATTGCACAAATAGAGTGTTTCAAATCTGCTCTGTCTAAGGGAACGTTCAGCTCTGTGAGGTGAATGCACACAACACAAGGAAGTTACTGGGAATTCTTCTGTCTAGCCTTACATGAAAAAATCCCGTTTTCAACGAAGGCCTCTAAGTGGTCAAAATATCCACGTGCAGACTTTACAAACAGAGTGTTTCCAAACCGCTGAATGAAAAGAAAAGTTAAACTCTGAGAGTTGAACGCACACATTACGCAGCAGTTTCTGAGAATGATTCTGTCTAGTTTTTATACGAAGATATTTCCTTTTCTGCCTTTGGCCCCAAAGCGCTTGAAATCTCCACTTGCAAATTCCACAAAAACAGTGTTTCAAATCTGCTCTCTCTAAATGAAATTCAACTCTGTCATTTGAATACACACAACACAAGGAAGTTACTGAGAATTCTTCTGTCTAGCCTTATATGAAAAAAACCCGTTTCCAACGAAGGCCTCAAAGAGGTCAGAATATCCACTTGCAGACTTTACAAACAGAGTGTTTCCTAACTGCTCTATGAAAAGAAAGGTTAAACTCTGTGAGTTGAACACACACATCACAAAGGAGTTTCTGAGAATCATTCTGTCTAATCTTTATATGAAGATAGTTTCCTTTTCTACCATTGACCTCAAAGCGGCTGAAATCTCCACTTGCAAATTCCACAAAAAGAGTGTTTCAAGTCTGCTCTGTGTAAAGGATCGTTCAACTCTGTGAGTTGAATACACACAACACAAGGAAGTTACTGAGCATTCTTCTGTCTAGCAGAATATGAAGAAATCCCGTTTCCAACGAAGGCCACAAAATGTCAGAATATCCACTTACAGAATTTACCAACAGAGTGTTTCCTAACTGCTCTATGAAAAGAAAGGTTAAACTCTGTGAGTTGAACGAACACATCACAACGCAGTTTGTGGGAATGATTCTGTCTAGTTTTGAAACGAAGATATTTCCTTTTCTGCCATTGACCTTAAAGCGCTTGAAATCTCCACTTGCCAATTGCACAAAAAGAGTATTTCAAATCTGCTCTCTCTAAGGGAACGTTCAACTCTGTGAGTTGAATGTACACAACACAAGGAAGTTACTGGGAATTCTTCTGTCTAGCCTTACATGAAAAAAAACCGTTTCCAACGAAGGCCTCAAAGTGGTCAATATATCCACTTGCAGACTATACAAACAGAGTGCTTCCAAACTGCTGAATGAAAAGAAAAGTTAAACTCTGTGAGTTGAACGCACACATCACAGAGCAGTTTCTGAGAATGATTCTGTCTAGTTTCTATAGGAAGATATTTCCTATTCTACCATTGACCTCAAAGCGGCTGAAATCTCCACTTGCAAATTCCACAAAAAGAATGTTTCAAGTCTGCTCTGTGTAAAGGATTGTTCAACTCTGTGAGTTGAATACACACAACACAAGGAAGTTACTGAGAATTATTCTGTATAGCAGAATATGAAGAAATCCCGTTTCCAACGAAGGCCTCAAGGAGCTCTGAATATCCACTTGCAGACTTTACAAACAGAGTGTTTCCTAACTGCTCTATGAAAAGAAAGGTTAAACTCTGTGAGTTGAACGCACACATCACAAAGGAGTTTCTGAGAATCACTCTGTCTAGTTTCTATAGGAAGATATTTCCTATTCTAACATTGACCTCAAAGCGGCTGAAATCTCCACTTGCAAATTCCACAAAAAGAGTGTTTCAAGTCTGCTCTGTGTAAAGGATCGTTCAACTCTGTGAGTTGAATACACACAACACAAGGAAGTTACTGAGAATTCTTCTGTCTAGCATAATATGAAGAAATCCCGTTTCCAACGAATGCCTCAAGGAGGTCTGAATATCCACTTGCAGACTTTACAAACAGAGTGTTTTCTAACTGCTCTATGAAAAGAAAGGTTAAACTGTGTGAGTTGAACGCACACATCACAAAGGAGTTTCTGAGAATCATTCTGTCTAGTTTTTATACGAAGATATTCCCTTTTCTACCATAGACCTCAAAGCAGCTGAAATCACCACTTGCCAATTGCACAAAAAGAGTGTTTCAAATCTGCTCTGTCTAAGGGAACGTTCAACTCTGTGAGTTGAATGTACACAACACAAGTAAGTTACTGGGAATTCTTCTGTCTAGCCTTACAGGAAAAAAACCCGATTCCAACGAAGGCCTCTAAGTGGTCAAAATATCCACGTGCAGACTTTACAAACAGAGTGTTTCCAAACTGCTGAATGAAAAGAAAAGTTAAACTCTGAGAGTTGAACGCACACATCGCAGAGCAGTTACTGAGAATGATTCTGTCTAGTTTTTATACGAAGATATTTCCTTTTCGGCCTTTGGCCTCAAAGCGCTTGAAATCTCCACTTGCAAATTCCACAAAAAGAGTGTTTCAGATCTGCTCTGTCTAAATGAAAGTTCAACTCTGTCAGTTGAATACACACAACACAAGGAAGTTACTGAGAATTCTTCTGTCTAGCATAATATGAAGAAATCCCGTTTCCAACGAAGGCCTCAAGGAGGTCTGAATATCCACTTGCAGACTTTACAAACAGAGTGTTTCCTAACTACTCTATGAAAAGAAAGGTTAAACTCTGTGAGTTGAATGCACACATCACAAAGGAGTTTCTGAGAATCATTCTGTCTAGTTTCTATAAGAAGATATTTCCTATTCTACCATTGACCTCAAAGCGGCTGAAATCTCCACTTGCAAATTCCACAAAAGGAGTGTTTCAAGTCTGCTCTGTGTAAAGGATCGTTCAACTCTGTGAGTTGAATACACACAACACAAGGCAGTTACTGAGAATTCTTCTGTCTAGCAGAATATGAAGAAATCCCGTTTCCAACGAAGGCCACAAGATGTCACAATATCCACTTACAGACTTTACAAACAGAGTGTTTCCTAACTGCTCTATGAACGGAAAGGTTAAACTCTGTGAGTTGAACGAACACATCACAACGCAGTTTGTGGGAATGATTCTGTCTAGTTTTTATAGGAAGATATTTCCTTTTCTACCTCTGACTTCACAGCGGCTGAAATCTCCACTTGCAAATTCCACAAAAAGAGTGTTACAAGTCTGCTCTGTGTAAAGGATCGTTCAACTCTGTGAGTTGAATACACACAACACAAGGAAGTTACTGAGAATTCTTCTGTCTAGCCTTACATGAAAAAAACCCGTTTCC
This sequence comes from Homo sapiens, assembly GCF_000001405.40. Taxonomy (NCBI): domain Eukaryota; kingdom Metazoa; phylum Chordata; class Mammalia; order Primates; family Hominidae; genus Homo; species Homo sapiens. The sequence goes on along the minus strand of NC_000005.10, from coordinate 48,540,665 downwards.
AACGAAGGCCTCTATGTGGTCAAATTATCCACGTACAGACTTTACAAACAGAGTGTTTTCAAACTGCTGAATGAAAAGAAAAGTTAAACTCTGAGAGTTGAACACACACAATGCAGAGCAGTTTCTGAGAATGATTCTGTCTACTTTTGAAACGAAGACATTTCCTTTTCTGCCTTTGGCCTCAAAGCGCTTGAAATCTCCATTTGCAAATTCCACAAAAAGAGTGTTTCAAATCTGCTCTGTGTAAATGAAAGTTCAACTCTGTGAGTTGAACACACACAACACAAGGAAGTTACTGGGAATTCTTCTGTCTAGCCTTATATGAAAAAAACCCGTTTCCAACGAAGGCCTCAAAGAGGTCTGAGTATCCACTTGCAGACTTTACAAACAGAGTGTTTCCTAACTGCTCTATGAAAAGAAAGGTTAAACTCTGTGAGTTGAACGCACACATCACAAAGGAGTTTCTGAGAATCATTCTGTCTAGTTTCTATAGGAAGATATTTCCTATTCTACCATTGACCTCAAAGCGGCTGAAATCTCCACTTGCAAATTCCAGAAAAAGAGTGTTTCAACTCTGCTCTGTGTAAGAGATCGTTCAACTCTGTGAGTTGAATACACACAACACAAGGAAGTTACTGAGAATTCTTCTGTCTAGCAAAATATGAAGAAATCCCGTTTCCAACGAAGGCCTCAAAGAGGTCTGAATATCCACTTGCAGACTTTACAAACAGAGTGTTTCCTAACTGCTCTATGAGAAGAAAAGTTAAACTCTGTGAGTTGAACGCACACATCACAAAGGAGTTTCTGAGAATCGTTCTGTCTAGTTTTTATACGAAGATATTTCCTTTTCTACCATTGACCTCAAAGAGGCTGAAATCACCACTTGCCAATTGCACAAAAAGAGTGTTTCAAATCTGCTCTGTCTAAGGGAACGTTCAACTCTGTGAGTTGAATGTACACAACACAAGGAAGTTACTGGGAATTCTTCTGTCTAGCCTTACAAGAAAAAAACCCGTTTCCAACGAAGGCCTCTAAATGGTCAAAATATCCACGTGCAGACTTTACAAACAGAGTGTTTCCAAACTGCTGAATGAAAAGAAAAGTTAAACTCTGAGAGTTGAACGCACACATCGCAGAGCAGTTTCTGAGAATGATTCTGTCTAGTTTCTATAGGAAGATATTTCCTATTCTACCATTGAACTCAAAACGGCTGAAATCTCCACTTGCAAATTCCACAAAAAGAGTGTTTCAAGTCCGCTCTGTGTAAAGGATCATTCAATTCTGTGAGTTGAATACACACAACACAAGGGAAGTTACTGAGAATTCTTCTGTCTAGCAGAATATGAAGAAAACCCGTTTCCAACGAAGGCCTCAAAGGGGTCTGAATATCCACTTGCAGACTTTATAAACAGAGTGTTTACTAACTGCTCTATGAAAAGAAAGGTTAAACTCTGTGAGTTGAACACACACATCACAAAGGAGTTTCTGAGAATCATTCTGTCTAGTTTTTATAGGAAGATATTTCCTTTTCTACCTTTGACGTCAAAGCGGCTGAAATCTCCACTTGCAAATTCCACAAAAAGAGTGTTACAAGTCTGCTCTGTGTAAAGGATCGTTCAACTCTGTGAGTTGAATACACACAACACAAGGAAGTTACTGAGAATTCTTCTGTCTAGCATAGTATGAAGAAATCCCGTTTCCAACGAAGGCCTCAAAGAGGTCTGAACATCCACTTGCAGAGTTTTCAAACAGAGTGTTTCCTAACTGCTCTATGAAAAGAAAGGTTAAACTCTGTGAGTTGAACGCACACATCACAAAGAAGTTTCTGAGAATCATTCTGTCTAGTTTTGAAACGAAGATATTTCCTTTTCTGCCATTGACCTTAAAGCGCTTGAAATCTCCACTTGCCAATTGCACAAAAAGAGTGTTTCAAATCTGCTCTGTCTAAGGGAACGTTCAACTCTGTGAGTTGAATACACACAACACAAGGAAGTTACTGAGAATTCTTCTGTCTAGCCTTACATGAAAAAAACCCGTTTCCAACGAAGTCCTCTAAGTGGTCAAATTATCCACGTGCAGACTTTACAAACAGAGTGTTTCCAAACTGCTGAATGAAAAGAAAAGTTAAACTCTGAGAGTTGAACGCACACATCGCAGAGCAGTTTCTGAGAATGATTCTGTCTAGTTTTTCTACGAAGATATTTCCTTTTCTACAATTGACCTCAAAGCGGCTGAAATCTCCACTTGCAAATTCCACAAAAAGAGTGTTTCAAGTCTGCTCTGTGTAAAGGTTCGTTCAACTCTGTGAGTTGAATACACACAACACAAGGAAGTTACTGAGAATTCTTCTGTCTAGCAGAATATGAAGAAATCCCGTTTCCAACGAAGGCTTCAAAGAGGTCTGAATATCCACTTGCAGACTTTACAAACAGAGTGTTTCCTAACTGCTCTATGAAAAGAAAGGTTAAACTCTGTGAGTTGAACGCACACATCACAAAGGAGTTTCTGAGAATCATTCTGTCTAGTTTCTATAGGAAGATATTTCCTATTCTACCATTGACCTCAAAGCGGCTGAAATCTCCACTTGCAAATTCCACAAAAAGAGTGTTTCAAGACTGTTCTGTGTAAAGGATCATTCAACTCTGTGAGTTGAAAACACACAACACCACGAAGTTACTGAGAATTCTTCTGTCTAGCAGAATATGAAGAAATCCCGTTTCCATCGAAGGCTTCAAAGAGGTCTGAATATCCACTTGCAGACTTTACAAACAGAGTGTTTCCTAACTGCTCTATGAACAGAAAGGTTAAACTCTGTGAGTTGAACGAACACATCACAACGCAGTTTGTGGGAATGATTCTGTCTAGTTTTTATAGGAAGATATTTCCTTTTCTACCTTTGACTTCAAAGCGGCTGAAATCTCCACTTGCAAATCCCACAAAAAGAGTGTTACAAGTCTGCTCTGTGTAAAGGATCGTTCAACTGTGTGAGTTGAATACACACAACACAAGGAAGTTACTGAGAATTCTTCTGTCTAGCCTTACATGAAAAAAAACCCGTTTCCAACGAAGGCCTCTAAGTGGTCAAAATATCCACGTGCAGACTTTAAAAACAGAGTGTTTCCAAACCGCTGAATGAAAAGAAAAGTTAAACTCTGAGAGTTGAACGCACACATCACGCAGCAGTTTCTGAGAATGATTCTGTCTAGTTTTGAAACGAAGATATTTCCTTTTCTGCCTTTGGCCTCAAAGCGCTTGAAATCTCCACTTGCAAATTCCACAAAAAGAGTGTTTCAAATCTGCTCTGTGTAAATGAAAGTTCAACTCTGGGAGTTGAACACACACAAGACAAGGAAGTTACTGGGAATTCTTCTGTATAGCAGAATATGAAGAAATCCAGTTTCCAACGAAAGCCTCAAAGATGTCTGAATATCCACTTGCAGACTTTACAAACAGAGTGTTTCCTAACTGCTCTATGAAAAGAAAGGTTAAACTCTGTGAGTTCGAACGCCCACATCACAAAGGAGTTTCTGAGAATCATTCTGTCTAGTTTCTATAGGAAGATATTTCCTATTCTACCATTGACCTCAAAGCGGCTGAAATCTCCACTTGCAAATTCCACAAAAAGAGTGTTTCAAGTCTGCTCTGTGTAAAGGATCGTTCAACTCTGTGAGTTGAATACACACAACACAAGGAAGTTGCTGAGAATTCTTCTGTCTAGCAGAATATAAAGAAATCCCGTTTCCAACGAAGGCCACAAGATGTCAGAATATCCACTTACAGACTTTACAAACAGAGTGTTTCCTAACTGCTCTAAGAACAGAAAGGTTAAACTCTGTGAGTTGAACGAACACATCACAACGCAGTTTGTGGGAATGATTCTGTCTAGTTTTGAAACGGAGATATATCCTTTTCTGCCATTGACCTTAAAGCGCTTGAAATCTACACTTGCAAATTACACAAATAGAGTGTTTCAAATCTGCTCTGTCTAAGGGAACGTTCATCTCTGTGAGTTGAATGCACACAACACAAGGAAGTTACTGGGAATTCTTCTGTCTAGCCTTACATGAAAAAAACCCGTTTCCAACGAAGGCCTCTAAGTGGTCAAATTATGCACGTGCAGACTTTACAAACAGAGTGTTTCCAAACTGCTGAATGAAAAGAAAAGTTAAACTCTGAGAGGTGAACGCACACATCGCAGAGCAGTTTCTGAGAATCATTCTGTCTAGTTTTGAAACGAAGATATTTCCTTTTCTGCCTTTGGCCTCAAAGCGCTTGAAATCTCCACTTGCAAATTCCACAAAAAGAGTGTTTCAAATCTGCTCTGTGTAAATGAAAGTTCAACTCCTGTGAGTTGAACACACACAACACAAGGAAGTTACTGGGAATTCTTCTGTCTAGCCTTACATGAAAAAAACCCGTTTCCAACGAAGGCCTCAAAGTAGGTCTGAATATCCACTTGCAGACTTTAAAAACAGAGTGTTTCCCAACTGCTCTATGAAAAGAAAGGTTAAACTCTGTGAGTTGAACGCACACATCACAAAGAAGTTTCTGAGAATCATTCTGTCTAGTTTTTATACGAAGATATTTCCTTTTCTACCATGGACCTCAAAGCGGCTGTAATCTCCACTTGCAAATTCCACAAAAAGAGTGGTTCAAGTCTGCTCTGTGTAAAGGATCATTCAACTCTCTGAGTTGAATACACACAACAGAAGGAAGATTCTGAGAATTCTTCTGTCTAACAGAATATGAAGAAATCCCGTTTCCAACGAAGGCCACAAGATGTCAGAATATCCACTTACAGACTTTACAAACAGAATGTTTCCTAACTGCTCTATGAACAGAAAGGTTAAACTCTGTGTGTTGAACGCACACATCACAAAGGAGTTTATGACAATCATTCTGTCTAGTTTTGAAACGAAGATATTCCCTTTTCTGCCATTGACCTTAAAGCGCTTGAAATCTCCATTTGCCAATTGCACAAAAAGAGTGTTTCAAATCTGCTCTGTCTAAGGGAACGTTCAAATCTGTGAGTTGAATGTACACAACACAAGGAAGTTACTGGGAATTCTTCTGTCTAGCCTTACATGAAAAAAACCCGTTTCCAACGAAGGCCTCTAAGTGGTCAAAATATCCACGTGCAGACTTTACAAACAGAGTGTTTCCAAACCGCTGAATGAAAAGGAAAGTTAAACTCTGAGAGTTGAACGCACACATCACGCAGCAGTTTCTGAGAATGATTCTGTCTAGTTTTTATACGAAGATATTTCCTTTTCTGCCTTTGGCCCCAAAGCGCTTGAAATCTCCACTGGCAAATTCCACAAAAACAGTGTTTCAAATCTGCTCTCTCTAAATGAAAGTTCAACTCTGTCAGTTGAATACACACAACACAAGGAAGTTACTGAGAATTCTTCTGTCTAGCAGAAAATGAAGAAATCCCGTTTCCAACGAAGGCCTCAAAGAGGTCTGAATATCCACTTGCAGACTTTACAAACAGAGTGTTTCCTAACTGCTCTATGAAAAGAAAAGTTAAACTCTGTGAGTTGAACGCACACATCACAAAGGAGTTTCTGAGAATCATTCTGTCTAGTTTCTATAGGAAGATATTCCCTATTCTACCATTGACCTCAAAGCGGCTGAAATCCCCACTTGCAAATTCCACAAAAAGAGTGTTTCAAGTCTGCTCTGTGTAAAGCGTCGTTCAACTCTGTGAGTTGAATACACACAACACAAGGAAGTTTCTGAGAATTCTTCTGTCTAGCACAGTATGAAGAAATCCCGTTTCCAACGAAGGCCTCAAACAGGTCTGAATATCCACTTGCAGACTTTACAAACAGAGTGTTTCCTAACTACTCTATGAAAAGAAAGGTTAAACTCTGTGAGTTGAACGCACACATCACAAAGGAGTTTGTGAGAATCATTCTGTCTAGTTTTGAAACGAAGATATTTCCTTTTCTGCCATTGAACTTATAGCGCTTGAAATCTCCATTTGCCAATTGCACAAAAAGAGTGTTTCAAATCTGCTCTGTCTAAGGGAACGTTCAACTCTGTGAGTTGAATGTACACAACACAAGGAAGTTACTGGGAATTCTTCTGTCTAGCCTTATATGAAAAAAACCCGTTTCCAAAGAAGGCCTCTAAGTGGTCAAATTATCCACGTGCAGACTTTACAAACAGAGTGTTTCCAAACTGCTGAATGAAAAGAAAAGTTAAACTGTGAGAGTTGAACGCACACATCGCAGAGCAGTTTCTGAGAATGATTCTGTCTAGTTTTTATACGAAGATATTTCCTTTTCTGACTTTGGCCTCAAAGCGCTTGAAATCTCCACTTGCAAATTCCACAAAAAGAGTGTTTCAAATCTGCTCTGTCTAAATGAAAGTTCAACTCTGTCAGTTGAATACACACAACACAAGGAAGTTACTGAGAATTCTTCTGTCTAGCATAATATGAAGAAATCCCGTTTCCAACGAAGGCCTCAAAGGGGTCTGAATATCCACTTGCAGACTTTATAAACAGAGTGTTTACTTACTGCTCTATGAAAAGAAAGGTTCAACTCTGTGAGTTGAACACACACATCACAAAGGAGTTTCTGAGAATCATTCTCTCTAGTTTCTATAGGAAGATATTTCCTATTCTACCATTGAACTCAAAGCGGCTGAAATCTCCACTTGCAAATTCCACAAAAAGAGTGTTTCAAGTCTGCTCTGTGTAAAGGATCGTTCAACTCTGTGAGTTGAATACACACAACACAAGGAAGTTACTGAGAATTCTTCTGTCTAGCAGAATATGAAGAAATCCCGTTTCCAACGAAGGCCACAAGATGTCAGAATATCCACTTACAGAATTGACAAACAGACTGTTTCCTAACTGCTCTATGAAAAGAAAGGTTAAACTCTGTGAGTTGAACGCACACATCACAAAGGAGTTTCTGAGAATCATTCTGTCTAGTTTTGAAACGAAGATATTTCCTTTTCTGCCGTTGACCTTAAAGAGCTTGAAAACTACACTTGCAAATTGCACAAATAGAGTGTTTCAAATCTGCTCGGTCTAAGGGAACGTTCAACTCTGTGAGTTGAATGCTCACAACACAAGGAAGTTACTGGGAATTCTTCTGTCTAGCCTTACAGGAAAAAAACCCGTTTCCAACGAAGGCCTCTAAGTGGTCAAAATATCCACGTGCAGACTTTACAAACAGAGTGTTTCCAAACTGCTGAATGAAAAGAAAAGTTAAACACTGAGAGTTGAACGCACACATCGCAGAGCAGTTTCTGAGAATGATTCTGTCTAGTTTTTATACGAAGATATTGCCTTTTCTACCATTGACCTCAAAGCGGCTGAAATCTCCACTTGCCAATTCCACAAAAAGAGTGTTTCAAGTCTACTCTGTGTAAAGGATCGTTGTACTCTGTGAGTTGAAAACACACAACACAAGGAAGTTTCTGAGAATTCTTCTGTCTAGCATAATATGAAGAAATCCCGTTTCCAACGAAGACCTCAAAGAGGTCTGAATATCCACTTGCAGACTTCATAAACAGAGTGTTTACTAACTGCTCTATGAAAAGAAACGTTAAACTCTGTGAGTTGAACACACACATCACAAAGGAGTTTCTGAGAATCATTCTGTCTAGTTTTTATAGGAGGATATTTCCTTTTCTAACTTTGACTTCAAAGCGGCTGAAATCTCCACTTGAAAATTCCACAAAAAGAGTGTTACAAGTCTGCTCTGTGTAAAGGATCGTTCAACTCTGTGAGTGGAATACACACAACACAAGGAAGTTACTGAGAATTCTTCTGTCTAGCAGAATATGAAGAAATCCCGTTTCCAACGAAGGCCACAAGATGTCAGAATATCCACTTACAGAATTGACAAACAGACTGTTTCCTAACTGCTCTATGAAAAGAAAGGTTAAACTCTGTGAGTTGAACGAACACATCACAACGTAGTTTGTGGGAATGATTCTGTCTAGTTTTGAAACGAAGATATTTCCTTTTCTGCCGTTGACCTTAAAGCGCTTGAAATCTACACTTGCAAATTGCACAAATAGAGTGTTTCAAATCTGCTCTGTGTAAAGGATCATTCAACTCTGTGAGTTGAATAAACACAACACAAGGAAGTTACTGAGAATTCTTCTGTCTAGCCTTACATGAAAAAAACCCGTTTCCAACGAAGGCCTCTAAGTGGTCAAAATATGCACGTTCAGACTTTACAAACAGAGTGTTTCCAAACCGCTGAATGAAAAGAAAAGTTAAACTCTGAGTGTTGAACGCACACATCACGCAGCAGTTTCTGAGAATGATTCTGTCTAGTTTTTATACGAAGATATTTCCTTTTCTGCCTTTGGCCCCAAAGCGCTTGAAATCTCCACTTGCAAATTCCACAAAAACAGTGTTTCAAAACTACTCTCTCTAAATGAAAGTTCAACTCTGTCAGTTGAATACACACAACACAAGGAAGTTACTGAGAATTCTTCTGTCTAGCACAGTATGAAGAAATCCCGTTTCCAACGAAGGCCTCAAAGAGGTTTGAATATCCACTTGCAGAGTTTACAAACAGAGTGTTTCCTAACTGCTCTATGAAAAGAAAGGTTAAACTCTGTGAGTTGAACGCACACATCACAAAGAAGTTTCTGAGAATCATTCTGTCTAGTCTTTATACGAAGATATTTCCTTTTCTACCATTGACCTCAAAGCGGATGAAATCTCCACTTGCAAATTCCACAAAAAGAGTGTTTCAAGTCTGCTCTCTGTAAAGGATCGTTCAACTCTCTGAGTTGAATACACTCAACACACGGAAGTTACTGAGAATTACTCTGTCTAGGAAAATATGAAGAAATCCCGTTTCCAACGAAGGCCACAAGATGTCAGAATATCCACTTACAGAATTGACAAACAGACTGTTTCCTAACTGCTCTATGAAAAGAAAGGTTAAACTCTGTGAGTTGAACGAACCATCACAACGCAGTTTGTGGGAATGATTCTGTCTAGTTTTTATACGAAGATATTTCCTTTTCTACCATTGACCTCAAAGCGGTTGAAATCACCACTTGCCAATTGCACAAAAAGAGTGTTTCAAATCTGCTCTGTCTAAGGGAACGTTCAACTCTGTGAGTTGAATGTACACAACACAAGGAAGTTACTGGGAATTCTTCTCTATAGCCTTACATGAAAAAAACCCGTTTCCGACGAAGGCCTCTAAGTGGTCAAAATATCCACGTGCAGACTTTACAAACAGAGTGTTTCCAAACTGCTGAATGAAAAGAAAAGTTAAACTCTGAGAGTTGAACGCACTCATCGCAGAGCAGTTTCTGAGAATCATTCTGTCTAGTTTTGAAACGAAGACATTTCCTTTTCTGCCTTTGGCCTCAAAGCGCTTGAAATCTCCATTTGCAAATTCCACAAAAAGAGTGTTTCAAATCTGCTCTGTGTAAATGAAAGTTCAATTCTGTGAGTTGAACACACACAACACAAGGAAGTTACTGGGAATTCTTCTGTCTAGCCTTATATGAAAAAATCCCGTTTCCAACGAAGGCCTCAAAGAGGTCTGAATATCCACTTGCAGACTTTACAAACAGAGTGTTTCCTAACTGCTCTATGAAAAGAAAGGTTAAACTCTGTGAGTTGAACCCACACATCACAAAGGAGTTTCTGAGAATCATTCTGTCTAGTTTCTATAGGAAGATATTTCCTATTCTACCATTGACCTCAAAGCGGCTGAAATCTCCACTTGCAAATTCCGCAAAAAGAGTGTTTCAAGTCTGCTCTGTGTAAAGGATCGTTCAACTCTGTGAGTTGAATACACACAACACAAGGAAGTTACTGAGAATTCTTCTGTCTAGCAGAATATGAAGAAATCCCGTTTCCAACGAAGGCCACAATATGTCAGAATATCCACTTACAGAATTTACAAACAGACTGTTTCCTAACTGGTCTATGAAAAGAAAGGTTAAACTCTGTGAGTTGAACGAACACATCACAACGCAGTTTGTGGGAATGATTCTGTCTAGTTTTGAAACGAAGATATTTCCTTTTCTGCCATTGACCTTAAAGCGCTTGGAATCTACTCTTGCAAATTGCACAAATAGAGTGTTTCAAATCTGCTGTGTCTAAGGAACGTTCAACTCTGTGAGTTGAATGCACCCAACACAAGGAAGTTACTGGGAATTCTTCTGTCTAGCCTTACAGGAAAAAAACCCGTTTCCAACGAAGGCCTCTAAGTGGTCAAAATATCCACGTGCAGACTTTACAAACAGAGTGTTTCCAAACTGCTGAATGAAAAGAAAAGTTAAACTCTGAGAGTTGAACGCACACATCGCAGAGCAGTTTCTGAGAATGCTTCTGTCTAGCCTTACATGAAAAAAAACCCGTTTCCAACGAAGGCCTCAAAGAGGTGAAAATATCCACTTGCAGACTTTATAAACAGAGTGTTTCCTAACTGCTCTATGAAAAGAAAGTTAAACTCTGTGAGTTGAACACCCACATCACAAAAGAGTTTCTGAGAATCATTCTGTCTAGTTTCTATAAGAAGATATTTCCTATTCTACCATTGACCTCAAAGCGGCTGAAATCTCCACTTGCAAATTCGACAAAAAGAGTGTTTCAATCCTGATCTCTGTAAAGGATCGTTCAACTCTGTGAGTTGAATACACACAACACAAGGAAGTTACTGAGAATTATTCTGTCTAGCAGAATATGAAGAAATCCCGTTTCCAACGAAGACCACAAGATGTCAGAATATCCACTTACAGAATTTACAAACAGACTGTTTCCCAACTGCTCTATGATAAGAAAGGTTAAACTCTGTGAGTTGAACGAACACATCACAACGCAGTTTTTGGGAATGATTCTGTCTAGTTTTGAAACGAAGATATTTCCTTTTCTGCCATTGACCTTAAAGCGCTTGAAATCTCCCCTTGCCAATTGCACAAAAAGAGTGTTTCAAATCTGCTCTGTCTAAGGGAACGTTCAACTCTGTGAGTTGAATGTACACAACACAAGGAAGTTACTGGGAATTCTTCTGTCTAACCTTACAGGAAAAAAACCCGTTTCCAATGAAGGCCTCTAAGTGGTCAAATTATCCACGTGCAGACTTTACAAACAGAGTGTTTCCAAACTGCTGAATGAAAAGAAAAGTTAAACTCTGAGAGTTGAACGCACACATCGCAGAGCAGTTTCTGAGAATGATTCTGTCTAGTCTTTATACGAAGATATTTACTTTTCTACCGTTGACCTCAAAGCGGCTGAAATCTCCACTTGCAAATTCCACAAAAAGAGTGTTTCAATTCTGCTCTGTGTAAAGGATCATTCAACTCTGTGAGTTGAATAAACACAACACAAGGAAGTTACTGAGAATTCTTCTGTCTAGCCTTATATAAAAAAAACCCGTTTCCAACGAAGGCCTCAAAGAGGGCTGAATATCCACTTGCAGACTTTACAAGCAGAGTGTTTCCTAACTGCTCTATGAAAAGAAAGGTTAAACTCTGTGAGTTGAACGCACACATCACAAAGGAGTTTCTGAGAATCATTCTGTCTAGTTTTTATAGGAAGATATTTCCTTTTCTACCTTTGACTTCAAAGCGGCTGAAATCTCCACTTGCAAATTCCACAAAAAGAGTGTTACAAGTCTGCTCTGTGTAAAGGATCGTTCAACTCTGTGAGTTGAATACACACAACACAAGGAAGTTACTGAGAATTCTTTCTGTCTAGCAGAATATGAAGAAATCCCGTTTCCAACGAAGGCCTCAAGGAGGTCTGAATATCCACTTGCAGACTTTACAAACAGAGTGTTTTCTAACTGCTCTATGAACAGAAAAGTTAAACTCTGTGACTTGAACGAACACATCACAACGCAGTTTGTGGGAATGATTCTGTCTAGTTTTGAAACGAAGATATTTCCTTTTCTGCCATTGACCTTAAAGCGCTTGAAATCTACACTTGCAAATTGCACAAATAGAGTGTTTCAAATCTGCTCTGTCTAAGGGAATGTTCAACTCTGTGAGTTGAATGCACACAACACAAGGAAGTTACTGGGAATTCTTCTGTCTAGCCTTACAGGAAAAAAACCCGTTTCCAACGAAGGCCTCTAAGTGGTCAAAATATCCACGTGCAGACTTTACAACCAGAGTGTTTCCAAACTGCTGAATGAAAAGAAAAGTTAAACTCTGAGAGTTGAACGCACACATCGCAGAGCAGTTTCTGAGAATGATTCTGTCTAGTTTTTATACGAAGATATTTCCTTTTCTGCCTTTGGCCTCAAAGAGTTTGAAATCTCCATTTGCAAATTCCACAAAAAGAGTGTTTCAAATCTACTCTGTGTAAATGAAAGTTCAACTCTGTGAGTTGAACACACACAACACATGGAAGTTACTGGGAATTCTTCTGTCTAGCCTTATATGAAAAAAACCCGTTTCCAACGAAGGCCTCAAAGAGGTCTGAATATCCACTTGCAGACTTTAGAAACAGAGTGTTTCCTAACTGCTCTATGAAAAGAAAGGTTAAACTCTGTGAGTTGAACACACACATCACAAAGGAGTTTCTGAGAATCATTCTGTCTAGTTTGTATAAGAAGATATTTCCTATTCTACCATTGACCTCAAAGCGGCTGAAATCTCCACTTGCAAATTCGACAAAAAGAGTGTTTCAAGCCTGCTCTCTGTAAAGGATCCTTCAACTCTGTGAGTTGAATACACACAACACAAGGAAGTTACTGAGAATTATTCTGTCTAGCAGAATATGAAGAAATCCCGTTTCCAACGAAGGCCACAAGATGTCAGAATATCCACTTACAGACTTTACAAACAGAGTGTTTCCTAACAGCTCTATGAACAGAAAGGTTAAACTCTGTGAGTTGAACGAACACATCACAACGCAGTTTGTGGGAATGATTCTGTCTAGTTTTGAAACGAAGATATTTCCTTTTCTGCCATTGACCTTAAAGCGCTTGAAATCTCCACTTGCCAATTGCACAAAAAGAGTGTTTCAAATCTGCTCTGTCTAAGGGAACGTTCAACTCTGTGAGTGGAATGTACACAACACAAGGAAGTTACTGGGAATTCTTCTGTCTAGCCTTACATGAAAAAAACCCGTTTCCAACGAAGGCCTCTAAGTGGTCAAAATATCCACGTGCAGACTTTACAAACAGAGTGTTTCCAAACCGCTGAATGGAAAGAAAAGTTAAACTCTGAGAGTTGAACGCACACATCACGCAGCAGTTTCTGAGAATGATTCTGTCTACTTTTTATACGAAGATATTTCCTTTTCTGCCTTTGGCCCCAAAGCGCTTGAAATCTCCAATTGCAAATTCCACAAAAACAGTGTTTCAAATCTGCTCTCTCTAAATGAAAGTTCAATTCTGTCAGTTGAATACACACAACACAAGGAAGTTACTGAGAATTCTTCTCTCTAGCCTTATATGAAAAAAACCCGTTTCCAACGAAGGCCTCAAAGAGGTCTGAATATCCACCTGCAGACTTTACAAACAGAGTGATTCCTAACTGCTCTATGAAAAGAAAGGTTAAACTCTGTGAGTTGAACACACACATCTCAAAGGAGTTTCTGAGAATCATTTCTGTCTAGTTTTTATACGAAGATATTTCCTTTTCTACCATTGACCTCAAGGCGGCTGAAATCTCCACTTGCAAATTACACAAAAAGAGTGTTTCAAGTCTACTCTGTGTAAAGCATCGTTCAACTCTGTGAGTTGAAAACACACAACACAAGGAAGTTTCTGAGAATTCTTCTGTCTAGCAGAATATGAAGAAATCCCGTTTCCAACGAAGGCCACAAGATGTCAGAATATCCACTTACAGAATTTACAAACAGACTGTTTCCTAAGTGCTCTATGAAAAGAAAGGTTAAACTCTGTGAGTTGAACGAACACATCACAACGCAGTTTGTGGGAATTATTCTGTCTAGTTTTGAAACGAAGATATTTCCTTTCCTGCCATTGACCTTAAAGCGCTTGAAATCTCCATTTGCCAATTGCACAAAAAGAGTGTTTCAAATCTGCTCTGTCTAAGGGAACGTTCAACTCTGTGAGTTGAATGTACACAACACAAGGAAGTTACTGGGAATTCTTCTGTCTAGCCTTACAGGAAAAAAACCCGTTTCCAACGAAGTCCTCTAAGTGGTCAAGTTATCCACGTGCAGACTTTACAAACAGAGTGTTTCCAAACTGCTGAATGAAAAGAAAAGTTAAACTCTTGAGAGTTGAACGCACACATCGCAGAGCAGTTTCTGAGAATGATTCTGTCTAGTTTTTATACGAAGATATTTCCTTTTCTGCCTTTGGCCTCAAAGCGCATGAAATCTCCACTTGCAAATTCCACAAAAAGAGTGTTTCCAATCTGCTCTGTGTAAATGAAAGTTCAACTCTGTGAGTTGAACACACACAACACAAGGAAGTTACTGGGAATTCTTCTTTCTAGCATAATATGAAGAAATCCCGTTTCCAACGAAGGCCTCAAGGAGGTCTGAATATCCACTTGCAGACTTTACAAACAGAGTGTTTCCTAACTGCTCTATGAAAAGAAAGGTTAAACTCTGTGAGTTGAACGCACACATCACAAAGGATTTCTCAGAATCATTCTGTCTAGTTTCTATAGGAAGATATTTCCTATTCTACCATTGACCTCAAAGCGGCTGAAATCTCCACTTGCAAATTCCACAAAAGGAGTGTTTCAAGTCTCCTCTGTGTAAAGGATCGTTCAACTCTGTGAGTTGAATACACACAACACAAGGAAGTTACTGAGAATTCTTCTGTCTAGCAGAATATGAAGAAATTCCGTTTCCAACGAAGGCCACAAGATGTCAGAATATCCACTTACAGACTTTACAAACAGAGTGTTTCCTAACTGCTCTATGAACAGAAAGTTTAAAATCTGTGAGTTGAACGAGCACTTCACAACGCAGTTTGTGGGAATGATTCTGTCTAGTTTTGAAACGAAGATATTTCCTTTTCTGCCGTTGACCTTAAAGAGCTTGAAAACTACACTTGCAAATTGCACAAATAGAGTGTTTCAAATCTGCTCTGTCTAAGGGAACGTTCAACTCTGTGAGTTGAATGCACACAACACAAGGAAGTTACTGGGAATTCTTCTGTCTAGCCTTACATGAAAAAAACCCGTTTCCAACGAAGGCCTCTAAGTGGTCAAAATTTCCACGTGCAGACTTTACAAACAGAGTGTTTCCAAACTGCTGAATGAAAAGAAAAGTTAAACTCTGAGAGTTGAACGCACACATCACGCAGCAGTTTCTGAGAATGATTCTGTCTAGTTTTTATACGAAGATATTTCCTTTTCTGCCTTTGGCCCAAAAGCGCTTGAAATCTCCACTTGCAAACTCCACAAAAACAGTGTTTCAAATCTGCTCTCTCTAAATGAAAGTTCAACTCTGTCAGTTGAATACACACAACACAAGGAAGTTACTGAGAATTCTTCTGTCTAGCATAATATGAAGAAATCCCGTTTCCAACGAAGGCCTCAAAGAGGTCTGAATATCCACTTGCAGACTTTACAAACAGAGTGTTTCCTAACTGCTCTATGAAAAGAAAAGTTAAACTCTGTGAGTTGAACACACACATCACAAAGGAGTTTCTGAGAATCATTCTGTCTAGTCTTTATACGAAGATATTTCCTTTTCTACCATTGACCTCAAAGCTGCTGAAATCTCCACTTGCAAATTCCACAAAAAGAGTGTTTCAAGTCTGCTCTGTGTAAAGGATCGTTCAACTCTGTGAGTTGAATACACACAACACAAGGAAGTTACTGAGAATTCTTCTGTCTAGCAGAATATGAAGAAATCCCGTTTCCAACGAAGGCCACAAGATGTCAGAATATCCACTTAGAGACTTTACAAACAGTGTGTTTCCTGACTGCTCTATGAACGGAAAGGTTAAACTCTGTGAGTTGAACGAACACATCACAATGCAGTTTGTGGGAATGATTCTGTCTAGTTTTTATACGAAGATATTTCCTTTTCTACCATTGACCTCAAAGCGGCTGAAATCACCACTTGCCAATTGCACAAAAAGAGTGTTTCAAATCTGCTCTGTCTAAGGGAACGTTCAACTCTGTGAGTTGAATGTACACAACAGAAGGAAGTTACTGGGAATTCTTCTGTCTAGCCTTACATGAAAAAAACCCGTTTCCAACGAAGGCCTCTAAGTGGTCAAAATTTCCACGTGCAGACTTTACAAACAGAGTGTTTCCAAACCGCTGAATGAAAAGAAAAGTTAAACTCTGAGAGTTGAAAGCACACATCACGCAGCAGTTTCTGAGAATGATTCTGTCTAGTTTTTATACGAAGATATTTCCTTTTCTGCCTTTGTCCTCAAAGCGCTTGAAATCTCCACTTGCAAATTCCACAAAAAGAGTGTTTCAAATCTGCTCTGTGTAAATGAAAGTTCAACTCTGTGAGTTGAACACACACAACACAAGGAAGTTACTGGGAATTCTTCTGTCTAGCAGAATATGAAGAAATCCCGCTTCCAACGAAGGCCTCAAAGAAGTCTGAATATCCACTTGCAGACTTTACAAACAGAGTGTTTCCCAACTGCTCTATGAAAAGAAAGGTTGAACTCTGTGAGTTGAACGCGCACATCACAAACGAGTTTCTGAGAATCATTCTGTGTAGTTTCTATAGGAAGATATTTCCTATTCTACCATTGAACTCAAAGCGGCTGAAATCTCCACTTGCAAATTCCACAAAAAGAGTGTTTCAAGTCTGCTCTGTGTAAAGGATCGTTCAACTCTGTGAGTTGAATACACACAACACAAGGAAGTTACTGAGAATTCCTCTGTCTAGCAGAATATGAAGAAATCCCGTTTCCAACGAAGGCCACAAGATGTCAGAATATCCACTTACAGAATTTAGCAACAGAGTGTTTCCTAACTGCTCTATGAAAAGAAAGGTTAAACTCTGTGAGTTGAACGAACACATCACAACGCAGTTTGTGGGAATGATTCTGTCTAGTTTTGAAACGAAGATATTTCCTTTTCTGCCATTGACCTTAAAGCGCTTGAAATCTCCATTTGCCAATTGCACAAAAAGAGTGTTTCAAATCTGCTCTGTCTAAGGGAACGTTCAACTCTGTGAGTTGAATGTACACAACAGAAGGAAGTTACTGGGAATTCTTCTGTCTAGCCTTACAGGAAAAAAACCCGTTTCCAACGAAGGCCTCTAAGTGGTCAAAATATCCACGTGCAGACTTTACAAACAGAGTGTTTCCAAACTGCTGAATGAAAAGAAAAGTTAAACTCTCAGAGTTGAACGCACACATCGCAGAGCAGTTTCTGAGAATGATTCTGTCTAGTTTTTATACGAAGATATTTCCTTTTCTGCCTTTGGCCTCACAGCGCTTGAAATCTCCACTTGCAAATTCCACAAAAAGAGTGTTTCAAATCTGCTCTGTGTAAATGAAAGTTCAACTCTGTGAGTTGAACACACACAACACAAGGAAGTTACTTGGGAATTCTTCTGTCTAGCCTTATATGAAAAAAACCCGTTTCCAACGAAGGCCCCAAAGAGTTCTGAATATCCACTTGCAGACTTTACAAACAGAGTGTTTCCTAACTGTTCTATGAAAAGAAAGGTTAAACTCTGTGAGTTGAACACACACATCACAAAGGAGTTTCTGAGAATCATTTCTGTCTAGTTTCTATACGAAGATATTTCATTTTCTACCATTAACCTCAAAGCGGCTGAAATCTCCACTTGCAAATTCCACAAAAAGAGTGTTTCAAGTCTGCTCTGTGTAAAGGATCGTTCAACTCTGTGAGTTGAATACACACAACACAAGGAAGTTACTGAGAATTCTTCTGTCTAGCAGAATATGAAGAAAACCCGTTTCCAACGAAGGCCACAAGACGTCAGAATATCCACTTACAGAATTGACAAACAGACTGTTTCCTAACTGCTCTATGAAAAGAAAGGTTAAACTCTGTGAGTTGAACGAACACATCACAACGCAGTTTGTGGGAATGATTCTGTCTAGTTTTGAAACGAAGATATTTCTTTTTCTGCCATTGACCTTAAAGCGCTTGAAATCTCCATTTGCCAATTGCACAAAAAGAGTGTTTCAAATCTGCTCTGTCTAAGGGAACGTTCAACTCTGTGAGTTGAATGTACACAACACAAGGAAGTTACCGGGAATTCTTCTGTCTAGCCTTACAGGAAAAAAACCTGTTTCCAACGAAGGCCTCTAAGTGGTCAAAATATCCACGTGCAGACTTTACAAACAGAGTGTTTCCAAACTGCTGAATGAAAAGAAAAGTTAAACTCTGAGAGTTGAACGCACACATCGCACAGCAGTTTCTGAGAATGATTCTGTCTAGTTTTTATACGAAGATATTTCCTTTTCTGCCTTTGGCCCCAAAGCGCTGGAAATCTCCACTTGCAAATTCCACAAAAACAGTGTTTCAAATCTGCTCTCTCTAAATGAAAGTTCAACTCTGTCACTTGAATACACACAACACAAGGAAGTTACTGAGAATTCTTCTGTCTAGCATAATATGAAGAAATCCCGTTTCCAACGAAGGCCTCAAGGAGGTCTGAATATCCACTTACAGACTTCACAAACAGAGTGTTTCCTAACTGCTCTATGAAAAGAAAGGTTAAACTCTGTGAGTTGAACGCACACATCACAAAGGTGTTTCTGAGAATCATTCTGTCTAGTTTTTATACGAAGATATTTCCTTTTCTACCATTGACCTCAAAGCGGCTGAAATCTCCACTTGCAAATTCCACAAAAAGAGTGTTTCAAGTCTGCTCTGTGTAAAGGATCGTTCAACTCTGTGAGATGAATACACACAACACAAGGAATTTACTGAGAATTCTTCTGTCTAGCAGAATATGAAGAAATCCCGTTTCCAACGAAGGCCACAAGTTGTCAGAATATCCACTTACAGAATTTACAAACAGACTGTTTCCCAACTGCTCTATGAAAAGAGAGGTTAAACTCTGTGAGTTTACTGAACACCTCACAACGTAGTTTGTGGGAATGATTCTGTCTAGTTTTGAAACGAAGATATTTCCTTTTCTGCCGTTGACCTTAAAGAGCTTGAAAACTACACTTGCAAATTGCACAAATAGAGTGTTTCAAATCTGCTCTGTCTAAGGGAACGTTCAACTCTGTGAGTTGAATGCACACAACACAAGGAAGTTACTGGGAATTCTTCTGTCTAGCCTTACAGGAAAAAAACCCGTTTCCAACGAAGGCCTCTAAGTGGTCAAAATATCCACGTGCAGACTTTACAGAGTGTTTCCAAACTGCTGAATGAAAAGAAAAGTTAAACTCTGAGAGTTGAACGCACACATCGCAGAGCAGTTTCTGAGAATGATTCTGTCTAGTTTTTATACGAAGATATTTCCTTTTCTGCCTTTGGCCTCAAAGCGCTTGAAATCCCCATTTGCAAATTCCACAAAAAGAGTGTTTCAAATCTGCTCTGTGTAAATGAAAGTTCAACTCTGTGAGTTGAACACACACACACAAGGAAGTTACTGGGAATTCTTCTGTCTAGCATAGTATGAAGAAATCCCGTTTCCAACGAAGGCCTCAAAGAGGTCTGAATATCCACTTGCAGACTTTACAAACAGAGTGTTTCCTAACTGCTCTATGAAAAGAAAGGTTAAACTCTGTAAGTTGAACGCACACATCACAAAGGAGTTTCTGAGAATCATTCTGTCTAGTTTTTATACGAAGATATTTCCTTTTCTACCATTGACGTCAAAGCGGCTGAAATCTCCACTTGCAAATTCCACAAAAAGAGTGTTTCAAGTCTACTCTGTGTAAAGCATCGTTCAACTCTGTGAGTTGAAAACACACAACACAAGGAAGTTTCTGAGAATTCTTCTCTATAGCAGAATATGAAGAAACCCCGTTTCCAACGAAAGCCTCAAAGATGTCTGAATATCCACTTGCAGACTTTACAAACAGAGTGTTTCCTAACTGCTCTATGAAAAGAAAGGTTAAACTCTGTGAGTTGAACGCACACATCACAAAGGAGTTTCTGAGAATCAGTCTGTCTAGTTTCTATAGGAAGATATTTCCTATTCTACCATTGACCTCAAAGCGGCTGAAATCTCCACTTGCAAATTCCACAAAAAGAGTGTTTCTAATCTGTTCTGTGTAAACGATCGTTCAACTCTGTGAGTTGAATACACACAACAAAAGGAAGTTACTGAGAATTCTTCTGTCTAGCCTTACAGGAAAAAAACCCGTTTCCAACGAAGGCCTCTAAGTGGTCAAAATATCCACGTGCAGACTTTACAAACAGAGTGTTTCCAAACTGCTGAATGAAAAGAAAAGTTAAACTCTGAGAGTTGAACGCACACATCACAAAGGAGTTTCTGAGAATCATTCTGTCTAGTTTTTATACGAAGATATTTCCTTTTCTGCCTTTGGCCCCAAAGCGCTTGAAATCTCCACTTGCAAATTCCACAAAAACAGAGTTTCAAATCTGCTCTCTCTAAATGAAAGTTCAACTCTGTCAGTTGAATACACACAACACAAGGAAGTTACTTGAGAATTCTTCTGTCTAGCATAGTATGAAGAAATCCCGTTTCCAACGAAGGCCTCAAACAGGTCTGAACATCCACTTGCAGAGTTTACAAACAGAGTGTTTCCTAACTGCTCTATGAAAAGAAAGGTTAAACTCTGTGAGTTGATCGCACACATCACAAAGAAGTTTCTGAGAATCATTCTGTCTAGTTTTTATAGGAAGATATTTCCTTTTCTACCTTTGACTTCAAAGCGGCAGAAATCTCCACTTGCAAATTCCACAAAAAGAGTGTTACAAGTCTGCTCTGTGTAAAGGATCGTTCAACTCTGTGAGTTGAATACACACAACACAAGGAAGTTACTGAGAATTCTTCTGTCTAGCCTTACATGAAAAAAACCCGTTTCCAACGAAGGCCTCTAAGTGGTCAAATTATCCACGTGCAGACTTTACAAACAGAGTGTTTCCAAACTGCTGAATGAAAAGAAAAGTTAAACTCTCAGAGTTGAACGCACACATCGCAGAGCAGTTTCTGAGAATGATTCTGTCTAGTTTTGAAAGGAAGATATTTCCTTTTCTGCCATTGACCTCAAAGCGCTTGAAATCTCCACTTGCCAATTGCACAAAAAGAGTGTTTCAAATCTGCTCTGTCTAAGGGAACGTTCACCTCTGTGAGTTGAATGTACACAACACAAGGAAGTTACTGGGAATTCTTCTGTCTAGCAGAATATGAAGAAATCCCGTTTTCAACGAAGGCCTCTAGGAGGTCTGAATATCCACTTGCAGACTTTACAAACAGAGTGTTTCCTAACTGCTCTATGAACAGAAAGGTTAAACTCTGTGAGTTGAACGCACACATCAAAAAGGAGTTTCTGAGAATCATTCTGTCTAGTCTTTATACGAAGATATTTACTTTTCTACCATTGACCTCAAAGCGGCTGAAATCTCCATTTGCAATTTCCACAAAAAGAGTGTTTCAAGTCTGCTCTGTGTAAAGGATCATTCAACTCTGTGAGTTGAATAAACACAACACAAGGAAGTTACTTGAGAATTCTTCTGTCTAGCCTTATATGAAAGAAACCCGTTTCCAACGAAGGCCTCAAACAGGTCTGAATATCCACTTGCAGACTTTACAAACAGAGTGTTTCCTAACTGCTCTATGAAAAGAAAGGTTAAACTCTGTGAGTTGAACGCACACATCACAAAGGAGTTTCTGAGAATCATTCTGTCTAGTTTCTATAGGAAGATATTTCCTATTCTACCATTGACCTCAAAGCGGCTGAAATCTCCACTTGCAAATTCCTCAAAAGGAGTGTTTCAAGTCTGCTCTGTGTAAAGGATCGTTCAACTCTGTGAGTTGAAAACACACAACACAAGGAAGTTTCTGAGAATTCTTCTGTCTAGCAGAATATGAAGAAATCCCGTTTCCAACGAAGGCCTCAAAGAGGTCTGAATATCCACTTGCAGACTTTACAAACAGAGTGTTCCCTAACTGCTCTATGAAAAGAAAAGTTAAACTCTGTGAGTTGAACGCACACATCACAAAGGAGTTTCTGAGAATCATTCTGTCTAGTTTCTATAGGAAGATATTTCCTATTCTACCATTGAACTCAAAGCGGCTGAAATCTCCACTTGCAAATTCCACAAAAAGAGTGTCTCAAGTCTGCTCTGTGTAAAGGATCGTTCAACTCTGTGAGTTGTATACACACAACACAAGGAAGTTACTGAGAATTCTTCTGTCTAGCAGAATATGAAGAAATCCCTTTTCCAACGAAGGCCTCAAAGAGGTCTGAATATCCACTTGCAGACTTTACAAACAGAGTGTTTCCTAACTGCTCTATGAACAGAAAGGTTAAACTCTGTGAGTTGAACGAGCACATCACAACGCAGTTTGTGGGAATGATTCTGTCTAGTTTTAAAACGAAGATATTTCCTTTTCTACCATTGACCTTAAAGCGCTTGAAATCTACACTTGCAAATTGCACAAATAGAGTGTTTCAAATCTGCTCTGTCTAAGGGAACGTTCAACTCTGTGAGTTGAATGCACACAACACAAGGAAGTTACTGGGAATTCTTCTGTCTAGCCTTACTGGAAAAAAACCCGTTTCCAACGAAGGCGTCTAAGTGGTCAAAATATCCACGTGCAGACTTTACAAACAGAGTGTTTCCAAACTGCTGAATGAAAAGAAAAGTTAAACTCTGAGAGTTGAACGCACACATCGCAGAGCAGTTTCTGAGAATGATTCTGTCTAGTTTTTCTACGAAGATATTTCCTTTTCTGCTTTTGGCCCCAAAGCGCTTGAAATCTCCACTTGCAAATTCCACAAAAACAGTGTTTCAAATCTGCTCTCTCTAAATGAAAGTTCAACTCTGTCAGTTGAATACACACAACACAAGGAAGTTACTGAGAATTCTTCTGTCTAGCACAGTATGAAGAAATCCCGTTTCCAACGAAGGCCTCAAAGAGGTCTGAATATCCACTTGCAGACTTTACAAACAGAGTGTTTCCTAACTGCTCTATGAAAAGAAAGGTTAAACTCTGTGAGTTGAACGCACACATCACAAAGGAGTTTCTGAGAATCTTTCTGTCTAGTTTTTATAGGAAGATATTTCCTTTTCTACCTTTGACTTCAAAGCGGCTGAAATCTCCACTTGCAAATTCCACAAAAAGAGTGTTACAAGTCTGCTCTGTGTAAAGGATCGTTGAACTCTGTGAGTTGAATACACACAACACAAGGAAGTTACTGAGAATTCTTCTGTCTAGCAGAATATGAAGAAATCCCGTTTCCAACGAAGGCCACAAGATTTCAGAATATCCACTTACAGAATTTACAAACAGAGTGTTTCCTAACTGCTCTATGAAAAGAAAGGTTAAACTCTGTGAGTTGAACGCACACATCACAAAGAAGTTTCTGAGAATCATTCTGTCTAGTTTTGAAACGAAGATATTTCCTTTTCTGCCATTGACCTTAAAGCGCTTGAAATCTACACTTGCAAATTGCACAAATAGAGTGTTTCAAATCTGCTCTGTCTAAGGGAACGTTCATCTCTGTGAGTTGAATGCACACAACACAAGGAAGTTACTGGGAATGCTTCTGTCTAGCCTTACATGAAAAAAACCCGTTTCCAACGAAGGCCTCTAAGTGGTCAAAATATCCACGTGCAGACTTTACAAACAGAGTGTTTCCAAACTGCTGAATGAAAAGAAAAGTTAAACTCTGAGAGTTGAACGCATACATCGCAGAGCAGTTTCTGAGAATGATTCTGTCTAGTTTTTATACGAAAATATATCCTTTTCTGCCTTTGGCCTCAAAGCGCTTGAAATCTCCACTTGCAAATTCCAGAAAAAGAGTGTTTCAAATCTGCTCTGTCTAAATGAAAGTTCAACTCTGTCAGTTGAATACACACAACAAAAGGAAGTTACTGAGAATTCTTCTGTCTAGCCTTACATGAAAAAAAAGCCGTTTGCAACGAAGGCCTCAAAGAGGTGAAAATATCCACTTGCAGACTTTAGAAACAGTGTGTTTCCTAACTGCTCTATGAAAAGAAAGTTAAACCCTGTGAGTTGAACACCCACATCACAAAGGAGTTTCTGAGAATCATTCTGTCTTGTTTCTATACGAAGATATTTCCTTTTCTACCATTGACCTCAAAGCGGCTGAAATCTCCACTTGCAAATTCCACAAAAAGTGTGTTTCAAGTCTGCTCTGTGTAAAGGATCGTTCAATTCTGTGAGTTGAATACACACAACACAAGGAAGTTACTGAGAATTCTTCTGTCTAGCAGAATATGAAGAAATCCCGTTTCCAACGAATGCCACAAGATGTCAGAATATCCACTTACAGACTTTACAAACAGAGTGTTTCCTAACTGCTCTATGAACAGAAAGGTTAAACTCTGTGAGTTGAACGAACACATCACAACGCAGTTTGTGGGAATGATTCTGTCTAGTTTTGAAACGAAGATATTTCCTTTTCTGCCATTGACCTTAAAGCGCTTGAAATCTACAGTTGCATATTGCACAAATAGAGTGTTTCAAATCTGCTCTGTCTAAGGGAACGTTCAACTCTGTGAGTTGAATGCACACAACACAAGGAAGTTACTGGGAATTCTTCTGTCTAGCCTTACATGAAAAAAACCTGTTTCCAACGAAGGCCTCTAAGTGGTCAAATTATCCACGTGCAGACTTTACAAACAGAGTGTTTCCAAACTGCTGAATGAAAAGAAAAGTTAAACTCTGAGAGTTGAACGCACACATCGCAGAGCAGTTTCTGAGAATGATTCTGTCTAGTTTTTATACGAAGATATTTCCTTTTCTGCCTTTGGCCCCAAAGCGCTTGAAGTCACCACTTGCAAATTCCACAAAAACAGTGTTTCAAATCTGCTCTCTCTAAATGAAAGTTCAACTCTGTCAGTTGAATACACACAACACAAGGAAGTTACTGAGAATTCTTCTGTCTAGCATAGTATGAAGAAATCCCGTTTCCAACGAAGGCCTCAAAGAGGTCTGTATATCCACTTGCAGAGTTTACAAACAGAGTGTTTCCTAACTGCTCTATGAAAAGAAAGGTTAAACTCTGTGAGTTGAACGCACACATCACAAAGAAGTTTCTGAGAATCATTCTGTCTAGTTTTTATACGAAGATATTTCCTTTTCTACCATTGACTTCAAAGCGGCTGAAATCTCCACTTGCAATTTCCACAAAAAGAGTGTTTCAAGTCTGCTCTGTGTAAAGGATCGTTCAACTCTGTGAGTTGAATACACACAACACAAGGAAGTTACTGAGAATTCTTCTGTCTAGCATAATATGAAGAAATCCCGTTTCCAACAAAGGCCTCAAAGAGGTCTGAATATCCACTTGCAGACTTTACAAAGAGAGTGTTTCCTAACTGCTCTATGAAAAGAAAGGTTAAACTCTGTGAGTTGAACGCACACATCACAAAGGAGTTTCTGAGAATCATTCTGTCTAGTTTTGAAACGAAGATATTTCCTTTTCTGCCGTTGACCTTAAAGCGCTTGAAATCTACACTTGCAAATTGGACAAATAGAGTGTTTCAAATCTGCTCTGTCTAAGGGAACGTTCAACTCTGTGAGTTGAATGCACACAACACAAGGAAGTTACTGGGAATTCTTCTGTCTAGCCTTACAGGAAAAAAACCCGTTTCCAACGAAGGCCTCTAAGTGGTCAAAATATCCCCGTGCAGACTTTACAAACAGAGTGTTTCCAAACTGCTGAATGAAAAGAAAAGTTAAACTCTGAGAGTTGAACGCACACATCGCAGAGCAGTTTCTGAGAATGATTCTGTCTAGTTTTTATACGAAGATATTTCCTTTTCTGCCTTTGGCCTCAAAGCGCTTGAAATCTCCACTTGCAAATTCTACAAAAAGAGTGTTTCAAATCTGCTCTGTCTAAGGGAACGTTCAACTCTGTGAGTTGAACACACACAACACATGGAAGTTACTGGGAATTCTTCTGTCTAGCAGAATAGGAAGAAATCCCGTTTCCAACGAAGGCCTCAAAGAGGTCTGAATATCCACTTGCAGACTTTACAAACAGAGTGTTTCCTAACTGCTCTATGAAAAGAAAGGTTAAACTCTGTGAGTTGAACGCACACATCACAAAGGAATTTCTGAGAATCGTTCTGTCTAGTTTTTATAGGAAGATATTTCCTTTTCTACCATTGACCTCAAAGCGGCTGAAATCTCCACTTGCAAATTCCACAAAAAGAGTGTTTCAAATCTGCTCTGTGTAAACCATCGTTCAACTCTGTGAGTTGAATACACACAACACAAGGAAGATTCTGAGAATTCTTCTATCTAGCAGAATATGAAGAAATCCCGTTTCCAACGAAGGCCACAAGATGTCAGAATATCCACTTACAGAATTTACAAACAGACTGTTTCCTAACTGCTCTATGAAAAGAAAGGTTAAACTCTGTGAGATGAACGAACACATGACAACGCAGTTTTTGGGAATGATTCTGTCTAGTTTTGAAACGAAGATATTTCCTTTTCTGCCATTGACCTCAAAGCGCTTGAAATCTCCACTTGCCAATTGCACAAAAAGAGTGTTTCAAATCTGCTCTGTCTAAGGGAACGTTCAACTCTGTGAGTTGAATGTACACAACACAAGGAAGTTACTGGGAATTCTTCTGTCTAGCCTTACATGAAAAAAACCCGTTTCCAACCAAAGCCTCTAAGTGGTCAAATTATCCACGTGCAGACTTTACAAACAGAGTGTTTCCAAACTGCTGAATGAAAAGAAAAGTGAAACTCTGAGAGTTGAACGCACACATCGCAGAGCAGTTTTTGAGAATGATTCTGTCTAGTTTTTATACGAAGATATTTCGTTTTCTGCCTTTGGCCCCAAAGCGCTTGAAATCTCCACTTGCAAATTCCACAAAAACAGTGTTTCAAATCTGCTCTCTCTAAATGAAAGTTCAACTCTGTCAGTTGAATACACAAAACACAAGGAAGTTACTGAGAATTCTTCTGTCTAGCATAATATGAAGAAATCCGGTTTCCAACCAAGGCCTCAAAGAGGTCTGAATATCCACTTGCAGACTTTACAAACAGAGTGTTTCCTAACTGCTCTATGAAAAGAAAAGTTAAACTCTGTGAGTTGAACGCACACATCACAAAGGATTTTCTGAGAATCATTCTGTCTACTTTCTATAGGAAGATATTTCCTATTCTACCATTGACCTCAAAGCGGCTGAAATCTCCACGTGCAAATTCCACAAAAGGAGTGTTTCAAGTCTGCTCTGTGTAAAGGATCGTTCAACTCTGTGAGTTGAAAACACACAACACAAGGAAGTTTCTGAGAATTCTTCTGTCTAGCAGAACATGAAGAAATCCCGCTTCCAACGAAGGCCTCAAAGAAGTCTGAATATCCACTTGCAGACATTACAAACAGAGTGTTTCCCAACTGCTCTATGAAAAGAAAGGTTAAACTCTGTGAGTTGAACGCACACATCACAAAGGAGTTTCTGAGAATCATTCTGTCTAGTTTTAATACGAAGATATTTCCTTTTCTACCATTGACCTCAAAGCGGCTGAAATCACCACTTGCCAATTGCACAAAAAGAGTGTTTCAAATCTGCTCTGTCTAAGGGAACGTTCAACTCTGTGAGTTGAATGTACACAACACAAGGAAGTTACTGGGAATTCTTCTGTCTAGCCTTACAGGAAAAAAACCCGTTTCCAACGAAGGCCTCTAAGTGGTCAAAATATCCACGTGCAGACTTTACAAACAGAGTTTTTCCACACTGCTGAATAAAAAGAAAAGTTAAACTCTGAGAGTTGAACGCACACATCGCAGAGCAGTTTCTGAGAATGATTCTGTCTAGTTTTTATACGAAGATATTTCCTTTTCTGCCTTTGGCCCCAAAGCGCTTGAAATCTCCACTTGCAAATTCCACAAAAACAGTGTTTCAAATCTGCTCTCTCGAAATGAAAGTTCAACTCTGTCAGTTGAATACACACAACACAAGGAAGTTACTGAGAATTCTTCTGTCTAGCATAATATGAAGAAATCCCGTTTCCAAAGAAGGCCTCAAGCAGGTCTGAATATCCACTTGCAGACTTTACAAACAGAGTGTTTCCTAACTGCTCTATGAAAAGAAAGTTTAAACTCTGGGAGTTGAACGCACACATCACAAAGGAGTTTATGAGAATCATTCTGTCTAGTTTCTATAGGAAGATATTTCCTATTCTACCATTGACCTCAAAGCGGCTGAAATCTCCACTTGCAAATTCCGCAAAAAGAGTGTTTCAAGTCTGCTCTGTGTAAAGGATCGTTCAACTCTGTGAGTTGAATACACACAACACAAGGAAGTTTCTGAGAATTCTTCTGTCTAGCAGAATATGAAGAAATTCCGTTTCCAACGAAGGCCACAAGATGTCAGAATATCCACTTACAGACACTACAAACAGAGTGTTTCCTAACTGCTCTATGAACAGAAAGGTTAAACTATGTGAGTTGAACGAGCACTTCACAACGCAGTTTGTGGAAATGATTCTGTCTAGTTTTGAATCGAAGATATTTCCTTTTCTGCCGTTGACCTTAAAGCGCTTGAAATCTACACTTGCAAATTGCACAAATAGAGTGTTTCAAATCTGCTCTGTCTAAGGGAACGTTCAACTCTGTGAGTTGAATGCACACAACACAAGGAAGTTACTGGGAATTCTTCTGTCTAGCCTTACATGAAAAAAACCCGTTTCCAATGAAGGCCTCTAAGTGGTCAAAATATCCACGTGCAGACATTACAAACAGAGTGTTTCCAAACCGCTGAATGAAAAGAAAAGTTAAACTCTGAGAGTTGAACGCACACATCACGCAGCAGTTTCTGAGAATGATTCTGTCTAGTTTTTATACGAAGATATTTCCTTTTCTGCCTTTGGCCCCAAAGCGCTTGAAATCTCCACTTGCAAATTCCACAAAAACAGTGTTTCAAATCTGCTCTATCTAAATGAAAGTTCAACTCTGTCAGTTGAATACACACAACACAAGGAAGTTACTGAGAATTCTTCTGTCTAGCCTTATATGAAAAAAACCCGTTTCCAACGAAGGCCGCAAAGACGTCTGAATATCGACTTGCAGACTTTACAAACAGATTGTTTCCTAACTGCTCTATGAATAGAAAGGTTAAACTCTGTGAGTTGAACGCACACATCACAAAGGAGTTTCTGGGAATCATTCTGTCTAGTTTTTCTACGAAGATATTTCCTTTTCTACTATTGACCTCAAAGCGGCTGAAATCTCCACTTCCAAATTCCACAAAAAGAGTGTTTCAAGTCTGCTCTGTGTAAAGGATCGTTCAACTCTGTGAGTTGAATACACACAACACAAGGAAGTTACTGAGAATTCTTCTGTCTAGCAGAATATGAAGAAATCCGGTTTCCAACGAAGGCCTCAAAGAGGTCTGAATATCCACTTGCAGACTTTACAAACAGAGTGTTTCCTAACTGCTCTATGAAAAGAAAGGTTAAACTGTGTGAGTTGAACGCACACATCACAAAGGAGTTTATGAGAATCATTCTGTCCAGTTTTGAAACGAAGATATTTCCTTTTCTGCCATTGACCTTAAAGCGCTTGAAATCTCCATTTGCCAATTGCACAAAAAGAGTGTTTCAAATCTGCTCTGTCTAAGGGAACGTTCAACTCTGTGAGTTGAATGTACACAACACAAGGAAGTTACTGGGAATTCTTCTGTCTAGCCTTACATGAAAAAAACCCGTTTCCAACGAAGGCCTCTAAGTGGTCAAATTATCCACGTGCAGACTTTACAAACAGAGTGTTTCCAAACTGCTGAATGAAAAGCAAAGTTAAACTCTGAGAGTTGAACGCACACATCGCAGAGCAGTTTCTGAGAATGATTCTGTCTAGTTTTTATACGAAGATATTTCCTTTTCTGCCTTTGGCCTCAAAGCGCTTGAAATCTCCACTTGCAAATTCCACAAAAAAAGTGTTTCAAATCTGCTCTGTGTAAATGAAAGTTCAACTCTGTGAGTTGAACACACACAACACAAGGAAGTTACTGGGAATTCTTCTGTCTAGCAGAATATGAACAAATCCCGTTTCCAACGAAGGCCTCAAAGGGGTCTGAATATCCACTTGCAGACTTTATAAACAGAGTGTTTACTAACTGCTCTATGAAAAGAAAGGTTAAACTCTGTGAGTTGAACGCACACATCACAAAGGAGTTTCTGAGAATCATTCTGTCTAGTTTTTATATGAAGATATTTCCTTTTCTACCATTGACCTCAAAGCGGCTGAAATCTCCTCTTACAAATTCCACAAAAAGAGTGTCTCAAGTCTGCTCTGTGTAAACGAACGTTCAACTCTGTGAGTTGAATACACACAACACAAGGAAGTTTCTGAGAATTCTTCTTTCTAGCAGAATATGAAGATATCCCGTTTCCAACGAAAGCCTCAAGGAGGTCTGAATATCCACTTGCAGACTTTACAAACAGAGTGTTTCCCAACTGCTCTATGAAAAGAAAGGTTAAACTCTGTGAGTTGAACGCACACATCACAAAGGAGTTTCTGAGAATCATTCTGTCTAGTTTCTATAGGAAGATGTTTCCTATTCTACCATTGACCTCAAAGCGGCTGAAAACTCCACTTGCAAATTCCACAAAAAGAGTGTTTCAAGTCTGCTCTGTGTAAAGGATCGTTCAACTCTGTGAGTTGAATACACACAACACAAAGAAGTTACTGAGAATTCTTCTGTCTAGCAGAATATGAAGAAATCCCGTTTCCAACGAAGGCCACAAGATGTCAGAATATCCACTTACAGACTTTACAAACAGAGTGTTTCCTAACTGCTCTATGAACAGAAAGGTTAAACTGCTGTGAGTTGAACGAACACATCACAACGCAGTTTGTGGGAATGATTCTGTCTAGTTTTGAAACGAAGATATTTCCTTTTCTGCCATTGACCTCAAAGCGCTTGAAATCTCCACTTGCCAATTGCACAAAAAGAGTGTTTCAAATCTGCTCTGTCTAAGGGAAGGTTCAACTCTGTGAGTTGAATGTACACAACACAAGGAAGTTACTGGGAATTCTTCTGTCTAGCCTTACATGAAAAAAACCCGTTTCCAACGAAGGCCTCTAAGTGGTCAAATTATCCACGTGCAGACTTTACAAACAGAGTGTTTCCAAACTGCTGAATGAAAAGAAAAGTTAAACTCTGAGAGTTGAACGCACACATCACAGAGCAGTTTCTGAGAATGATTCTGTCTAGTTTTTATACGAAGATATTTCCTTTTCTGCCTTTGGCCTCAAAGCGCTTGAAATCTCCACTTGCAAATTCCACAAAAAGAGTGTTTCAAATCTGCTCTGTGTAAATGAAAGTTCAACTCTGTGAGTTGAACACACACAATACAAGGAAGTTACTGGGAATTCTTCTGTCTAGCAGAATATGAAGAAATCCCGTTTCCAAAGAAGGCCTCAAAGGGGTCTGAATATCCACTTGCAGACTTTATAAACAGAGTGTTTACTAACTGCTCTATGAAAAGAAAGGTTAAACTCTGTGAGTTGAACACACACATCACAAAGGAGTTTCTGAGAATCATTCTGTCTAGTTTTGAAACGAAGATATTTCCTTTTCTACCATTGACCTCAACGCGGCTGAAATCTCCATTTGCAAATTCCACAAAAAGAGTGTTTCAAATCTGCTCTGTGTAAATGAAAGTTCAACTACTGTGAGTTGAACACACACAACACAAGGAAGTTACTGGGAATTCTTCTGTCTAGCAGAATATGAAGAAATCCCGTTTCCAACGAAGGCCACAAGATGTCAGAATATCCACTTACAGAATTTACAAACAGACTGTTTCCTAACTGCTCTATGAAAAGAAAGGTTAAACTCTGTTAGTTGAACGAACACATCACAACGCAGTTTGTGGGAATGATTCTGTCTAGTTTTGAAACGAAGACATTTCCTTTTCTGCCATTGACCTTAAAGCGCTTGAAATCTACACTTGCAAATTGCACAAATAGAGTGTTTCAAATCTGCTCTGTCTAAGGGAACGTTCAACTCTGTGAGTTGAATGCACACAACACAAGGAAGTTACTGGGAATTCTTCTGTCTAGCCTTACATGAAAAAAACCCGTTTCCAACGAAGGCCTCTAAGTGGTCAAAATATCCACTTGCAGACTTTACAAACAGAGTGTTTCCAAACCGCTGAATGAAAAGAAAAGTTAAACTCTGAGAGTTGAACGCACACATCACGCAGCAGTTTCTGAGAATGATTCTGTCTAGTTTTGAAACGAAGATATTTCCTTTTCTGCCTTTGGCCTCAAAGCGCTTGAAATCTCCATTTGCAAATTCCACAAAAAGAGTCTTTCAAATCTGCTCTGTGTAAATGAAAGTTCAACTCTGTGAGTTGAACACACACAACACAAGGATGTTAGTGGGAATTCTTCTGTCTAGCAGAATAGGAAGAAATCCCGTTTCCAACGAAGGCCTCAAAGAGGTCTGAATATCCACTTGCAGACTTTACAAACAGAGTGTTTCCTAACTGCTCTATGAAAAGAAAGGTTAAACTCTGTGAGTTGAACGCAAACATCACAACGGAGTTTCTGAGAATCGTTCTGTCTAGTTGTTATACGAAGATATTTCCTTTTCTACCATTGACCTCAAAGCGGCTGAAATCTCCACTTGCAAATTCCACCAAATGAGTGTTTCAAATCTGCTCTTTGTAAACCATCGTTCAACTCTGTGAGTTGAATACACACAACACAAGGAAGATTCTGAGAATTCTTCTGTCTAGCAGAATATGAAGAAATCCCGTTTCCAACGAAGGCCACAAGATGTCAGAATATCCACTTACAGAATTTTCAAACAGACTGTTTCTTAACTGCTCTATGAAAAGAAAGGTTAAACTCTGTGAGTTGAACGAACACCTCACAACGCAGTTTGTGGGAATGATTCTGTCTAGTTTTGAAACGAAGATATTTCCTTTTCTGCCATTGACCTTAAAGCGCTTGAAATCTCCATTTGCCAATTGCACAAAAAAAGTGTTTCAAATCTGCTCTGTCTAAGGGAACGTTCAACTCTGTGAGTTGAATGTACACAACACAAGGAAGTTACTGGGAATTCTTCTGTCTAGCCTTACAGGAAAAAAACCCATTTCCAACGAAGGCCTCTAAGTGGTCAAAATATCCACGTGCAGACTTTACAAACAGAGTGTTTCCAAACTGCTGAATGAAAAGAAAAGTTAAACTCTGAGAGTTGAACGCACACATCGCAGAGCAGTTTCTGAGAATGATACTGTCTAGTTTTTATACGAAGATATTTACTATTCTACCATTGACCTCAAAGCGGCTGAAATCTCCACCTGCAAATTCCAGAAAAGGAGTGTTTCAAGTCTGCTCTGTGTAAAGGATCGTTCAACTCTGTGAGTTGAATACACACAACACAAGGAAGTTTCTGAGAATTCTTCTGTCTAGCAGAATATGAAGAAATCCCGTTTCCAACGAAAGCCTCAAAGATGTCTGAATATCCACTTGCAGACTTTACAAACAGAGTGTTTCCTAACTGCTCTATGAAAAGAAAGGTTAAACTTCTGTGAGTTGAACGCACACATCACAAAGGAGTTTCTGAGAATCATTCTGTCTAGTTTTGAAACGAAGATATTTCCTTTTCTACCATTGACCTCAAAGCGGCTGAAATCTCCACTTGCAAATTCCACAAAAAGAGTGTTTCAAATCTGCTCTGTGTAAAGGATCGTTCAACTCTGTGAGTTGAATATACACAACACAAGGAAGTTACTGGGAATTCTTCTGTCTAGCCTTACGTGAAAAAAACCCGTTTCCAACAAAGACCTCTAAGTGGTCAAAAGATCCTCGTGCAGACTTTACAAACAGAGTGTTTCCAAAGTGCTGAATGAAAAGAAAAGTTAAACTCTGAGAGTTGAACGCACACATCACAGAGCATTTTCTGAGAATGATTCTGTCTAGTTTTTATACGAAGATATTTCCTTTTCCACCATTGACCTCAAAGCGGCTGAAATCACCACTTGCCAATTGCACAAAAAGAGTGTTTCAAATCTGCTCTCTCTAAGGAAACGTTCAACTCTGTGAGTTGAATGTACACAACACAAGGAAGTTACTGGGAATTCTTCTGTCTAGCCTTACAGGAAAAAAACCCGTTTCCAACGAAGTCCTCTAAGTGGTCAAGTTATCCACGTGCAGACTTTACAAACAGAGTGTTTCCAAACTGCTGAATGAAAAGAAAAGTTAAACTCTGAGAGTTGAACGCACACATCGCAGAGCAGTTTCTGAGAATGATTCTGTCTAGTTTTTATATGAAGATATTTCCTTTTCTACCATTGACCTCAAATCGGCTGAAATCTCCACTTACAAATTCCACAAAAAGAGTGTCTCAAGTCTGCTCTGTGTAAACGATCGTTCAACTCTGTGAGTTGAATACACACAACTCAAGGAAGTTTCTGAGAATTCTTCTTTCTAGCAGAATATGAAGAAATCCCTTTTCCAACGAAAGCCTCAAGGATGTCTGAATATCCACTTGCAGACTTTACAAACAGAGTGTTTCCTAACTGCTCTATGAAAAGAAAGGTTAAACTCTGTGAGTTGAACGCACACATCACAAAGGAGTTTCTGAGAATCATTCTGTCTAGTTTCTATAGGAAGATATTTCCTTTTCTACCATTGACCTCAAAGCGGCTGAAATCTCCCCCTGCAAATTCCACAAAAAGAGTGTTTCAAGTCTGTTCTGTGTAAAGGATCATTCAACTCTGTGAGTTGAATACACACAACACAAGGAAGTTACTGAGAATTCTTCTGTCTAGCATAATATGAAGAAATCCCGTTTCCAACGAAGGCCTCAAAGAGGTCTGAATATCCACTTGCAGACTATACAAACAGAGTGTTTCCTAACTGCTCTATGAAAAGAAAGGTTAAACTCTGTGAGTTGAATGCACACATCACAAAGGAGTTTCTGAGAATCATTCTGTCTAATTTTGAAACGAAGATATTTCCTTTTCTGCCATTGACCTCAAAGCGCTTGAAATCTCCACTTGCCAATTGCACAAAAAGAGTGTTTCAAATCTGCTCTGTCTAAGGGAACGTTCAACTCTGTGAGTTGAATGTGCACAACACAAGGAAGTTACTGGGAATTCTTCTGTCTAGCCTTACAGGAAAAAAACCCGTTTCCAACGAAGGCCTCTAAGTGGTCAAAATATCCACGTGCAGACTTTACAAACAGAGTGTTTCCAAACTGCTGAATGAAAAGAAAAGTTAAACTCTGAGAGTTGAACACACACATCGCAGAGCAGTTTCTGAGAATGATTCTGTCTAGTTTTTATACGAAGATATTTCCTTTTCTGCCTTTGGCCTCAAAGCGCTTGAAATCTCCACTTGCAAATTCCACAAAAAGAGTGTTTCAAGTCCTGCTCTGTGTAAAGGAACGTTCAACTCTGTGAGTTGAATACACACAACACAAGGAAGTTACTGAGAATTCTTCTCTGTAGCAGAATATGAAGAAATCCCGTTTCCAACGAAGGCCTCAAGGAGGTCTGAATATCCACTTGCAGACGTTACAAACAGAGTGTTTCCTAACTGCTCTATGAAAAGAAAGGTTAAACTCTGTGAGTTGAACGCACACATCACAAAGGAGTTTCTGAGAATCACTCTGTCTAGTTTCTATAGGAAGATATTTCCTATTCTACCATTGACCTCAAAGCGGCAGAAATCTCCACTTGCAAATTCCACAAAAACAGTGTTTCAAGACTGCTCTGTGTAAAGGATCGTTCAACTCTGTGAGTTCAATACACACAACACAAGGAAGTTACTGAGAATTCTTCTGTCTAGCAGAATATGAAGAAATCCCGTTTCCAACGAAGGCCTCAAGATGTCAGAATATCCACTTACAGACTTTACAAACAGAGTGTTTCCTAACTGCTCTATGAACAGAAAGGTTAAACTCTGTGAGTTGAACGAACACATCACAACGCAGTTTGTGGGAATTATTCTGTCTAGTTTTGAAACGAAGATATTTCCTTTTCTGCCATTGACCTTAAAGCGCTTGAAATCTACGCTTGCAAATTGCACAAATAGAGTGTTTCAAATCTGCTCTGTCTAAGGGAACGTTGAACTCTGTGAGTTGAATGCACACAACACAAGGGAGTTACTGGGAATTCTTCTCTCTAGCCTTACAGGAAAAAAACCCGTTTCCAACGAAGGCCTCTAAATGGTCAAAATATCCACTTGCAGACTTTACAAACAGAGTGTTTCCAAACTGCTGAATGAAAAGAAAAGTTAAACTCTGAGAGTTGAACGCACACATCGCAGAGCAGTTTCTGAGAATGATTCTGTCTAGTTTTTATACGAAGATATTTCCTTTTCTGCCTTTGGCCTCAAAGCGCTTGAAATCTCCACTTGGAAATTCCACAAAAAGAGTGTTTCAAATCTGCTCTGTGTAAATGAAAGTTCAACTCTGTGAGTTGAACACACACAACACAAGGAAGTTACTGGGAATTCCTTCTGTCTAGCAGAATATGAAGAAATCCCGTTTCCAACGAAGGCGTCAAAGAGGTCTTAATATCCACTTGCAGACTTTACAAACAGAGTGTTTCCTAACTGCTCTATGAAAAGAAAGGTTAAACTCTGTGAGTTCAACGCACACATCACAAAGGAGTTTCTGAGAATCATTCTGTCTAGTTTCTATAGGAAGATATTTCCTATTCTACCATTGACCTCAAAGCGGCTGAAATCTCCACTTGCAAATTCCACAAAAAGAGTGTTTCAAGACTGTTCTGTGTAAAGGATCATTCAACTCTGTGAGTTGAATACACACAACACAAGGAAAGTTACTGAGAATTCTTCTGTCTAGCAGAATATGAAGAAATCCCGTTTCCAACGAAGGCCTCAAAGAGGTCTGAATATCCACTTGCAGACTTTACACACAGAGTGTTTCCTAACTGCTCTATGAACAGAAAGGTTAAACTCTGTGAGTTGAACGAACACATCACAACGCAGTTTGTGGGAATGATTCTGTCTAGTTTTGAAACGAAGATATTTCCTTTTCTGCCATTGACCTTAAAGCGCTTGAAATCTACACTTGCAAATTGCACAAATAGAGTGTTTCAAATCTGCTCTGTCTAAGGGAACGTTCAACTCTGTGAGTGGAATGCACACAACACAAGGAAGTTACTGGGAATTCTTCTGTCTAGCCTTACACGAAAAAAACCCGTTTCCAACGAAGGCCTCTAAGTGGTCAAATTATCCACGTGCAGACTTTACAAACAGAGTGTTTCCAAACTGCTGAATGAAAAGAAAAGTTAAACTCTGAGAGTTGAACGCACACATCGCAGAGCAGTTTCTGAGAATGATTCTGTCTACTTTTTATACGAAGATATTTCCTTTTCTGCCTTTGGCCCCAAAGCGCTTGAAATCTACACTTGCAAATTCCACAAAAACAGTGTTTCAAATCTGCTCTCTCTAAATGAAAGTTCAACTCTGTCAGTTGAATACACACAACACAAGGAAGTTACTGAGAATTATTCTGTCTAGCATAATATGAAGAAATCCCGTTTCCAACGAAGGCCTCAAAAAGGTCTGAATATCCACTTGCAGACTTTACAAACAGAGTGTTTCCTAACTGCTCTATGAAAAGAAAAGTTAAACTCTGTGAGTTGAACGCACACATCACAAAGGAGTTTATGAGAATCATTCTGTCTTGTTTTTATATGAAGATATTTCCTTTTCCACCATTGACCACAAAGCGGCAGAAATCTCCACTTGCAAATTCCACAAAAAGAGTGTTTCAAATCTGCTCTGTGTAAAGGATCGTTCAACTCTGTGACTTGAATACACACAACACAAGGAAGTTACTGAGAATTCTTCTGTCTAGCAGAATATGAAGAAATCCCGTTTCCAACGAAGGCCTCTAGGAGGTCTGAATATCCACATGCAGACTTTACAAACAGAGTGTTTCCTAAGTGCTCTATGAACAGAAAGGTTAAACTCTGTGAGTTGAACGAACACATCACAACGCAGTTTGTGGGAATGATTCTGTCTAGTTTTGAAACGAAGATATTTCCTTTTCTGCCGTTGACCTTAAAGCGCTTGAAATCTACACTTGCAGATTGCACAAATAGAGTGTTTCAAATCTGCTCTGTCTAAGGGAACGTTCAACTCTGTGAGTTGAATGCACACAACACAAGGAAGTTACTGGGAATTCTTCTGTCTAGCCTTACATGAAAAAAACCCGTTTCCAAGGAAGGCCTCTAAGTGGTCAAAATATCCACGTGCAGACTTTACAAACAGAGTGTTTCCAAACCGCTGAATGAAAAGAAAAGTTAAACTCTGAGAGTTGAACGCACACATCACGCAGCAGTTTCTGAGAATGATTCTGTCTAGTTTTCATACGAAGATATTTCCTTTTCTGCCTTTGGCCCCAAAGCGCTTGAAATCTCCACTTGCAAATTCCACAAAAACAGTGTTTCAAATCTGCTCTCTCTAAATGAAAGTTCAACTCTGTCAGTTGAATACACATAACACAAGGAAGTTACTGAGAATTCTTCTGTCTAGCATAATATGAAGAAATCCCGTTTCCAACGAAGGCCTCAAAGGGGTCTGAATATCCACTTGCAGACTTTATAAACACAGTGTTTACTAACTGCTCTATGAAAAGAAAGGTTAAACTCTGTGAGTTGAACACACACATCACAAAGGAGTTTCTGAGAATCATTCTGTCTAGTTTCTATAGGAAGATATTTCCTATTCTACCATTGACCTCAAATCGGCTAAAATCTCCACTTGCAAATTCCACAAAAAGAGTGTTTCAAGTCCGCTCTGTGTAAAGGATCGTGCAACTCTGTGAGTTGAATACACACAACACAAGGAAGTTACTGAGAATTCTTCTGTCTAGCAGAATATGAAGAAGTCCCGTTTCCAACGAAGGCCACAATATGTCAGAATATCCACTTACAGACTTTACAAACAGAGTGTTTCCTAACTGCTCTATGAACAGAAAGGTTAAACTCTGTGAGTTGAACGAACACATCACAACGCAGTTTGTGGGAATGATTCTGTCTATTTTTAAAACGAAGATATTTCCTTTTCTGCCATTGACCTTAAAGCGCTTGAAATCTACAATTGCAAATTGCACAAATAGAGTGTTTCAAATGTGCTCTGTCTAAGGGAACGTTCAACTCTGTGAGTTGAATGCACACAACACAAGGAAGTTACTGGGAATTCTTCTGTCTAGCCTTACATGAAAAAAAACAGTTTCCAACGAAGGCCTCTAAGTGCTGAAAATATCCACGTGCAGACTTTACAAACAGAGTGTTTCCAAACTGCTGAATGAAAAGAAAATTTAAACTCTGAGAGTTGGACGCACACATCACAGAGCAGTTTCTGAGAATGATTCTGTCTAGTTTTTATACGAAGATATTTCCTTTTCTGCCTTTGGCCTCAAAGCGCTTGAAATCTAAACTTGCAAATTCCACAAAAAGAGTGTTTCAAATCTGCTCTGTGTAAATCAAAGTTCAACTCTGTGAGTTGAACACACACAACACAAGGAAGTTACTGGGAATTCTTCTGTCTAGCATAATATGAAGAAATCCCGTTTCCAACGAAGGCCTCAAGGAGGTCTGAATATCCACTTGCAGACTTTACAAACAGAGTGTTTCCTAACTGCTCTATGAAAAGAAAGGTTAAACTCTGTGAGTTGAACGCACACATTACAAAGGAGTTTCTCAGAATCATTCTGTCTAGTTTCTATAGGAAGATATTTCCTATTCTACCATTGACTTCAAAGCGGCTGAAATCTCCACTTGCAAATTCCACAAAAAGAGTGTTTCAAGTCTGCTCTGTGTAAAGGATCGTTCAACTCTGTGAGTTGAATACAGACAACACAAGGAAGTTACTGAGAATTCTTCTGTCTAGCATAATATGAAGAAATCCCGTTTCCAACGAAGGCCTCAAGGAGGTCTGAATATCCACTTGCAGACTTTACAAACAGAGTGTTTCCCAACTGCTCTATGAAAAGAAAGGTTAAACTGTGTGAGTTGAACGCACACATCACAAAGGAGTTTCTGAGAATCATTCTGTCTAGTCTTTATACGAAGATATTTCCTTTTCTACCATTGACTCAAAGCGGCAGAAATCTCCCCTTGCATATTCCACAAAAAGAGTGTTTCAACTCTGCTCTGTGTAAAGGATCGTTCAACTCTGTGAGTTGAATACACACAACACAAGGAAGTTACTGAGAATTCTTCTGTCTAGCAGAATATGAAGAAATCCCGTTTCCAACGAAGGCCACAAGATGTCTGAATATCCACTTACAGACTTTACAAACAGAGTGTTTCCTAACTGCTCTATGAACAGAAAGGTTAAACTCTGTGAGTTGAACGAACACATCACAACGCAGTTTGTGGGAATGATTTCTGTCTAGTTTTGAAACGAAGATATTTCCTTTTCTGCCATTGACCTTAAAGCGCTTGAAATCTACACTTGCAAATTGCACAAATAGAGTGTTTCAAATCTGCTGTGTCTAAGGAACGTTCAACTCTGTGAGTTGAATGCACACAACACAAGGAAGTTACTGGGAATTCTTCTGTCTAGCCTTATGTGAAAAAAACCCGTTTCCAACAAAGACCTCTAAGTGGTCAAAATATCCTCGTGAAGACTTTACAAACAGAGTGTTTCCAAAGTGCTGAATGAAAAGAAAAGTTAAACTCTGAGAGTTGAACGCACACATCACAGAGCAGTTTCTGAGAATGATTCTGTCTAGTTTTGAAACGAAGATATTTCCTTTTCTGCCTTTGGCCTCAAAGCGCTTGAAATCTCCACTTGCAAATTCCACAAAAAGAGTGTTTCAAATCTGCTCTGTGTAAACGAAAGTTCAACTCTGTGAGTTGAACACACACAACACAAGGAAGTTACTGGGAATTCTTCTGTCTAGCCTTATATGAAAAAAACCCGTTTCCAACGAAGGCCTCAAAGAGGTCTGAATATCCACTTGCAGACTTTACAAACAGAGTGTTTCCTAACTGCTCTATGAAAAGAAAGGTTAAACTCTGTGCGTTGAACACACACATCACAAAGGAGTTTCTGAGAATCATTCTGTCTAGTTTTTCTACGAAGATATTTCCTTTTCTACTATTGACCTCAAAGCGGCTGAAATCTCCACTTGCAAATTCTACAAATAGAGTGTTTCAAGTCTGCTCTGTGTAAAGGATCGTTCAACTCTGTGAGTTCAATACACACAACACAAGGAAGTTGCTGAGAATTCTTCTGTCTAGCAGAATATGAAGAAATCCCGTTTCCAACGAAGGCCTCAAAGAGGTCTGAATATCCACTTGCAGACTTTACAAACAGAGTGTTTCCTAACTGCTCTATGAAAAGAAAAGTTAAACTCTGTGAGTTGAACGCACACATCACAAAGTAGTTTATGAGAATCATTCTGTCTAGTTTTTATACGAAGATATTTCCTTTTCTACCATTGACCTCAAAGCGGCTGAAATCTCCACTTGCAAATTCCACAAAAAGAGTGTTTCAAGTCTGCTCTTTGTAAAGGATAGTTCAACTCTGTGAGTTGAATACACACAACACAAGGAAGTTACTGAGAATTTTTCTGTCTAGCAGAATATGAAGAAATACCGTTTCCAACGAAGGCCTCAAGGAGGTCTGAATATCCACTTGCAGACTTTACAAACAGTGTGTTTCCTAACTGCTCTATGAACAGAAAGGTTAAAGTCTGTGAGTTGAACGAACACATCACAACGCAGTTTGTGGGAATGATTCTGTCTAGTTTTGAAACGCAGATATTTCCTTTTTTGCCATTGACCTTAAAGCGCTTGAAATCTACACTTGCAAATTACACAAATAGAGTGTTTCAAATCTGCTCTGTCTAAGGGAATGTTCATCTCTGTGAGTTGAATGCACACAACACAAGGAAGTTACTGGGAATTCTTCTGTCTAGCCTTACAGGAAAAAAACCCATTTCCAACGAAGGCCTCTAAGTGGTCAAAATATCCACGTGCAGACTTTACAAACAGAGTGTTTCCAAACTGCTGAATGAAAAGAAAAGTTAAACTCTGAGAGTTGAACGCACACATCGCAGAGCAGTTTCTGAGAATGATTCTGTCTAGTTTTTATACGAAGATATTTCCTTTTCTGCCTTTGGCCCCAAAGCGCTTGAAATCTCCACTTGCAAATTCCACAAAAACAGTGTTTCAAATCTGCTCTCTCTAAATGAAAGTTCAACTCTGTCAGTTGAATACACAACACAAGGAAGTTACTGAGAATTCTTCTGTCTAGCATAGTATGAAGAAATCCCGTTTCCAACGAAGGCCTCAAAGAGGTCTGAATATCCACTTGCAGAGTTTACAAACAGAGTGTTTCCTAACTGCTCTATGAAAAGAAAGGTTAAACTCTGTGAGTTGAATGCACACATCACAAAGAAGTTTCTGAGAATCATTCTGTCTAGTTTTTATACGAAGATATTTCCTTTTCTACCATGGACCTCAAAGCGGCTGAAATCTCCACTTGCAAATTCCACAAAAAGAGTGTTTCAAGTCTGCTCTGTGTAAAGGATCGTTCAACTCTGTGAGTTGAATACACACTACACAAGGAAGATTCTGAGAATTCTTCTGTCTAGCAGAATGTGAAGAAATCCCGTTTCCAACGAAGGCCACAAGATGTCAGAATATCCACTTA
Source organism: Homo sapiens (assembly GCF_000001405.40). NCBI lineage: Eukaryota > Metazoa > Chordata > Mammalia > Primates > Hominidae > Homo > Homo sapiens. Next base: position 48,497,979 of record NC_000005.10, on the reverse strand, counting down.
CAGAGTTTACAAACAGAGTGTTTCCTAACTGCTCTATGAACAGAAAGGTTAAACTCTGTGAGTTGAACGAACACATCACAACGCAGTTTGTGGGAATGATTCTGTCTAGTTTTGAAACGAAGATATTTCCTTTTCTGCCGTTGACCTTAAAGCGCTTGAAATCTACACTTGCAAATTGGACAAATAGAGTGTTTCAAATCTGCTCTGTCTAAGGGAACGTTCAACTCTGTGAGTTGAATGCACACAACACAAGGAAGTTACTGGGAATTCTTCTGTCTAGCCTTACATGAAAAAAACCCGTTTCCAACGAAGGCCTCTTAGTGGTCAAAATATGCACGTGCAGACTTTACAAACACAGTATTTCCAAACCGCTGAATGAAAAGAAAAGTTAAACTCTGAGAGTTGAACGCACACATCACGCAGCAGTTTCTGAGAATGATTCTGTCTAGTTTTTATACGAAGATATTTCCTTTTCTGCCTTTGGCTTCACAGCGCTTGAAATCTCCACTTGCAAATTCCACAAAAAGAGTCTTTCAAATCTGCTCTGTGTAAATGAAAGTTCAACTCTGTGAGTTGAACACACACAACACAAGGAAGTTACTGGGAATTCTTCTTTCTAGCAGAATATGAAGAAATCCCGTTTCCAACGAAAGCCTCAAGGATGTCTGAATATCCACTTGCAGACTTTACAAACAGAGTGTTTCCTAACTGCTCTATGAAAAGAAAGGTTAAACTCTCTGAGTTCAACGCACACATCACAAAGGAGTTTCTGAGAATCATTCTGTCTCTTTTCTGTAGGAAGATATTTCCTATTCTACCATTGACTTCAAAGCGGCTGAAATCTCCACTTGCAAATTCCACAAAAAGAGTGTTTCAAGTCTGCTCTCTGTAAAGGATCGTTCAACTCTGTGAGTTGAATACACACAACACAAGGAAATTACTGAGAATTCTTCTTTCTAGCAGAATATGAAGAAATCCCGTTTCCAACGAAAGCCTCAAGGATGTCTGAATATCCACTTGCAGACTTTACAAACAGAGTGTTTCCTAACTGCTCTATGAAAAGAAAGGTTAAACTCTGTGAGTTTAACGCACACATCACAAAGGAGTTTCTGAGAATCATTCTGTCTAGTTTTGAAAGGAAGATATTTCCTTTTCTGCCATTGACCTTAAAGCGCTTAAAATCTCCCCTTGCCAATTGCACAAAAAGAGTGTTTCAAATCTGCTCTGTCTAAGGGAACGTTCAACTCTGTGAGTTGAATGTACACAACACAAGGAAGTTACTGGGAATTCTTCTGTCTAGCCTTACAAGAAAGAAACCCGTTTCCAACGAAGGCCTCTAAGTGGTCAAAATATCCACGTGCAGACTTTACAAACAGAGTGTTTCCAAACTGCTGAATGAAAAGAAAAGTTAAAATCTGAGAGTTGAACGCACACATCGCAGAGCAGTTTCTGAGAATGATTCTGTCTAGTTTTTATACGAAGATATTTCCTTTTCTGCCTTTGGCCTCAAAGCGCTTGAAATCTCCACTTGCAAATTCCACAAAAAGAGTGCTTCAAATCTGCTCTGTCTAAGGGAACGTTCAACTCTGTGAGTTGAACACACACAACACAAGGAAGTTACTGGGAATTCTTCTGTCTAGCCTTATATGAAAAAAACCCGTTTCCAACGAAGGCCTCAAAGAGGTCTGAATATCCACTTGCAGACTTTACAAACAGAGTGTTTCCTAACTGCTCTATTAAAAGAAAGGTTAAACTCTGTGAGTTGAACGCACACATCACAAAGGAGTTTCTGAGAATCATTCTGTCTAGTTTCTATAGGAAGATATTTCCTATTCTACCATTGACCTCAAAGCGGCTGAAATCTCCACTTGCAAATTCCAGAAAAAGAGTGTTTCAAGTCTGCTCTGTGTAAAGGATCGTTGAAATCTGTGAGTTGAATACACACAACACAATGAAGTTACTGAGAATTCTTCTCTCTAGCAGAATATGAAGAAATCCCGTTTCCAACGAAGGCCTCAAATAGGTCTGAATATCCACTTGCAGACTTTACAAACAGAGTGTTTCCTAACTGCTCTATGAAAAGAAAGGTTAAACTCTGTGAGTTGAATGCACACATCACAAAGGAGTTTCTGAGAATCATTCTGTCTAGTTTTTATAGGAAGATATTTCCTTTTCTACTTTGACTTCAAAGCGGCTGAAATCTCCACTTGCAAATTCCACAAAAAGAGTGTTACAAGTCTGCTCTCTGTAAAGGATCGTTCAACTGTGTGAGTTGAATACACACAACACAAGGAAGTTACTGAGAATTCTTCTGTCTAGCCTTACATGAAAAAAACCCGTTTCCAACGAAGGCCTCTAAGTGGTCAAATTATCCACGTGCAGACTTTACAAACAGAGTGTTTCCAAACTGCCGAATGAAAACAAAAGTTAAACTCTGAGAGTTGAACGCACACATCGCAGAGCAGTTTCTGAGAATGATTCTGTCTAGTTTTGAAACGGAGATATTTCCTTTTCTGCCTTTGGCCTCAAAGCGCTTGAAATCTCCACTTGCAAATTCCACAAAAAGAGTGTTTCAAATCTGCTCTGGGTAAATGAAAGTTCAACTCTGTGAGTTGAACACACACAACACAAGGAAGTTACTGGGAATTCTTCTGTCTAGCAGAATATGAAGAAATCCCGTTTCCAATGAAGGCCTCAAGGAGGTCTGAATATCCACTTGCAGACTTTACAAACAGAGTGTTTCCTAACTGCTCTATGAAAAGAAAGGTTAAACTCTGTGAGTTGAACGCACACATCACAAAGGAGTTTATGAGAGTCATTCTGTCTAGTTTCTATACGAAGATATTTCCTATTCTACCATTGACCTCAAAGCGGCTGAAATCTCCACTTGCAAATTCCACAAAAAGAGTGTTTCAAGTCTGCTCTGTGTAAAGGATCGTTCAACTCTGTGAGTTGAATACACACAACACTAGGAAGTTACTGAGAATTCTTTTGTCTAGCAGAATATGAAGAAATCCCGCTTCCAACGAAGGCCTCAAAGAAGTCTGAATATCCACTTGCAGACTTTACAAACAGAGTGTTTCCCAACTGCTCTATGAAAAGAAAGGTTGAACTCTGTGAGTTGAACGCACACATCACAAAGGAGTTTCTGAGAATCATTCTGTCTAGTTTTGAAACGAAGATATTTCCTTTTCTGCCATTGACCTTAAAGCGCTTGAAATCTACACTTGCAAATTGCACAAATAGAGTGTTTCAAATCTGCTCTGTCTAAGGGAACGTTCAACTCTGTGAGGTGAATGCACACAACACAAGGAAGTTACTGGGAATTCTTCTGTCTAGCCTTACATGAAAAAATCCCGTTTCCAACGAAGGCCTCTAAGTGGTCAAAATATCCACGTGCAGACTTTACAAACAGAGTGTTTCCAAACCGCTGAATGAAAAGAAAAGTTAAACTCTGAGAGTTGAACGCACACAATACGCAGCAGTTTCTGAGAATGATTCTGTCTAGTTTTTATACGAAGATATTTCCTTTTCTGACTTTGGCCCCAAAGCGCTTGAAATCTCCACTTGCAAATTCCACAAAAACAGTGTTTCAAATCTGCTCTCTCTAAATGAAAGTTCAAATCTGTCAGTTGAATACACACAACACAAAGAAGTTACTGAGAATTCTTCTTTCTAGCATAATATGAAGAAATCCCGTTTCCAACGAAAGCCTCAAGGATGTCTGAATATCCACTTGCAGACTTTACAAACAGAGTGTTTCCTAACTGCTCTATGAAAAGAAAGGTTGAACTCTGTGAGTTGAACGCACACATCACAAAGGAGTTTCTGAGAATCATTCTGTCTAGTTTCTATAGGAAGATATTTCCTATTCTACCATTGACCTCAAAGCGGCTGAAATCTACACTTGCAAATTCCAGAAAAAGAGTGTTTCAAGTCTGCTCTGTGTAAAGGATCGTTGAAATCTGTGAGTTGAATACACACAACACAATGAAGTTACTGAGAATTCTTCTCTCTAGCAGAATATGAAGAAATCCCGTTTCCAAAGAAGGCCTCAAAGAGGTCTGAATATCCACTTGCAGACTTTACAAACAGAGTGTTTCCTAACTGCTCTATGAAAAGAAAGGTTAAACTCTGTGAGTTGAACGCACACATCACAAAGGAGTTTCTGAGAATCATTCTGTCTAGTTTTGAAACGAAGATATTTCCTTTTCTGCCGTTGACCTTAAAGCGCTTGAAATCTACACTTGGAAATTTCACAAATAGAGTGTTTCAAATCTGCTCTGTCTAAGGGAACGTTCAACTCTGTGAGTTGAATGCACACAACACAAGGAAGTTACTGGGAATTCTTCTGTCTAGCCTTACATGAAAAAAACCCGTTTCCAACGAAGGCCTCTAAGTGGTCAAAATATCCACGTGCAGACTTTACAAACAGAGTGTTTCCAAACCGCTGAATGAAAAGAAAAGTTAAACTCTGAGAGTTGAACGCACACATCACGCAGCAGCTTCTGAGAATGATTCTGTCTAGTTTTTATACGAAGATATTTCCTTTTCTGCCTTTGGCCCCAAAGCGCTTGAAATCTCCACTTGCAAATTTCACAAATCAGTGTTTCAAATCTGCTCTCTCTAAATGAAAGTTCAACTCTGTCAGTTGAATACACACAACACAAGGAAGTTACTGAGAATTCTTCTTTCTAGCATAATATGAAGAAATCCCGTTTCCAACGAAAGCCTCAAGGATGTCTGAATATCCACTTGCAGACTTTACAAACAGAGTGTTTCCCAACTGCTCTATGAAAAGAAAGGTTGAACTCTGTGAGTTGAACGCACACATCACAAAGGAGTTTCTGAGAATCATTCTGTCTAGTTTCCTATAGGAAGATATTTCCTATTCTACCATTGACCTCAAAGCGGCTGAAATCTCCACTTGCAAATTCCACAAAAAGAGTGTTTCAAGTCTGCTCTGTGTAAAGGATCGTTCAACTCTGTGAGTTGAATACACACAACACAAGGAAGTTACTGAGAATTCTTCTGTCTAGCAGAATATGAAGAAATCCCGCTTCCAACGAAGGCCTCAAATAAGTCCGAATATCCACTTGCAGACTTTACAAACAGAGTGTTTCCCAACTGCTCTATGAAAAGAAAGGTTGAACTCTGTAAGTTGAATGCACACATCACAAAGGAGTTTCTGAGAATCATTCTGTCTAGTTTCTATAGGAAGATATTTCCTATTCTACCATTGACCACAAAGCGGCTGACATCTCCACTTGCAAATTCCACAAAAAGAGTGTTTCAAGTCTGCTCTGTGTAAAGGATCGTTCAACTCTGTGAGTTGAATACACACAACACAAGGAAGTTACTGAGAATTCTTCTGTCTAGCCTTACATGAAAAAAACCCGTTTCCAACGAAGGCCTCTAAGTGGTCAAAATATCCACGTGCAGACTTTACAAACAGAGTGTTTCTAAACTGCTGAATGAAAAGAAAAGTTAAACTCTGAGAGTTGAACGCATACATCGCAGAGCAGTTTCTGAGAATGATTCTGTCTAGTTTTTATACGAAGATATATCCTTTTCTGCCTTTGGCCTCAAAGCGCTTGAAATCTCCACTTGCAAATTCCAGAAAAAGAGTGTTTCAATTCTGCTCTGTCTAAATGAAAGTTCAACTCTGTCAGTTGAATACACACAACAAAAGCAAGTTACTGAGAATTCTTCTGTCTAGCAAAATATGAAGAAATCCCGTTTCCAACGAAGGCCTCAAAGGGGTCTGAATATCCACTTGCAGACTTTATAAACAGAGTGTTTACTAACTGCTCTATGAAAAGAAAGGTTAAACTCTGTGAGTTGAACACACACATCACAAAGGAGTTTCTGAGAATCATTCTGTCTAGTTTCTTTAGGAAGATATTTACTATTCTACCATTGACCTCAAAGCGGCTGAAATCTCCACTTGCAAATTCCACAACAAGAGTGTTTCAAGTCTGCTCTGTGTAAACGATCGTTCAACTCTGTGAGTTGAATACACACAACACAAGGAAGTTTCTGAGAATTCTTCTGTCTAGCAGAATATGAAGAAATCCCGTTTCCAACGAAGGCCACAAGATGTCAGAATATCCACTTACAGACTTTACAAACAGAGTGTTTCCTAAGTGCTCTATGAACAGAAAGGTTAAACTCTGTGAGTTGAACGAACACATCACAACGCAGTTTGTGGGAATGATTCTGTCTAGTTTTAAAACGAAGATATTTCCTTTTCTGCCATTGACCTTAAAGCGCTTGAAATCTACACTTGCAAATTGCACAAATAGAGTGTTTCAAATCTGCTCTCTCTAAATGAAAGTTCAACTCTGTCAGTTGAATACACACAACACAAGGAAGTTACTGAGAATTCTTCTGTCTAGCCTTACATGAAAAAAAACCCGTTTCCAACGAAGGCCTCTAAGAGGTCAAAATATCCACGTGCAGACTTTACAAACAGAGTGTTTCCAAACCGCTGAATGAAAAGAAAAGTTAAACTCTGAGAGTTGAACGCACACATCACGCAGCAGTTTCTGAGAATGATTCTGTCTAGTTTTTATACGAAGATATTTCCTTTTCTGCCTTTGGCCTCAAAGCGCTTGAAATCTCCATTTGCAAATTCCACAAAAAGAGTGTTTCAAATCTGCTCTGTGTAAATGAAAGTTCAACCCTGTGAGTTGAACACACACAACACAAGAAAGTTACTGGGAATTCTTCTGTCTAGCAGAATATGAAGAAATCCCGTTTCCAACGAAGGCCTCAAAGAGGTCTGAATATCCACTTGCAGACTTTCCAAACAGAGTGTTTACTAACTGCTCTATGAAAAGAAAGGTTAAACTCTGTGAGTTGAACGCACACATCACAAAGGAGTTTCTGAGAATCATTCTGACTAGTTTCTATAGGAAGATATTTCCTATTCTACCATTGACCACAAAGCGGCTGAAATCTCCACTTGCAAATTCCACAAAAAGAATGTTTCAAGTCTGCTCAGTGTAAAGGATCGTTCAACTCTGTGAGTTGAATACACACAACACAAGGAAGTTACTGAGAATTCTTCTGTCTAGCAGAATATGAAGAAATCCCGTTTCCAACGAAGGCCTCAAGGAGGTCTGAATATCCACTTGCAGACTTTACAAACAGAGTGTTTCCTAACTGCTCTATGAACAGAAATGTTAAACTCTGTGAGTTGAACGAACACATCACAACGCAGTTTGTGGGAATGATTCTGTCTAGTTTTGAAACGAAGATATTTCCTTTTCTGCCATTGACCTTAAAGCGCTTGAAATCTACACTTGCAAATTGCACAAATAGAGAGTTTCAAATCTGCTCTGTCTAAGGGAACGTTCAACTCTGTGAGTTGAATGCACACAACACAAGGAAGTTACTGGGAATTCTTCTGTCTAGCCTTACATGAAAAAAACCCGTTTCCAACGAAGGCCTCTAAGTGGTCAAATTATCCACGTGCAGACTTTACAAACAGAGTGTTTCCAAACTGCTGAATGAAAAGCAAAGTTAAACTCTGAGAGTTGAACGCACACATCGCAGAGCAGTTTACTGAGAATGATTCTGTCTAGTTTTGAAACGAAGATATTTCCTTTTCTACCTTTGGCCTCAAAGCGCTTGAAATCTCCACTTGCAAATTCCACAAAAAGAGTGTTTCAAATCTGCTCTGTTTAAATGAAAGTTCAACTCTGTGAGTTGAACACACACAACACAAGGAAGTTACTGGGAATTCTTCTGTCTAGCCTTATATGAAAAAAACCCGTTTCCAACGAAGGCCTCAAAGAGGGCTGAATATCCACTTGCAGACTTTACAAGCAGAGTGATTCCTAACTGCTCTATGAAAAGAAAGGTTAAACTCTGTGAGTTGAACGCACACATCACAAAGGAGTTTCTGAGAATCATTCTGTCTAGTTTCTATAGGAAGATATTTCCTATTCTACCATTGACCTCAAAGCGGCTGAAATCTCCACTTGCAAATTCCACAAAAAGAGTGTTTCAAGTCTGCTCTGTGTAAAGGATAGTTCAACTCTGTGAGTTGAATACACACAACATAAGGAAGTTACTGAGAATTCTTCTGTCTAGCAGAATATGAAGAAATCCCGTTTCCAACGAAGGCCACAGGATGTCAGAATATCCACTTACAGACTTTACAAACAGAGTGTTTCCTATCTGCTCTAAGAACACAAAGGTTAAACTCTGTGAGTTGAACGAACACATCACAACGCAGTTTGTGGGAATGATTCTGTCTAGTTTTTATACGAAGATATTTCCTTTTCTACCATTGACCTCAAAGCGGCTGAAATCACCACTTGCCAATTGCACAAAAAGAGTGTTTCAAATCTGCTCTGTCTAAGGGAACGTTCAACTCTGTGAGTTGAATGTACACAACACAAGGAAGTTACTGGGAATTCTTCTGTCTAGCCTTACAGGAAAAAAACCCGTTTCCAACGAAGGCCTCTAAGTGGTCAAAATATCCACGTGCAGACTTTACAAACAGAGTGTTTCCAAACTGCTGAATGAAAAGAAAAGTTAAACTCTGAGAGTTGAACAGCACACATCGCAGAGCAGTTTCTGAGAATGATTCTGTCTAGTTTTTATACGAAGATATTTCCTTTTCTGCCTTTGGCCTCAAAGCACTTGAAATCTCCACTTGCAAATTTCACAAAAAGAGTGTTTCCAATCTGCTCTGTGTAAATGAAAGTTCAACTCTGTGAGTTGAACACACACAACACAAGGAAGTTACTGGGAATTCTTCTGTCTAGCCTCATATGAAAAAAACCCGTTTCCAACGAAGGCCTCAAAGAGGTCTGAATATCCACTTGCAGACTTTACAAACAGAGTGTTTCCTAACTGCTCTATGAAAAGAAAGGTTAAACTCTGTGAGTTGAACACACACATCACAAAGGAGTTTCTGAGAATCATTCTGTCTAGTCTTTATACGAAGATACTTTCCTTTTCTACCATTGACCTCAAAGCGGCTGAAATCTCCACTTGCAAATTCCACAAAAAGAGTGTTTCAAGTCTGCTCTGTTTAAAGGATCGTTCAACCCTGTGAGTTTAATACACACAACACAAGGAAGTTACTGAGAATTCTTCTGTCTAGCAGAATATGAAGAAATCCGGTTTCCAACGAAGGCCACAAGATGTCAGTATATCCACTTACAGACTTTACAAACAGAGTGTTTCCTAACTGCTCTATGAACACAAAGGTTAAACTCTGTGAGTTGAACGAACACATCACAACGCAGTTTGTGGGAATGATTCTGTCTAGTTTTGAAACGAAGATATTTCCTTTTCTGCCGTTGACCTTAAAGCGCTTGAAATCTACACTTGGAAATTGCACAAATAGAGTGTTTCAAATCTGCTCTGTCTAAGGGAACGTTCAACTCTGTGAGTTGAATGCACACAACACAAGGAAGTTACTGGGAATTCTTCTGTCTAGCCTTACATGAAAAAACCCGTTTCCAACGAAGGCCTCTAAGTGGTCAAAATATCCACGTGCAGACTTTACAAACAGAGTGTTTCCAAACCGCTGAATGAAAAGAAAAGTTAAACTCTGAGAGTTGAACGCACACATCACGCAGCAGTTTCTGAGAATGATTCTGTCTAGTTTTTATACGAAGATATTTCCTTTTCTGCCTTTGGCCTCAAACCGCTTGAAATCTCCATTTGCAAATTCCACAAAAAGAGTGTTTCAAATCTGCTCTGTGTAAATGAAAGTTCAACTCTGTGAGTTGAACACACACAACACATGGAAGTTACTGGGAATTCTTCTGTCTAGCATAATATGAAGAAATCCCGTTTCCAACGAAGGCCTCAAAGAGGTCTGAATATCCACTTGCAGACTTTACAAACAGAGTGTTTCCTAACGGCTCTATGAAAAGAAAAGTTAAACTCTGTGAGATGAACGCACACATCACAAAGGAGTTTCTGAGAATCATTCTGTCTAGTTTTTATACGAAGATATTTCCTTTTCTACCATTGACCTCAAAGCGGCTGAAATCTCCACTTGCAAATTCAACAAAAAGAGTGTTTCAAGTCTGCTCTGTGTAAAGGATCGTTCAACTCTGTGAGTTGAATACACACAACACAAGGATGTTACTGAGAATTCTTCTGTCTAGCAGAATATGAAGAAATCCCGTTTCCAACGAAGGCCTCAAGGAGGTCTGAATATCCACTTGCAGACATTACAAACAGAGTGTTTCCTAACTGCTCTATGAAAAGAAAAGTTAAACTCTGTGAGTTGAACGCACACATCACAAAGGAGTTTATGAGAATCATTCTGTCTAGTTTTGAAACGAAGATATTTCCTTTTCTGCCATTGACCTTAAAGCGCTTGAAATCTCCATTTGCCAATTGCAGAAAAAGAGTCTTTCAAATCTGCTCTGTCTAAGGGAACGTTCAACTCTGTGAGTTGAATGTACACAACACAAGGAAGTTACTGGGAATTCTTCTGTCTAGCCTTACAGGAAAAAATACTCGTTTCCAACGAAGGCCTCTAAGTGGTCAAAATATCCACGTGCAGACTTTACAAACAGAGTGTTTCCAAACTGCTGAATGAAAAGAAAAGTTAAACTCTGAGAGTTGAACGCACACATCGCAGAGCAGTTTCTGAGAATGATTCTGTCTAGTTTTTATAAGAAGATATTTCCTTTTCTGCCTTTGGCCTCAAAGCGCTTGAAATCTCCATTTGCAAATTATACAAAAAGAGTGTTTCAAATCTGCTCTGTGTAAATGAAAGTTCAACTCTGTGAGTTGACCACACACAACTCAAGGAAGTTACTGGGAATTCTTCTGTCTAGCAGAATATGAAGAAATCCCGTTTCCAACGAAGGCCTCAAGGAGGTCTGAATATCCACTTGCAGACTTTACAAACAGAGTGTTTCCTAACTGCTCTATGAAAAGGAAGGTTAAACTCTGTGAGTTGAACGGACACATCACAAAGGAGATTATGAGAATCATTCTGTCTAGTTTTTATACGAAGATATTTCCTTTTCTACCATTGACCTCAAAGCGGCTGAAATCTCCACTTGCAAATTCCACAAAAGGAGTGTTTCAAGTCTGCTCTGTGTAAAGGATCGTTCAACTCTGTGAGTTGAAAACACACAACACAAGGAAGTTTCTGAGAATTCTTCTGTCTAGCATAATATGAAGAAATCCCGTTTCCAACGAAGGCCACAAGATGTCAGAATTTCCACTTACAGACTTTACAAACAGAGTGTTTCCTAACTGCTCTATGAACAGAAAGGTTAAACTCTGTGAGTTTAACGAACACATCACAACGCAATTTTTGGGAATGATTCTGTCTAGTTTTGAAACGAAGATATTTCCTTTTCTGCCATTGACCTCAAAGCGCTTGAAATCTCCACTTGCCAATTGCACAAAAAGAGTGTTTCAAATCTGCTCTGTCTAAGGGAACGTTCAACTCTGTGAGTTGAATGTACACAACACAAGGAAGTTACTGGGAATTCTTCTGTCTAGCCTTACATGAAAAAAACCCGTTTCCAACGAAGGCCTCTAAGTGGTCAAAATATCCACGTGCAGACTTTACAAACAGAGTGTTTCCAAACCGCTGAATGAAAAGAAAAGTTAAACTCTGAGAGTTGAACGCACACATCACGCAGCAGTTTTCTGAGAATGATTTCTGTCTAGTTTTTATACGAAGATATTTCGTTTTCTGCCTTTGGCCCCAAAGCGCTTGAAATCTCCACTTGCAAATTCCACAAAAACAGTGTTTCAAATCTGCTCTCTCTAAATGAAAGTTCAACTCTGTCAGTTGAATACGCACAACACAAGGAAGTTACTGAGAATTCTTCTGTCTAGCAGAATATGAAGAAATCCCGTTTCCAACGAAAGCCTCAAAGATGTCTGAATATCCACTTGCAGACTTTACAAACAGAGTGTTTCCTAACTGCTCTATGAAAAGAAAGGTTAGACTCTGTGAGTTGAACGCACACATCACAAAGGAGTTTCTGAGAATCATTCTGTCTAGTTTTTATACGAAGATATTTCCTTTTCTACCATGGACCTCAAAGCGGCTGAAATCTCCACTTGCAAATTCCACAAAAAGAGTGTTCCAAGTCTGCTCTGTGTAAAGGATCGTTCAACTCTGTGAGTTGAATACACACAACACAAGGAAGTTACTGAGAATTCTTCTGTGTAGCAGAATATGAAGAAATCCTGTTTCCAACGAAGGCCACAAGATGTCAGAATATCCACTTACAGAATTTACCAACAGAGTGTTTCCTAACTGCTCTATGAAAAGAAAGGTTAAACTCTGTGAGTTGAACGAACACATCACAACGCAGTTTGTGGGAATGATTCTGTCTAGTTTTGAAACGAAGATATTTCCTTTTCTGCCATTGACCTTAAAGCGCTTGAAATCTCCACTTGCCAATTGCACAAATAGAGTGTTTCAAATCTGCTCTGTCTAAGGGAACGTTCAACTCTGTGAGTTGAATGTACACAACACAAGGAAGTTACTGGGAATTCTTCTGTCTAGCCTTACAGGAAAAAACCCGTTTCCAACGAAGGCCTCTAAGTGGTCAAAATATCCACGTGCAGACTTTACAAACAGAGTGTTTCCAAACTGCTGAATGAAAAGAAAAGTTAAACTCTGAGAGTTGAACGCACACATCGCAGAGCAGTTTCTGAGAATGATTCTGTCTAGTTTTGAAACGAAGATATTTCCTTTTCTGCCTTTGGCCTCAAAGCGCTTGAAATCTCCACTTGCAAAGTCCACAAAAAGAGTGTTTCAAATCTGCTCTGTGTAAATCAAAGTTCAACTCTGTGAGTTGAACACACACAACACAAGGAAGTTACTGGGAATTCTTCTGTCTAGCCTTATATGAAAAAAACCCGTTTCCAACGAAGGCCTCAAAGAGGTCTGAATATCCACTTGCAGACTTTACAAACAGAGTGTTTCCTAACTGCTCTATGAATAGAAAGGTTAAACTCTGTGAGTTGAACGCACACATCACAAAGGAGTTTCTGAGAATCATTCTGTCTAGTTGTTATACGAAGATATTTCCTTTTCTACCATGGACCTCAAAGCGGCTGAAATCTCCACTTGCAAATTCCAGAGAAAGAGTGTTTCAAATCTGCTCTGTGTAAACAATCGTTCAACTGTGTGAGTTGAATACACACAACACAAGGAAGATTCTGAGAATTCTTCTGTCTAGCAGAATATGAAGAAATCCCGTTTCCACTGAAGGCCACAAGGATGTCAGAATATCCACTTACAGAATTTACCAACAGAGTGTTTCCTAACTGCTCTATGAAAAGAAAGGTTAAACTCTGTGAGTTGAACGAACACATCACAACGCAGTTTGTGGGAATGATTCTGTCTAGTATTGAAACGAAGATATTTCCTTTTCTGCCATTGACCTTAAAGCGCTTGAAATCTACACTTGCAAATTGCACAAATAGAGTGTTTCAAATCTGCTGTGTCTAAGGGAACGTTCAACTCTGTGAGTTGAATGCACACAACACAAGGAAGTTACTGGGAATTCTTCTGTCTAGCCTTACATGAAAAAAACCCGTTTCCAACGAAGGCCTCTAAGTGGTCAAAATATCCACGTGCAGACTTTACAAACAGAGTGTTTCCAAACCGCTGAATGAAAAGAAAAGTTAAACTCTGAGAGTTGAACGCACACATCACACAGCAGTTTCTGAGAATGATTCTGTCTAGTTTTTATACGAAGATATTTCCTTTTCTGCCTTTGGCCTCAAAGCGCTTGAAATCTCCACTTACAAATTCCACAAAAAGAGTGTTTCAAATCTGCTCTGTGTAAATGAAAGTTCAACTCTGTAAGTTGAACACACACAACACAAGGAAGTTACTGGGAATTCTTCTGTCTAGCCTTATATGAAAAAAACCCGTTTCCAACGAAGGCCTCAAAGAGGTCTCAATATCCACATGCAGACTTTACAAACAGAGTGTTTCCTAACTGCTCTATGAAAAGAAAGGTTAAACTCTGTGAGTTGAACGTACACATCACAAAGGAGTTTCTGAGAATCATTCTGTCTACTTTCTATAGGAAGATATTTCCTATTCTACCATTGAACTCAAAGCGGCTGAAATCTCCACTTGCAAATTCCACAAAAGGAGTGTTTCAAGTCTGCTCTGTGTAAAGGATCGTTCATCTCTGTGAGTTGAAAACACACAACACAAGGAAGTTTCTGAGAATTCTTCTGTCTATCAGAATATGAAGAAATCCCGTTTCCAAAGAAGGCCTCAAGGAGGTCTGAATATCCACTTGCAGACTTTACAAACAGAGTGTTTCCTAACTGCTCTATGAAAAGAAAGGTTAAACTCTGTGAGTTGAACGCACACATCACAAAGGAGTTTATGAGAATCACTCTGTCTAGTTTCTATAGGAAGATATTTCCTATTCTACCGTTGACCTCAAAGCGGCTGAAATCTCCACTTGCAAATTCCACAAAAAGAGTGTTTCAAGTCTGCTCTGTGTAAAGGATCGTTCAACTCTGTGAGTTGAATACACACAACACAAGGAAGTTACTGAGAATTCTTCTGTCTAGCATAATATGAAGAAATCCCGTTTCCAACGAAGGTCTCAAGGAGGTCTGAATATCCACTTGCAGACTTTACAAACAGAGTGTTTCCTAACTACTCTATGAAAAGAAAGGTTAAACTCTGTGAGTTGAACGCACACATCACAAAGGAGTTTCTGAGAATCATTCTGTCTAATTTTTATACGAAGATATTTCCTTTTCTACCATTGACCTCAAAGCGGCTGAAATCTCCACTTGCAAATTACACAAAAAGAGTGTTTCAAGTCTACTCTGTGTAAAGCATCGTTCAACTCTGTGATTTGAAAACACACAACACAAGGAAGTTTCTGAGAATTCTTCTGTCTAGCCTTACAGGAAAAAAACCCGTTTCCAACGAAGGCCTCAAAGTGGTCAAATTATCCACGTGCAGACTTCACAAACAGAGTGTTTCCAAACTGCTGAATGAAAAGAAAAGTTAAACTCTGAGAGTTGAACGCAAACATCACAGATCAGTTTCTGAGAATGATTCTGTCTAGTTTGTATAGGAAGATATTTCCTTTTCTACCTTTGACGTCAAAGCGGCTGAAATCTCCACTTGCAAATTCCACAAAAAGAGTGTTACAAGTCTGCTCTGTGTAAAGGATCGTTCAACTCTGTGAGTTGAATACACACAACACAAGGAAGTTACTGAGAATTCTTCTGTCTAGCATAGTATGAAGAAATCCCGTTTCCAACGAAGGCCTCAAACAGGTCTGAATATCCACTTGCAGAGTTTACAAACAGAGTGTTTCCTAACTGCTCTATGAAAAGAAAGGTTAAATTCTGTGAGTTGAACGCACACATCACAAAGAAGTTTCTGAGAATCATTCTGTCTAGTTTTTATAGGAAGATATTTCCTTTTCTACCTTTGACTTCAAAGCTGCTGAAATCTCCACTTGCGAATTCCACAAAAAGAGTGTTACAAGTCTGCTCTGTGTAAAGGATCGTTCAACTCTGTGAGTTGAATACACACAACACAAGGAAAGTTACTGAGAATTCTTCTGTCTAGCAGAATATGAAGAAATCCCGTTTCCAACTAAGGCCACAAGATGTCAGAATATCCACTTACAGAATTTACAAACAGACTGTTTCCTAACTGCTCTATGAAAAGAAAGGTTAAACTCTGTGAGTTGAACGAACACCTCACAACGCAGTTTGTGGGAATGATTCTGTCTAGTTTTGAAACGAAGATATTTCCTTTTCTGCCATTGACCTTAAAGCGCTTGAAATCACCACTTGCCAATTTCACAAAAAGAGTGTTTCAAATCTGCTCTGTCTAAGGGAACGTTCAACTCTGTGAGTTGAATGTACACAACACAAGGAAGTTACTGGGAATTCTTCTGTCTAGCCTTACATGAAAAAAACCCGTTTCCAACGAAGGCCTCTAAGTGGTCAAATTATCCACGTGCAGACTTTACAAACAGAGTGTTTCCAAACTGCTGAATGAAAAGAAAAGTTAAACTGTGAGAGTTGAACACACACATCGCAGAGCAGTTTCTGAGAATGATTCTGTCTAGTTTTTATACAAAGATATTTCCTTTTCTGCCTTTGGCCCCATAGCGCTTGAAATCTCCACTTGCAAATTCCACAAAAACAGTGTTTCAAATCTGCTCTCTCTAAATGAAAGTTCAACTCTGTCAGTTGAATACACACAACACAAGGAAGTTACTGAGAATTCTTCTCTCAGGCATAATATGAAGAAATCCCGTTTGCAACGAAGGCCTCAAAGAGGTCTGAATATCCACTTGCAGAGTTTACAAACAGAGTGTTTCCTAACTGCTCTATGAAAAGAAAGGTTAAACTCTGTGAGTGGAACGCACACATCACAAAGAAGTTTCTGAGAATCATTCTGTCTAGTTTTTATACGAAGATATTTCCTTTTCTACCATTGACCTCAAAGCGGCTGAAATCTCCACTTGCAAATTCCACAAAAAGAGTGTTTCAAATCTGCTCTGTGTAAACCATCGTTCAATTCTGTGAGTTGAATACACACAACACAAGGAAGATTCCGAGAATTCTTCTGTCTAGCAGAATATGAAGAAATCCCGTTTCCAACGAAGGCCACAAGATGTCAGAATATCCACTTACAGAATTTACAAACAGAGTGTTTCCTAACTGCTCTATGAAAAGAAAGGTTAAACTCTGGTGAGTTGAACGAACACATCACAACGCAGTTTGTGGGAATGATTCTGTCTAGTTTTGAAACGAAGATATTTCCTTTTCTGCCATTGACCTTAAAGCGCTTGAAATCTCCACTTGCCAATTGCACAAAAAGAGTGTTTCACATCTGCTCTGTCTAAGGGAACGTTCAACTCTGTGAGTTGAATGTACACAACACAAGGAAGTTACTGGGAATTCTACTGTCTAGCCTTACAGGAAAAAAACCCGTTTCCAACGAAGAGCCTCTAAGTGGTCAAAATATCCACGTGCAGACTTTACAAACAGAGTGTTTCCAAACTGCTGAATGAAAAGAAAAGTTAAACTCTGAGAGTTGAACGCACACATCGCAGAGCAGTTTCTGAGAATGATTCTGTCTAGTTTCTATAGGAAGATATTTCCTATTCTACCGTTGACCTCAAAGCGGCTGAAATCTCCACTTGCAAATTCCACAAAAAGAGTGTTTCAAGACTGTTCTGTGTAAAGGATCATTCAACTCTGTGAGTTGAATACACACAACACAAGGAAGTTACTGAGAATTCTTCTTTCTAGCAGAATATGAAGAAATCCCGTTTCCAACGAAAGCCTCAAGGATGTCTGAATATCCACTTACAGACTTTACAAACAGAGTGTTTCCTAACTGCTCTATGAAAAGAAAGGTTAAACTCTGTGAGTTGAACGCACACATCACAAAGGAGTTTCTGAGAATCATTCTGTCTAGTTTCTATAGGAAGATATTTCCTATTCTACCATTGACCTCAAAGCGGCTGAAATCTGCACTTGCAAATTCCACAAAAAGAGTGTTTCAAGTCTGCTCTGTGTAAAGGATCGTTCAACTCTGTGAGTTGAATACACACAACACAAGGAAGTTACTGAGAATTCTTCTGTCTAGCAGAATATGAAGAAATCCCGTTTCCAACGAAGGCCTCACGGAGGTCTGAATATCCACTTGCAGACTTTACAAACAGAGTGTTTCCTAACTGCTCTATGAACAGAAAGGTTAAACTGTGTGAGTTGAACAAACACATCACAACGCAGTTTGTGGGAATGATTCTGTCTAGTTTTGAAACGAAGATATTTCCTTTTCTGCCTTTGGCCCCAAAGTGCTTGAAATCTCCAATTGCAAATTCCACAAAAACAGTGTTTCAAATCTGCTCTCTCTAAATGAAAGTTCAACTCTGTCAGTTGAATACACACAACACAAGGAAGTTACTGAGAATTCTTCTGTCTAGCCTTACATGAAAAAAACCCGTTTCCAACGAAGGCCTCTAAGTGGTCAAATTATCCACGTGCAGACTTTACAAACAGAGTGTTTCCAAACTGCTGAATGAAAACAAAAGTTAAACTCTGAGAGTTGAACGCACACATCGCAGAGCAGTTTCTGAGAATGATTCTGTCTAGTTTTTATACGAAGATATTTCCTTTTCTGCCTTTGGCCTCAAAGCGCTTGAAATCTCCACTTGCAAATTCCACAAAAAGAGTGTTTCAAATCTGCTCTGTGTAAATGAAAGCTCAACTCTGTGAGTTGAACACACACAACACAAGGAAGTTACTGGGAATTCTTTCTGTCTAGCCTTATATGAAAAAAACCCGTTTCCAACGAAGGCCTCAAAGAGGTCTGAATATCCACTTGCAGACTTTACAAACAGAGTGTTTCCTAACTGCTCTATGAAAAGAAAGGTTAAAGTCTGTGAGTTGAACGCACACATCACAAAGGAGTTTCTGAGAATCATTCTGTCTAGTTTCTACAGGAAGATATTTCCTATTCTACAATTGACCTCAAAGCGGCAGAAATCTCCACTTGCAAATTCCACGAAAAGAGTGTTTCAAGTCTGCTCTGTGTAAAGGATCGTTCAACTCTGTGAGTTGAATGCACACAACACAAGGAAGTTACTGAGAATTCTTCTGTCTAGCAGAATATGAAGAAATCCCATTTCCAACGAAGGCCTCAAAGAGGTCTGAATATCCACTTGCAGACTTTACAAACAGAGTGTTTCCTAACTGCTCTATGAAAAGAACGGTTAAAATCTGTGAGTTGAACGCACACATCACAAAGGAGTTTCTGAGAATCATTCTGTCTAGTTTCTATAGGAAGATATTTGCTATTCTACCATTGACCACATAGCGGCTGAAATCTCCACTTGGAAATTCCACAAAAAGAGTGTTTCAAGTCTGCTCTGTGTAAAGGATCGTTCAACTCTGTGAGTTGAATACACACAACACAAGGAAGTTACTGAGAATTCTTCTGTCTAGCCTTACATGAAAAAAACCCGTTTCCAACGAAGGTCTCTAAGTGGTCAAATTATCCACGTGCAGACTTTACAAACAGAGTGTTTCCAAACTGCTGAATGAAAAGAAAAGTTAAACTCTGAGAGTTGAACGCACACATCGCAGAGCAGTTTCTGAGAATGATTCTGTCTAGTTTCTATAGGAAGATATTTCCTATTCTACCATTGAACTCAAAACGGCTGAAATCTCCACTTGCAAATTCCACAAAAAGAGTGTTTCAAGTCTGCTCTGTGTAAAGGATCATTCAACTCTGTGAGTTGAATACACACAACACAAGGAAGTTACTGAGAATTCTTCTGTCTAGCATAATAGGAAGAAATCCCGTTTCCAACGAAGGCCTCAAGGAGGTCTGAATATCCACTTGCAGACTTTACAAACAGAGTGTTTCCTAACTGCTCTATGAAAAGAAAGGTTAAACTCTGTGAGTTGAACGCACACATCACAAAGGAGTTTCTCAGAATCATTCTGTCTTGTCTTTATACGAAGATAGTTTCCTTTTCTACCATTGACCTCAAAGCGGCTGAAATCTCCACTTGCAAATTCCACAAAAAGAGTGTTTCAAGTCTGCTCTGTGTAAAGGATCGTTCAACTCTGTGAGTTGAATACACACAACACAAGGAAGTTACTGAGAATTATTCTGTCTAGCAGAATATGGAGAAATCCCGTTTCCAACGAAGGCCTCTAGGAGGTCTGAATATCCACTTGCAGACTTTACAAACAGAGTGTTTCCTAACTGCTCTATGAACAGAAAGGTTAAACTCTGTGAGTTGAACGAACACATCACAACGCAGTTTGTGGGAATGATTCTGTCTAGTTTTGAAACGAAGATATTTCCTTTTCTGCCATTGACCTTAAAGCGCTTGAAATCTACACTTGCAAATTGCACAAATAGAGTGTTTCAAATCTGCTCTAAGGGAACGTTCAACTCCGTGAGTTGAATGCACACAACACAAGGAAGTTACTGGGAATTCTTCTGTCTAGCCTTACATGAAAAAAACCCGTTTCCAACGAAGGCCTCTAAGTGGTCAAATTATCCACGTGCAGACTTTACAAACAGAGTGTTTCCAAACTGCTGAATGAAAAGCAAAGTTAAACTCTGAGAGTTGAACGCACACATCGCAGAGCAGTTTCTGAGAATGATTCTGTCTAGTTTTTATACGAAGATACTTCCTTTTCTGCCTTTGGCCTCAAAGCGCTTGAAATCTCCATTTGCAAATTCCACAAAAAGAGTGTTTCAAATCTGCTCTGTGTAAATGAAAGTTCAACTCTGTGAGTTGAACACACACAACACAAGGAAGTTACTGGGAATTCTTCTGTCTAGCAGAATATGAAGAAATCCCGTTTCCAACGAAGGCCTCAAGGAGGTCTGAATATCCACTTGCAGACTTTACAAACAGAGTGTTTCCTAACTGCTCTATGAACAGAAAGGTTAAACTCTGTGAGTTGAACACACACATCACAAAGGAGTTTCTGAGAATCATTCTGTCTAGTTTCTATAGGAAGATATTTCCTATTCTACCATTGACGTCAAATCGGCTGAAATCTCCACTTGCAAATTCCACAAAAAGAGTGTTTCAAGTCTGCTCTGTGTAAAGGATCGTTCAACTCTGTGAGTTGAATACACACAACACAAGGAAGTTACTGAGAATTCTTCTGTCTAGCAGAATATGAAGAAATCCCGTTTCCAACGAAGGCCACAAGATGTCAGAATATCCACTTACAGAATTGACAAACAGACTGTTTCCTAACTGCTCTATGAAAAGAAAGGTTAAACTCTGTGAGTTGAACGAACACATCACAACGCAGTTTGTGGGAATGATTTCTGTCTAGTTTTGAAACGAAGATATTTCCTTTTCTGCCATTGAACTTAAAGCGCTTGAAATCTCCATTTGCCAATTGCACAAAAAGAGTGTTTCAAATCTGCTCTGTCTAAGGGAACGTTCAACTCTGTGAGTTGAATGTACACAACACAAGGAAGTTACTGGGAATTCTTCTGTCTAGCCTTACAGGAAAAAAACCCGTTTCCAACGAAGTCCTCTAAGTGGTCAAGTTATCCACGTGCAGACTTTACAAACAGAGTGTTTCCAAACTGCTGAATGAAAAGAAAAGTTAAACTCTGAGAGTTGAACGCACACATCGCAGAGCAGTTTCTGAGAATGATTTCTGTCTAGTTTTTATACGAAGATATTTCCTTTTCTGCCTTTGGCCTCAAAGAGTTTGAAATCTCCATTTGCAAATTCCACAAAAAGAGTGTTTCAAATCTACTCTGTGTAAATGAAAGTTCAACTCTGTGAGTTGAACACACACAACACATGGAAGTTACTTGGGAATTCTTCTGTCTAGCATAATATGAAGAAAACCCGTTTCCAACGAAGGCCTCAAAGAGGTCTGAATATCCACTTGCAGACTTAACAAACAGAGTGTTTCCTAACTGCTCTATGAAAAGAAAGGTTAAACTCTGTGAGTTGAACGCACACATCACAAAGGAGTTTCTGAGAATCATTCTGTCTAGTCTTTATACGAAGATATTTCCTTTTCTACCATTGACCTCAAAGCGGCTGAAATCTCCACTTGCAAATTCCACAAAAAGAGTGTTTAAAGTCTGCTCTCTATAAAGGATCGTTCAACTCTGTGAGTTGAATACACACAACACAAGGAAGTTACTGAGAATTCTTCTGTCTAGCAGAATATGAAGAAATCCCGTTTCCAACGAAGGCCACAAGATGTCAGAATATCCACTTACAGAATTGACAAACAGACTGTTTCCTAACTGCTCTATGAAAAGAAAGGTTAAACTCTGTGAGTTGAACGAACACATCACAACGCAGTTTGTGAGAATGATTCTGTCTAGTTTTGAAACTAAGATATTTCCTTTTCTGCCATTGACCTTAAAGCGCTTGAAATCTACACTTGCAAATTGCACAAATAGAGTGTTTCAAATCTGCTCTGTCTAAGGGAACGTTCAACTCTGTGAGTTGAATGCACACAACACAAGGAAGTTACTGGGAATTCTTCTGTCTAGCCTTACATGAAAAAAACCCGTTTCCAAAGAAGACCTCTAAGTGGTCAAAATGTCCACGTGCAGACTTTACAAACAGAGTGTTTCCAAACCGCTGAATGAAAAGAAAAGTTAAACTCTGAGAGTTGAACGCACACATCACGCAGCAGTTTCTGAGAATGATTCTGTCTAGTTTTTATACGAAGATATTTCGTTTTCTGCCTTTGGCCCCAAAGCGCTTGAAATATCCACTTGCAAATTCCACAAAAACAGTGTTTCAAATCTGCTCTCTCTAAATGAAAGTTCAACTCTGTCAGTTGAATACACACAACACAAGGAAGTTACTGAGAATTCTTCTGTCTAGCAGAATATGAAGAAATCCCGTTTCCAACGAAGGCCTCAAGGAGGTCTGAATATCCACTTGCAGACTTTACAAACAGAGTGTTTCCTAACTGCTCTATGAAAAGAAAGGTTAAACTCTGTGAGTTGGACGCACACATCACAAAGGAGTTTATGAGAATCATTCTGTCTAGTTTTTATAGGAAGATATTTCCTTTTCTACTTTGACTTCAAAGCGGCTGAAATCTCCACTTGCAAATTCCACAAAAAGAGTGTTACAAGTCTGCTCTGTGTAAAGGATAGTTCAACTCTGTGAGTTGAATACACACAACACAAGGAAGTTACTGAGAATTCTTCTGTCTAGCAGAATATGAAGAAATCCCGTTTCCAACCAAGGCCACAAGATGTCAGAATATCCACTTACAGAATTTACAAACAGACTGTTTCCTAACTGCTCTATGAAAAGAAAGGTTAAACTCTGTGAGTTGAACGAACACATCACAACGCAGTTTGTGGGAATGATTCTGTCTAGTTTTGAAACGAAGATATTTCCTTTTCTGCCGTTGACCTTAAAGCGCTTGAAATCTACACTTGCAAATTGGACAAATAGAGTGTTTCAAATCTGCTCTGTCTAAGGGAACGTTCAACTCTGTGAGTTGAATGCACACAACACAAGGAAGTTACTGGGAATTCTTCTGTCTAGCCTTACATGAAAAAAAGCCGTTTCCAACGAAGGCCTCTAAGTGATCAAATTATCCACGTGCAGACTTTACAAACAGAGTGTTTCCAAACTGCTGAATGAAAAGAAAAGTTAAACTCTGAGAGTTGAACGCACACATCGCAGAGCATTTTCTGAGAATGATTCTGTCTAGTTTTTATACCAAGATATTTCCTTTTCTGCCTTTGGCCCCAAAGCGCTTGAAATCTCCACTTGCAAATTCCACAAAAACAGTGTTTCAAATCTGCTCTCTCTAAATGAAAGTTCAACTCTGTCAGTTGAATACACACAACACAAGGAAGTTACTGAGAATTCTTCTGTCTAGCATAATATGAAGAAATCCCGTTTCCAACGAAGGCCTCAAAGAGGTCTGAATATCCACTTGCAGACTTTACAAACAGAGTGTTTCCTAACTGCTCTATGAAAAGAAAAGTTAAACTCTGTGAGTTGAACGCACACATCACAAAGGATTTTCTGATAATCATTCTGTCTAGTTTCTATAAGAAGATATTTCCTATTCTACCATTGACCTCAAAGCGGCTGAAATCTCCACTTGCAAATTCGACAAAAAGAGTGTTTCAAGCCTGCTCTCTGTAAAGGATCCTTCAACTCTGTGAGTTGAGTACACACAACACAAGGAAGTTACTGAGAATTCTTCTGTCTAGCAGAATAGGAAGAAATCCCGTTTCCAACGAAGGCCACAAGATGTCTGAATATCCACTTACAGACTTTACAAACAGAGTGTTTCCTAACTGCTCTATGAACAGAAATGTTAAACTCTGTAAGTTGAACGAACACATCACAACGCAGTTTGTGGGAATGATTCTGTCTAGTTTTGAAACGAAGATATTTCCTTTTCTCCCATTGACCTTAAAGCGCTTGAAATCTACACTTGCAAATTGCACAAATAGAGTGTTTCAAATCTGCTCTGTCTAAGGGAACGTTCAACTCTGTGAGTTGAATGCACACAACACAAGGAAGTTACTGGGAATTCTTCTGTTTAGCCTTATATGTAAAAAACCCGTTTCCAACGAAGGCCTCAAAGAGGTCTGAATATCCACTTGCAGACTTTACAAACAGAGTGTTTCCAAACTGCTGAATGAAAAGAAAAGTTAAACTCTGAGAGTTGAACGCACACATCGCAGAGCAGTTTCTGAGAATGATTCTGTCTAGTTTTTATACGAATACATTTCCTTTTCTGCCTTTGGCCTCAAAGCGCTTGAAATCTCTACTTGCAAATTCCACAAAAAGAGTGTTTCAAATCTGCTCTGTGTAAATGAAAGTTCAACTCTGTGAGTTGAACACACACAACACAAGGAAGTTACTGGGAATTCTTCTGTCTAGCAGAATATGAAGAAATCCCGTTTCCAACGAATGGCCTCAAGGAGGTCTGAATATCCACTTGCAGACTTTACAAACAGAGTGTTTCCTAACTGCTCTATGAAAAGAAAAGTTAAACTCTGTGAGTTGAACGCACACATCACAAAGGAGTTTATGAGAATCATTCTGTCTAGTTTTTATACGAAGATATTTCCTTTTCTACCATTGACCTCAAAGCGGCTGAAATCTCCACTTGCAAATTCCACAAAAAGAGTGTCTCAAGTCTGCTCTGTGTAAAGGATCGTTCAACTCTGTGAGTTGAATGCACACAACACAAGGAAAGTTACTGAGAATTCTTCTGTCTAGAAGAATATGAAGAAATCCCGTTTCCAAAGAAAGCCTCAAAGATGTCTGAATATCCACTTGCAGACTTTACAAACAGAGTGTTTCCTAACTGCTCTATGAAAAGAAAGGTTAAACTCTGTGAGTTGAACGAACACATCACAACGCAGTTTGTGACAATGATTCTGTCTAGTTTTGAAACCAAGATATTTCCTTTTCTGCCGTTGACCTTAAAGAGCTTGAAAACTACACTTGCAAATTGCACAAATAGAGTGTTTCAAATCTGCTCTGTCTAAGGGAACGTTCATCTCTGTGAGTTGAATGCACACAACACAAGGAAGTTACTGGGAATTCTTCTGTCTAGCCTTACATGAAAAAAACCCGTTTCCAACGAAGGCCTCTAAGTGGTCAAAATATCCACGTGCAGACTTTACAAACAGAGTGTTTCCAAACCGCTGAATGAAAAGAAAAGTTAAACTCTGAGAGTTGAACGCACACATCACACAGCAGTTTCTGAGAATGATTCTGTCTAGTTTTTATACGAAGATATTTCCTTTTCTGCCTTTGGCCCCAAAGCGCTTGAAATCTCCACTTGCAAATTCCACAAAAAGAGTGTTTCAAGTCTGCTCTGTGTAAAGGATCGTTCAACTCTGTGAGTTGAATACACACAACACAAGGAAGTTACTGAGAATTCTTCTGTCTAGCAGAATATGAAGAAATCCCGCTTCCAACGAAAGCCTCAAAGAAGTCTGAATATCCACTTGCAGACATTACAAACAGAGTGTTTCCCAACTGCTCTATGAAAAGAAAGGTTGAACTCTGTGAGTTGAACGCACACATCACAAAGGAGTTTCTGAGAATCATTCTGTCTAGTCTTTATACGAAGATATTTACTTTTCTACCATTGACCTCAAAGCGGCTGAAACCTCCACTTGCAAATTCCACAAAAAGAGTGTTTCAAGTCTGCTCTGTGTAAAGGATCATTCAACTCTGTGAGTTGAATAAACACAACAGAAGGAAGTTACTGAGAATTCTTCTGTCTAGCAGAATATGAAGAAATCCCGTTTCCAACGAAGGCCACAAGATGTCAGAATATCCACTTACAGAATTTACAAACAGACTGTTTCCTAACTGCTCTATGAAAAGAAAGGTTAAACTCTGTGAGTTGAACGAACACCTCACAACGCAGTTTGTGGGAATGATTCTGTCTAGTTTTGAAACGAAGATATTTCCTTTTCTGCCATTGAACTTAAAGCGCTTGAAATCTCCACTTGCCAATTGCACAAAAAGAGTGTTTCAAATCTGCTCTGTCTAAGGGAACGTTCAACTCTGTGAGTTGAATGTACACAACACAAGGAAGTTACTGGGAATTCTTCTGTCTAGCCTTACATGAAAAAATCCCGTTTCGAACGAAGGCCTCTAAGTGGTCAAAATATCCACGTGCAGACTTTACAAACAGAGTGTTTCCAAACCGCTGAATGAAAAGAAAAGTTAAACTCTGAGAGTTGAACGCACACATCACGCAGCAGTTTCTGAGAATGATTCTGTCTAGTTTTTATACGAAGATATTTCCTTTTCTGTCTTTGGCCTCAAAGCGCTTGAAATCTCCTCTTGCAAATTCCACAAAAAGAGTGTTTCAAATCTGCTCTGTGTAAATGAAAGTTCAACTCTGTGAGTTGAACACACACAACACAAGGAAGTTACTGGGAATTCTTCTGTCTAGCAGAACATGAAGAAATCCCGTTTCCAACGAAGGCCTCAAAGATGTCTGAATATCCACTTGCAGACTTTACAAACAGAGTGTTTCCTAACTGCTCTATGAAAAGAAACGTTAAACTCTGTGAGTTGAACGCACACATCACAAAGGAGTTTCTGAGAATCATTCTGTCTAGTCTTTATACGAAGATATTTACTTTTCTACCATTGACCTCAAAGCGGCTGAAATCTCCACTTGCAAATTCAATAAAAAGAGTGTTTCAAGTCTGCTCTGTGTAAAGGATCATTCAACTCTGTGAGTTGAATAAACACAACACAAGGAAGTTACTGAGAATTCTTCTGTCTAGCAGAATATGAAGAAATCCCGTTTCCAACGAAGGCCTCAAGGAGGTCTGAATATCCACTTGCAGACTTTACAAACAGAGTGTTTCCTAACTGCTCTATGAAAAGAAAGGTTAAACTCTGTGAGTTGAACGCACACATCACAAAGGAGTTTCTGAGAAACGTTCTGTCTAGTTTTGAAACGAAGATATTTCCTTTTCTGCCATTGACCTTAAAGCGCTTGAAATCTACACTTGCAAATTGCACAAATAGAGTGTTTCAAATCTGCTCTGTCTAAGGGAACGTTCAACTCTGTGAGTTTAATGCACCCAACACAAGGGAAGTTACTGGGAATTCTTCTGCCTAGCCTTACGTGCAAAAAACCCGTTTCCAACGAAGGCCTCTAAGTGGTCAAATTATCCACGTGCAGACATTACAAACAGAGTGTTTCCAAACCGCTGAATGAAAAGAAAAGTTAAACTCTGAGAGTTGAACGCACACATCACGCAGCAGTTTCTGAGAAGGATTCTGTCTAGTTTTGAAACGAAGATATTTCCTTTTCTGCATTTGGCCTCAAAGCGCTTGAAATCTCCACTTGCAAATTCCACAAAAAGAGTGTTTCAAATCTGCTCTGGGTAAATGAAAGTTCAACTCTGTGAGTTGAACACACACAACACAAGGAAGTTACTGGGAATTCTTCTGTATAGCAGAATATGAAGAAATCCCGTTTCCAACGAAAGCCTCTAGGATGTCTGAATATCCACTTGCAGACTTTACAAACAGAGTGTTTCCTAACTGCTCTATGAAAAGAAAGGTTAAACTCTGTGAGTTGAACGCACACATCACAAAGGAGTTTCTGAGAATCATTCTGTCTAGTTTTTCTACGAAGATATTTCCTTTTCTACTATTGACCTCATAGCGGCTGAAATCTCCACTTGCAAATTCCACAAAAAGAGTGTTTCAAGTCTGCTCTGTGTAAAGGATCGTTCAACTCTGTGAGTTGAATACACACAACACAAGGAAGTTATTGAGAATTCTTCTGTCTAGCAGAATATGAAGAAATCCCGTTTCCAACGAAGGCCTCAAAGAGGTCTGAATATCCACCTGCAGACTTTACAAACAGAGTGTTTCCTAACTGCTCTATGAAAAGAAAAGTTAAACTCTATGAGTTGAACGCACACATCTCAAAGGAGTTTCTGAGAATCATTCTGTCTAGTTTTTATACGAAGATATTTCCTTTTCTACCATTGACCTCAAAGCGGCTGAAATCACCACTTGCCAATTGCACAAAAAGAGTGTTTCAAATCTGCTCTGTCTAAGGGAACGTTCAACTCTGTGAGTTGAATGTACACAACACAAGGAAGTTCCTGGGAATTCTTCTGTCTAGCGTTACATGAAAAAAACCCGTTTCCAACGAAGGCCTCTAAGTGGTCAAAATATCCACGTGCAGACTTTACAAACAGAGTGTTTCCAAACCGCTGAATGAAAAGAAAAGTTAAACTCTGAGAGTTGAACGCACACATCACGCAGCAGTTTCTGATAATGATTCTGTCTAGTTTTGAAACGAAGATATTTCCTTTTCTGCCTTTGGCCTCAAAGCGCTTGAAATCTCCACTTGCAAATTCCACAAAAAGAGAGTTTCAAATCTGCTCTGTGTAAATGAAAGTTCAACTCTGTGAGTTGAACACACACAACACAAGGAAGTTACTGGGAATTCTTCTGTCTAGCATAATATGAAGAAATCCCATTTCCAACGAAGGCCTCAAAGAGGTCTGAATATCCACTTGCAGACTTTACAAACAGAGTGTTTCCTAACTGCTCTATGAAAAAAAAGGTTAAACTCTGTGAGTTGAACGCACACATCACAAAGGACTTTCTCAGAATCATTCTGTCTAGTTTCTATAAGAAGATATTTCCTATTCTACCATTGACCTCAAAGCGGCTGAAATCTCCACTTGCAAATTCGACAAAAACAGTGTTTCAAGCCTGCTCTCTGTAAAGGATCCTTCAACTCTGTGAGTTGAATACACACAACACAAGGAAGTTACTGAGAATTATTCTGTCTAGCAGAATATGAAGAAATCCCGTTTCCAACTAAGGCCACAAGATGTCAGAATATCCACTTACAGAAATGACAAACAGACTGTTTCCTAACTGCTCTATGAAAAGAAAGGTTAAACCCTGTGAGTTGAACGAACACATCACAACGCAGTTTGTGGGAATGATTCTGTCTAGTTTTGAAACGAAGATATTTCCTTTTCTGCCATTGACCTTAAAGCGCTTGAAATCTACACTTGCAAATTGCAGAAATAGAGTGTTTCAAATCTGCTCTGTCTAAGGGAACGTTCAATTCTGTGAGTTGAATGCACACAACACATGGAAGTTACTGGGAATTCTTCTGTCTAGCCTTACATGAAAAAAACCCGTTTCCAAAGAAGGCCTCTAAGTGGTCAAAATATCCACGTGCAGACTTTACAAACAGAATGTTTCCAAACCGCTGAATGAAAAGAAAAGTTAAACTCTGAGAGTTGAACGCACACATCACGCAGCAGTTTCTGAGAATGATTCTGTCTAGTTTTGAAACGAAGATATTTCCTTTTCTGCCTTTGGCCTCAAAGCGCTTGAAATCTCCACTTGCAAATTCCACAAAAAGAGTGTTTCAAATCTGCTCTGGGTAAATGAAAGTTTAACTCTGTGAGTTGAACACACACAACACAAGGAAGTTACTGGGAATTCTTCTGTCTAGCATAATATGAAGAAATCCCGTTTCCAACGAATGCCTCAAGGAGGTCTGAATATCCACCTGCAGACTTTACAAACAGAGTGTTTCCTAACTGCTCTATGAAAAGAAAGGTTAAACTGTGTGAGTTGAACGCACACATCACAAAGGAGTTTCTGAGAATCATTCTGTCTAGTTTTTATACGAAGATATTTCCTTTTCTACCATTGACCTCAACGCGGCTGAAATCTCCACTTGCAAATTCCACAAAAAGAGCGTTTCAAGTCTGCTCTGTGTAAAGTATCGTTCAACTGTGTGAGTTGAATACACACAACACAAGGAAGATTCTGAGAATTCTTCTGTCTAGCAGAATATGAAGAAATCCCGTTTCCAACGAAGGGCACAAGATGTCAGAATATCCACTTACAAAATTTACAAACAGACTGTTTCCTAACTGCTCTATGAAAAGAAAGGTTAAACTCTGTGAGTTGAACGAACACATCACAACGCAGTTTGTGGGAATGATTCTGTCTAGTTTTTATACGAAGATATTTCCTTTTCTACCATTGACCTCAAAGCGGCTGAAATCACCACTTGCCAATTGCACAAAAAGAGTGTTTCAAATCTGCTCTGTCTAAGGGAACGTTGAACTCTGTGAGTTGAATGTACACAACACAAGGAAGTTACTGGGAATTCTTCTGTCTAGCCTTACAGGAAAAAAACCCGTTTCCAACGAAGGCCTCTAAGTGGTCAAAATATCCACGTGCAGACTTTACAAACAGAGTGTTTCCAAACTGCTGAATGAAAAGAAAAGTTAAACTCTGAGAGTTGAAAGCACACATCGCAGAGCAGTTTCTGAGAATGATTCTGTCTAGTTTTGAAACGAAGATATTTCCTTTTCTACCATTGACCTCAACGCGGCTGAAATCTCCATTTGCAAATTCCACAAAAAGAGTGTTTCAAATCTGCTCTGTGTAAAGGAAAGTTCAACTCTGTGAGTTGAACACACACAACACAAGGAAGTTACTGGGAGTTCTTCTGTCTAGCCTTATATGAAAAAAACCCGTTTCCAACGAAGGCCTCAAAGACGTCTGAATATCCACTTGCAGACTTTACAAACAGAGTGTTTCCTAACTGCTCTATGAAAAGAAAGGTTAAACTCTGTGAGTTGAACGCACACATCACAAAGGAGTTTCTGAGAATCATTCTGTCTAGTTTTTATAGGAAGATATTTCCTTTTCTACCTTTGACTTCAAAGCGGCTGAAATCTCCACTTGCAAATTACACAAAAAGAGTGTTACAAGTCTGCTCTGTGTAAAGGATCGTTCAACTCTGTGAGTTGAATACACACAACACAAGGAAGTTACTGAGAATTCTTCTGTCTAGGAGAATATGAAGAAATCCCATTTCCAATGAAGGCCACAAAATGTCAGAATATCCACTTACAGACTTTACAAACAGAGTGTTTCCTAACTGCTCTATGAACAGAAAGGTTAAACTCTGTGAGTTGAACGAACACATCACAGCGCAGTTTGTGGGAATGATTCTGTCTAGTTTTGAAACGAAGATATTTCCTTTTCTGCCATTGACCTTAAAGCGCTTGAAATCTACACTTGCAAATTGCACGAATAGAGTGTTTCAAATCTGCTCTGTCTAAGGAACGTTCAACTCTGTGAGTTGAATGCACACAACACAAGGAAGTTACTGGGAATTCTTCTGTCTAGCCTTACAGGAAAAAAACCCGTTTCCAAAGACGGCCTCTAAGTGTTCAAAATATCCACGTGCAGACTTCACAAACAGAGTGCTTCCAAACTGCTGAATGAAAAGAAAAGTTAAACTCTGAGAGTTGAACACACACATCGCAGAGCAGTTTCTGAGAATGATTCTGTCTAGTTTTTATACGAAGATATTTCCTTTTCTAACATTGACCTCAAAGCGGCTGAAATCTCCACTTGCAAATACCACAAAAAGAGTGTTTCAAGTCTGCTCTGTGTAAAGCATCGTTCAACTCTGTGAGTTGAATACACACAACACAAGGAAGTTACTGAGAATTCTTCTGTCTAGCTGAATATGAAGAAATCCCGCTTCCAAGGAAGGCCTCAAAGAAGTCTGAATATCCACTTGCAGACTTTACAAACAGAGTGTTTCCCAACTGCTCTATGAAAAGAAAGGTTGAACTCTGTGAGTTGAACGCACACATCACAAAGGAGTTTCTGAGAATCATTCTGTCTAGTTTTTATACGAAGATATTTCCTTTTCTACCATTGACCTCAAAGCGGCTGAAATCTCCACTTGCAAATTCCACAAAAAGAGTGTTTCATGTCTGCTCTGTGTAAAGGATCGTTCAACTCTGTGAGTTGAATACACACAACACAAGGAAGTTACTGAGAATTCTTCTGTCTAGCAGAATATGAAGAAATCCCGTTTCCAACGAAGGCCACAAGATATCAGAATATCCACTTACAGACTTTACAAAGAAAGTGTTTCCTAACTGCTCTATGAACAGAAAGGTTAAACTCTGTGAGTTGAACGAACACATCACAACGCAGTTTGTGGGAATGATTCTGTCTAGTTTTGAAACGACGATATTTCCTTTTCTGCCATTGACCTTAAAGCGCTTGAAATCTACACTTGCAAATTGCACAAATAGAGTGTTTCAAATCTGGTCTGTCTAAGGGAACGTTCAACTCTGTGAGTTGAATGCACACAACACAAGGAAGTTACTGGGAATTCTTCTGTCTAGCCTTACATGAAAAAAACCCGTTTCCAACGAAGGCCTCTAAATGGTCAAAATTTCCACGTGCAGACTTTAGAAACAGAGTGTTTCCAAACCGCTGAATGAAAAGAAAAGTTAAACTCTGAGAGTTGAACGCACACATTACGCAGCAGTTTCTGAGAATGATTCTGTCTAGTTTTTATACGAAGATATTTCCTTTTCTACCTTTGGCCACAAAGCGCTTGAAATCTCCACTTGCAAATTCCACAAAAACAGTGTTTCAAATCTGCTCTCTCTAAATGAAAGTTCAACTCTGTCAGTTGAATACACACAACACAAGGAAGTTACTGAGAATTCTTCTGTCTAGCCTTATATGAAAAAAACCCGTTTCCAACGAAGGCCTCAAAGAGGTCTGAATATCCACTTGCAGACTTTACAAACAGAGTGTTTCCTAACTGCTCTATGAAAAGAAAGGTTAAACTCTGTGAGTTGAACGTACACATCACAAAGGAGTTTCTGAGAATCATTCTGTCTAGTTTCTATAGGAAGATATTTCCTATTCTACCATTGACCTCAAAGCGGCTGAAATCTCCACTTGCAAATTCCACAAAAAGAGTGTTTCAAGTCTGCTCTGTGTAAAGGATCGTTCAACTCTGTGAGTTGAAATCACACAACACAAGGAAGTTTCTGAGAATTCTTCTGTCTAGCAGAATATGAAGAAATCCCTTTTCAAACGAAGGCCACAAGGATGTCAGAATATCCACTTACAGACTTTACAAACAGAGTGTTTCCTAACTGCTCTATGAACAGAAAGGTTAAACTCTGTGAGTTGAACGAACACATCACAACGCAGTTTGTGGGAATGATTCTGTCTAGTTTTGAAACGAAGATATTTCCTTTTCTGCCATTGACCTTAAAGCGCTTGAAATCTACACTTGCAAATTGCACAAATAGAGTGTTTCAAATCTGCTCTGTCTAAGGGAACGTTCAACTCTGTGAGTGGAATGCACACAACACAAGGAAGTTACTGGGAATTCTTCTGTCTAGCCTTACATGAAAAAAACCCGTTTCCAACGAAGGCCTCTAAGTGGTCAAAATATCCACGTGCAGACTTTACAAACAGAGTATTTCCAAAATGCTGAATGAAAAGAAAAGTGAAACTCTGAGAGTTGAACGCACACATCACAGAGCAGTTTCTGAGAATGATTCTGTCTAGTTTTTATACGAATATATTTCCTTTTCTGCCTTTGGCCCCATAGCGCTTGAAATCTCCACTTGCAAATTCCACAAAAACTGTGTTTCAAATCTGCTCTCTCTAAATGAAAGTTCAACTCTGTCAGTTGAATACACACAACACAAGGAAGTTACTGAGAATTCTTCTGTCTAGAATAATATGAAGAAATCCCGTTTCCAACGAAGGCCTCAAAGGGGTCTGAATATCCACTTGCAGACTTTATAAACAGAGTGTTTACTAACTGCTCTATGAAAAGAAAGGTTAAACTCTGTGAGTTGAACACACACATCACAAAGGAGTTTCTGAGAATGATTCTGTCTAGTTTCTATAGGAAGATATTTCCTATTCTACCATTGACCTCAAAGCGGCTGAAATCTCCACTTGCAAATTCCACAAAAGGAGTGTTTCAAGTCTGCTCTGTGTAAAGGATCGTTCAACTCTTGTGAGTTGAAAACACACAACACAAGGAAGTTACTGAGAATTCTTCTGTCTAGCAGAATATGAAGAAATCCCGTTTCCAACGAAGGCCACAAGATGTCAGAATATCCACTTACAGAATTTACAAACAGACTGTTTCCTAACTGCTCTATGAAAAGAAAGGTTAAACTCTGTGAGTTGAACGAACACCTCACAACGCAGTTTGTGGGAATGATTCTGTCTAGTTTTGAAACGAAGATGTTTCCTTTTCTGCCATTGACCTTAAAGCGCTTGAAATCTACACTTGTAAATTACACAAATAGAGTGATTCAAATCTGCTCTGTCTAAGGGAATGTTCATCTCTGTGAGTTGAATGCACACAACTCAAGGAAGTTACTGGGAATTCTTCTGTCTAGCCTTACATGAAAAAAACCCGTTTCCAACGAAGGCCTCTAAGTGGTCAAAATATCCACGTGCAGACTTTAGAAACAGAGTGTTTCCAAACCGCTGAATGAAAAGAAAAGTTAAACTCTGAGAGTTGAACGCACACATCACGCAGCAGTTTCTGAGAATGATTCTGTCTAGTTTTTATACGAAGATATTTCCTTTTCTGCCTTTGGCCCCCAAGCGCTTGAAATCTCCACTTGCAAATTCCACAAAAACAGTGTTTCAAATCTGCTCTCTCTAAATGAAAGTTCAACTCTGTCAGTTGAATACACACAACACAAGGAAGTTGCTGAGAATTCTTCTGTCTAGCCTTATATGAAAAAAACCCGTTTCCAACGAAGGCCTCAAAGAGGTCTGAATATCCACTTGCAGACTTTACAAACAGAGTGTTTCCTAACTGCTCTAAGAAAAGAAAGGTTAAACTCTGTGAGTTGAACGTACACATCACAAAGGAGTTTCTGAGAATCATTCTGTCTAGTTTTTATACGAAGATATTTCCTTTTCTACCATGGACCTCAAAGCGGCTGAAATCTCCACATGCAAATTCCACAAAAAGAGTGTTTCAAGTCTGCTCTGTGTAAAGGATCGTTCAACTCTGTGAGTTGAATACACACAACACAAGGGAAGATTCTGAGAATTCTTCTGTCTAGCAGAATATGAAAAAATCCCGTTTCCAACGAAGGCCACAAGATGTCAGAATATCCACTTACAGACTTTACAAACAGAGTGTTTCCTAAGTGCTCTATGAACAGAAAGGTTAAACTCTGTGAGTTGAACGAACACATCACAACGCAGTTTCTGGGAATGATTCTGTCTAGTTTTGAAACGAAGATATTTCCTTTTCTGCCATTGACCTTAAAGCGCTTGAAATCTCCATTTGCCAATTGCACAAAAAGAGTGTTTCAAATCTGCTCTGTCTAACGGAACGTTCAACTCTGTGAGTTGAATGTACACAACACAAGGAAGTTACTGGGAATTCTTCTGTCTAGCCTTACATGAAAAAAACCCGTTTCCAACGAAGGCCTCTAAGTAGTCAATTTATCCACGTGCAGACTTTACAAACAGAGTGTTTCCAAACTGCTGAATGAAAAGAAAAGTTAAACTCTGAGAGTTGAGCGCACACATCGCAGAGCAGTTTCTGAGAATGATTCTGTCTAGTTTTTATACGAAGATATTTCCTTTTCTGCCTTTGGCCTCAAAGCGCTTGAAATCTCCACTGGCAAATTCCACAAAAAGAGTGTTTCCAATCTGCTCTGTGTAAATGAAAGTTCAACTCTGTGAGTTGAACACACACAACAAAAGGAAGTTACTGGGAATTCTTCTGTCTAGCAGAATATGAAGAAATCCCGCTTCCAACGAAGGCCTCAAAGAAGTCTGAATATCCACTTGCAGACTTTACAAACAGAGTGTTTCCCAACTGCTCTATGAAAAGAATGGTTGAACTCTGTGAGTTGAACGCACACATCACAAAGGAGTTTCTCAGAATCATTCTGTCTAGTTTCTATAGGAAGATATTTCCTATTCTACCATTGACCTCAAAGCGGCTGAAATCTCCACTTGCAAATTCCACAAAAAGAGGGTTTCAAGACTGTTCTGTGTAAAGGATCATTCAACTCTGTGAGTTGAATACACACAACACAAGGAAGTTACTGAGAATTCTTCTGTCTAGCCTTATATGAAAAAACCCGTTTCCAACGAACGCTTCAAAGAGGTCTGAATATCCACTTGCAGACTTTACAAACAGAGTGTTTCCTAACTGCTCTATGAAAAGAAGGGTTAAACTCTGTGAGTTGAACGCACACATCACAAAGGAGTTTCTGAGAATCATTCTGTCTAGTCTGTATAAGAAGATATTTCCTTTTCTACCATTGACCTCAAAGCGGCTGAAATCTCCACTTGCACATTCCACAAAAAGAGTGTTTCAAGTCCGCTCTGTGTAAAGGATCGTTCAACTCTGTGAGTTGAATACACACAACACAAGGAAGTTACTGAGAATTCTTCTGTCTAGCAGAATATGAAGAAATCCCGTATCCAACGAAGGCCACAAGGATGTCAGAATATCCACTTACAGACTTTACAAACAGAGTGTTTCCTAACTGCTCTATGAACAGAAAGGTTAAACTCTGTGAGTTGAACGAACACATCACAACGCAGTTTGTGGGAATGATTCTGTCTAGTTTTGAAACGAAGATATTTCCTTTTCTGCCATTGACCTTAAAGCGCTTGAAATCTCCATTTGCCAATTGCACAAAAAGAGTGTTTCAAATCTGCTCTGTCTAAGGGAACGTTCAACTGTGTGAGTTGAATGTACACAACACAAGGAAGTTACTGGGAATTCTTCTGTCTACCCTTACATGAAAAAAACCCGTTTCCAACGAAGGCCTCTAAGTGGTCAAAATATCCACGTGCAGACTTTACAAACAGAGTGTTTCCAAACTGCTGAATGAAAAGAAAAGTTAAACTCTGAGAGTTGAACGCACACATCACAGAGCACTTTCTGAGAATGATTCTGTCTAGTTTTTATACGAAGATATTTCCTTTTCTGCCTTTGGCCCAAAAGCGCTTGAAATCTCCACTTGCAAATTCCACAAAAACAGTGTTACAAATCTGCTCTCTCTAAATGAAATTTCAACTCTGTCAGTTGAATACACACAAAACAAGGAAGTTACTGAGAATTCTTCTGTCTAGCACAGTATGAAGAAATCCCGTTTCCAACGAAGGCCTCAAAGAGGTGAGAATATCGACTTGCAGAGTTTACAAACAGAGTGTTTCCTAACTGCTGTATGAAAAGAAAGGTTAAACTCTGTGAGTTGAACGCACACATCACAATGAAGTTTCTGAGAATCATTCTGTCTAGTTTCTATAGGAAGATATTTCCTATTCTACCATTGACCCCTTAGCGGCTGAAATCTCCACTTGCAGATTCCTCAAAAAGAGTGTTTCAAGTATGCTCTGTGTAAAGGATCGTTCAACTCTGTGAGTTGAATACAGACAACACAAGGAAGTTACTGAGAATTTTTCTGTGTAGCATAATATGAAGAAATCCCGTTTCCAACGAAGGCCTCAAAGAGGTCTGAATATCCACTTGCAGACTTTACAAACAGAGTGTTTCCTAACTGCTCTATGAACAGAAAGGTTAAACTCTGTGAGTTGAACGAACACATCACAACGCAGTTTGTGGGAATGATTCTCTCTAGTTTTGAAACGAAGATATTTCCTTTTCTGCCATTGACCTTAAAGCGCTTGAAATCTACACTTGCAAATTGCACCAATAGACTGTTTCAAATCTGCTCTGTCTAAGGGAACGTTCAACTCTGTGAGTTGAATGCACACAACACAAGGAAGTTACTGGGAATTCTTCTGTCTAGCCTTACATGAATAAATCCCGTTTCCAACGAAGGCCTCTAAGTGGTCAAAATATCCACGTGCAGACTTTACAAACAGAGTGTTTCCAAACCGCTGAATGAAAAGAAAAGTTAAACTCTGAGAGTTGAACGCACACATCACGCAGCAGTTTCTGACAATGTTTCTGTCTAGTTTTTATACGAAGATATTTCCTTTTCTGCCTTTGGCCCCAAAGCGCTTGAAATCTCCACTTGCAAATTCCACAAAAACAGTGTTTCAAATCTGCTCTCTCTAAATGAAAGTTCAACTCTGTGAGTTGTATACACACAACACAAGGAAGTTACTGAGAATTCTTCTGTCTAGCAGAATATGAAGAAATCCCGTTTCCAACGAAGGCCTCAAGGAGGTCTGAATATCTGCTTGCAGACTTTACAAACAGTGTGTTTCCTAACAGCTCTATGAAAAGAAAGGTTAAACTCTGTGAGTTGAACGCACACATCACAAAGGAGTTTATGAGAATCATTCTGTCTAGTTTCTATACGAAGATATTTCATTTTCTACCATTAACCTCAAAGAGGCAGAAATCTCCACTTGCAAATTCCACAAAAAGAGTGTTTCAAGTCTAATCTGTGTAAAGGATCATTCAACTCTGTGAGTTGAATAAACACAACACAAGGAAGTTACTGAGAATTCTTCTGTCTAGCAGAATATGAAGAAATCCTGTTTCCAACGAAGGCCACAAGATGTCAGAATATCCACTTACAGAATTGACAAACAGACTGTTTCCTAACTGCTCTATGAAAAGAAAGGTTAAACTCTGTGAGTTGAACGAACACATCACAACGCAGTTTGTGGGAATGATTCTGTCTAGTTTTGAAACGAAGATATTTCCTTTTCTCCCATTGACCTTAAAGCGCTTGAGATCTACACTTGCAAATTGCACAAATAGAGTGTTTCAAATCTGCTCTGTCTAAGGGAACGTTCAACTCTGTGATTTGAATGCACACAACACAAGGAAGTTACTGGGAATTCTTCTGTCTAGCCTTACATGAAAAAAACCCGTTTCCAACGAAGGCCTCTAAGTGGTCAAAATATCCACGTGCAGACTTTACAAACAGAGTGTTTCCAAACCGCTGAATGAAAAGAAAAGTTAAACTCTGAGAGTTGAACGCACACATCACGCAGCAGTTTACTGAGAATGATTCTCTGTCTAGTTTTCATACGAAGATATTTCCTTTTCTGCCTTTGGCCTGAAAGGGCTTGAAATCTCCATTTGCAAATTCCACAAAAAGAGTGTTTCAAATCTGCTCTGTGTAAATGAAAGTTCAACTCTGTGAGTTGAATACACACAACTCAAGGAAGTTACTGGGAATTCTTCTGTCTAGCATAATATGAAGAAATCCCGTTTCCAACGAAGGCCTCAAGGAGGTCTGAATATCCACTTGCAGACTTTACAAACACAGTGTTTCCTAACTTCTCTATGAAAAGAAAGGTTAAACTCTGTGAGTTGAACGCACACATCACAAAGGAGTTTCTGAGAATCATTCTGACTAGTTTTTCTACGAAGATATTTCCTTTTCTACTATTGACCTCAAAGCCGCTGAAATCTCCACTTGCAAATTCCACAAAAAGAGTGTTTCAAGTCTGCTCTGTGTAAAGGATCGTTCAACTCTGTGAGTTGAATACACACAACACAAGGAAGTTACTGAGAATTCTTCTGTCTAGCAGAATATAAAGAAATCCCGTTTCCAACGAAAGCCTCAAAGAGGTCTGAATATCCACTTGCAGACTTTACAAACAGAGTGTTTCCTAACTGCTCTATGAAAAGAAAGGTTAAACTCTGTGAGTTGAACGCACACATCACAAAGGAGTTTCTGAGAATCATTCTGTCTAGTTTTGAAACGAAGATATTTCCTTTTCTGCCGTTGACCTTAAAGCGCTTGAAATCTATACTTGCAAATTGCACAAATAGAGTGTTTCAAATCTGCTCTGTCTAAGGGAACGTTCAACTCTGTGAGTTGAATGCACACAACACAAGGAAAGTTACTGGGAATTCTTCTGTCTAGCCTTACATGAAAAAAACCCGTTTCCAACGAAGGCCTCTAAGTGGTCAAAATATCCACGTGCAGACATTACAAACAGAGTGTTTCCAAACCGCTGAATGAAAAGAAAAGTTAAACTCTGAGAGTTGAACGCACACATCACGCAGCAGTTTCTGAGAATGATTCTGTATAGTTTCTATAGGAAGATATTTCCTATTCTACCATTGACCTCAAAGCGGCTGAAATCTCCACATGCAAATTCCACAAAAAGAGTGTTTCAAGTCTGCTCTGTGTAAAGGATCGTTCAACTCTGTGAGTTGAATACACACAACACAAGGAAGTTACTGACAATTCTTCTGTCTAGCATAATATGACGAAATCCCGTTTCCAACGAAGGCCTCAAAGAGGTCTGAATATCCACTTGCAGACTTTACAAACAGAGTGTTTCCTAACTGCTCTATGAGAAGAAAAGTTAAACTCTGTGAGTTGAACGCACACATCACAAAAGATTTTCTGAGAATCATTCTGTCTAGTTTTTATACGAAGATATTTCCTTTTCTACCATTGACCTCAAAGCGGCTGAAATCTCCACTTGCAAATTCCACAAAAAGAGTGTTTCAAGTCTGCTCTGTTTAAAGGATCGTTCAACTCTGTGAGTTGAATACACAAAACACAAGGAAGTTTCTGAGAATTCTTCTGTATAGCAGAATATGAAGAAATCCCGTTTCCAACGAAGGCCTAAAGGAGGTCTGAATATGCACTTGCAGACTTTACAAACAGAGTGTTTCCTAACTGCTCTATGAAAAGAAAGGTTAAACTCTGTGAGTTGAACGCAGACATCACAAAGGAGTTTCTGAGAATCACTCTGTCTAGTTTTGAAACGAAGATATTTCCTTTTCTGCCATTGACCTTAAAGCGCTTGTAATCTCCACTTGCCAATTGCACAAAAAGAGTGTTTCAAATCTGCTCTGTCTAAGGGAACGTTCAACTCTGTGAGTTGAATGTACACAACACAAGGAAGTTACTGGGAATTCTTCTGTTTAGCCTTACAGGAAAAAAACCCGTTTCCAACGAAGGCCTCTAAGTGGTCAAAATATCCACGTGCAGACTTTACAAACAGAGTGTTTCCAAACTGCTGAATGAAAAGAAAAGTTAAACTCTGAGAGTTGAAGGCACACATCGCAGAGCAGTTTCTGAGAATGATTCTGTCTAGTTTTTATACGAAGATATTTCCTTTTCTACCGTTGACCTCAAAGCGGCAGAAATCTCCACTTGCAAATTCCACAAAAAGAGTGTTTCAAGTCTGCTCTGTGTAAAGGATCGTTCAACTCTGTGAGTTGAATACACACAACACAAGGAAGTTACTGAGAATTCTTCTGTCTAGCATAATATGAAGAAATCCCGTTTCCAACGAAGGCCACAAAGAGGTCTGAATATCCACTTGCAGACTTTACAAACAGAGTGTTTCCTAACTGCTCTATGAAAAGAAAGGTTAAACTCTGTGAGTTGAACGCACACATCACAAAGGAGTTTCTGAGAATCATTCTGTCTAGTTTCTATAGGAAGATATTTCCTATTCTACCATTGAACTCAAAGCGGCTGAAATCTCCACTTGCAAAATCCACAAAAAGAGTGTTTCAAGTCTGCTCTGTGTAAAGGATCGTTCAACTCTGTGAGTTGAATACACACAACACAAGGAAGTTACTGAGAATTCTTCTGTCTAGCAGAATATGAAGAAACCCCGTTTCCAACGAAGGCCACAAGATGTCAGAATATCCACTTACAGAATTTACAAACAGACTGTTTCCTAACTGCTCTATGAAAAGAAAGGTTAAACTCTGTGAGTTTACCGAACACCTCACAACGCAGTTTGTGGGAATGATTCTGTCTAGTTTTGAAACGAAGATATTTCCTTTTCTGCCGTTGACCTTAAAGCGCTTGAAATCTACACTTGCAAATTGCACAAATAGAGTGTTTCAAATCTGCTCTGTCTAAGGGAACGTTCAACTCTGTGAGTTGAATGCACACAACACAAGGGAAGTTACTGGGAATTCTTCTGTCTAGCCTTACATGAAAAAAACCCGTTTCCAACGAAGGCCTCTAAGTGGTCAAAATTTCCACGTGCAGACTTTACAAACAGAGTGTTTCCAAACCGCTGAATGAAAAGAAAAGTTAAAATCTGAGAGTTGAACGCACACATCACGCAGCAGTTTCTGAGAATGATTCTGTCTAATTTTTATACGAAGATATTTCCTTTTCTGCCTTTGGCCCCAAAGCGCTTGAAATCTCCACTTGCAACTTCCACAAAAACAGTGTTTCAAATCTGCTCTCTCTAAATGATAGTTCAACTCTGTCAGTTGAATACACACAACACAAGGAAGTTACTGAGAATTCTTCTGTCTAGCCTTATATGAAAAAAACCCGTTTCCAACGAAGGCCTCAAAGAGGTCTGAATATCCACTTGCAGACTTTACAAACAGAGTGTTTCCTAACTGCTCTATGAAAAGAAAGGTTAAACACTGTGAGTTGAACGCACACATCACAAAGGAGTTTCTGAGAATCATTCTGTCTAGTCTTTATACGAAGATATTTCCTTTTCTACCATTGACCTCAAAGCGGCTGAAAACTCCACTTGCAAATTCCACAAAAAGAGTGTTTCAAGTCTGCTCTCTGTAAAGGATCGTTCAACTCTGTGAGTTGAACACACACAACACAAGGAAGTTACTGAGAATTCTTCTGTCTAGCAGAATATGAAGAAATCCCGTTTCCAACGAATGCCACAAGATGTCAGAATATCCACTTACAGAATTGACAAACAGACTGTTTCCTAACTGCTCTATGAAAAGAAAGGTTAAACTCTGTGAGTTGAACGAACACATCACAACGCAGTTTGTGGGAATGATTCTGTCTAGTTTTGAAACGAAGATATTTCCTTTTCTGCCATTGACCTTAAAGCGCTTGAAATCTCCACTTGCCAATTGCACAAAAAGAGTGTTTCAAATCTGCTCTGTCTAAGGGAACGTTCAACTCTGTGAGTTGAATGTACACAACACAAGGAAGTTAGTGGGAATTCTTCTGTCTAGCCTTACATGAAAAAAACCCGTTTCCAACGAAGGCCTCTAAGTGGTCAAATTATCCACGTGCAGAC
This sequence comes from Homo sapiens, assembly GCF_000001405.40. NCBI lineage: Eukaryota > Metazoa > Chordata > Mammalia > Primates > Hominidae > Homo > Homo sapiens. The sequence continues at coordinate 48,455,140 of NC_000005.10, read as the reverse complement.
TTTACAAATAGAGTGTTTCCAAACTGCTGAATGAAAAGAAAAGTTAAACTCTGAGAGTTGAACGCACACATCGCAGAGCAGTTTCTGAGAATGATTCTGTCTAGTTTTTATACGAAGACATTTCCTTTTCTACCATTGACCTCAAAGCGGCTGAAATCTCCACTTGCAAATTCCACAAAAAGAGTGTTTCAAGTCTACTCTGTGTAAAGCATCGTTCAACTGTGTGAGTTGAAAACACACAACAGAAGGAAATTTCTGAGAATTCTTCTGTATAGCAGAATATGAAGAAATCACGGTTTCCAACGAAGGCCTCAAAGATGTCTGAATATCCACTTGCAGACTATAAAAACAGAGTGTTTCCTAACTGCTCTATGAAAAGAAAGGTTAAACTCTGTGAGTTGAACGCACACATCACAAAGGAGTTTCTGAGAATCATTCTGTCTAGTTTCTATAGGGAGATACTTCCTATTCTACCATTGACCTCAAAGCGGCTGAAATCTCCACTTGCAAATTCCACAAAAAGAGTGTTTCAAGTATGCTCTGTGTAAAGGATCGTTTAACTCTGTGAGTTGAATACACACACTACAAGGAACTTACTGAGAATTCTTCTGTCTAGCATAATATGAAGAAATCCCGTTTCCAACGAAGGCCTCAAGGAGGTCTGAATATCCACTTGCAGACTTTACAAACAGAGTGTTTCCTAACTGCTCTATAAAAAGAAAGGTTAAACTCTGTGAGTTGAACGCACACATCACAAAGGAGTTTCTGAGAATCATTCTGTCTAGTTTTTATAGGAAGATATTTCCTTTTCTACCATTGACCTCAAAGCGGCTGAAATCTCCACTTGCAAATTCCAGAAAAAGAGTGTTTCAAGTCTGCTCTGTGTAAAGGATCGTTGAACTCTGTGAGTTGAATACACACAACACAATGAAGTTACTGAGAATTCTTCTGTCTAGCCTTACATGAAAAAAACCCGTTTCCAACGAAGGCCTCTAAGTGGTCAAGTTATCCACGTGCAGACTTTACAAACAGAGTGTTTCCAAACTGTTGAATGAAAAGAAAAGTTAAACTCTGAGAGTTGAACGCACACATCGCAGAGCAGTTTCTGAGAATGATTCTGTCTAGTTTTTATACGAAGATATTTCCTTTTCTGCCTTTGGCCCCAAAGCGCTTGAAATCTCCACTTGCAAATTCCACAAAACAGTGTTTCAAATCTGCTCTCTCTAAATGATAGTTCAACTCTGTCAGTTGAATACACACAACACAAGGAAGTTACTGAGAATTCTTCTGTCTAGCATAGTATGGAGAAATCCCGTTTCCAACGAAGGCCTCAAACAGGTCTGAATATCCACTTGCAGACTTTACAAACAGAGTGTTTCCTAACTGCTCTATGAAAAGAAAGGTTAAACTCTGTGAGTTGAACGCACACATCACAAAGAAGTTTCTGAGAATCATTCTGTCTAGTTTTTATATGAAGATATTTACTTTTCTACCATTGACCTCAAAGCGGCTGAAATCTCCACTTGCAAATTCCACAAAAAGAGTGTTTCAAATCTGCTCTGTGTAAACCATCGTTCAACTCTGTGAGTTGAATACACACAACACAAGGAAGATTCTGAGAATTCTTCTGTCTAGCAGAATATGAAGAAATCCCGTTTCCAACGAAGGCCTCAAGGAGGTCTGAATATCCACTGGCAGACTTTACAAACAGAGTGTTTCCTAACTGCTCTATGAACAGAAAGGTTAAACTCTGTGAGTTGAACGAACACATCACAACGCAGTTTGTGGGAATGAATCTGTCTAGTTTTGAAACGAAGATATTTCCTTTTCTGCCGTTGACCTTAAAGCGCTTGAAATCTACACTTGCAAATTGGACAAATAGAGTGTTTCAAATCTGCTCTGTCTAAGGGAACGTTCAACTCTGTGAGTTGAATGCACACAACACAAGGAAGTTACTGGGAATTCTTCTGTCTAGCCTTACATGAAAAAAACCCGTTTCCAACGAAGGCCTCTAAGTAGGTCAAGTTATCCACGTGCAGACTTTACAAACAGAGTGTTTCCAAACTGCTGAATGAAAAGAAAAGTTAAACTCTGAGAGTTGAACGCACACATCGCATAGCAGTTTCTGAGAATGATTCTGTCTAGTTTTTATACGAAGATATTTCCTTTTCTGCCTTTGGCCTCAAAGCACTTGAAATCTCCACTTGCAAATTCCACAAAAAGAGTGTTTCAAATCTGCTCTGTGTAAATGAGAGTTCAACTCTGTGAGTTGAACACACACAACACAAGGAAGTTACTGGGAATTCTTCTGTCTAGCATAACATGAAGAAATCCCGTTTCCAACGAAGGCTTCAAAGAGGTCTGAATATCCCCTTGCAGGCTTTACAAACAGAGTGTTTCCTAACTGCTCTATGAAAAGAACGGTTAAACTCTGTGAGTTGAACGCACACATCGCAAAGGAGTTTCTGAGAATCATTCTGTCTAGTTTCTATAGGAAGATATTTCCTATTCTACCATTGACCTCAAAGCGGCTGAAATCTCCACTTGCAAATTCCACAAAAAGAGTGTTTCAAGTCTGCTCTGTGTAAAGGATCATTCAACTCTGTGAGTTGAATACACACAACACAAGGAAGTTACTGAGAATTCTTCTGTCTAGCAGAATATGAAGAAATCCCGTTTCCAACGAAGGCCTCAAGGAGGTCTGAATATCCACTTGCAGACTTTACAAACAGAGTGTTTCCTAACTGCTCTATGAACGGAAAGGTTAAACTCTGTGAGTTGAACGCACACATCACAAAGGAGTTTCTGAGAATCATTCTGTCTAGTCTTTATACGAAGATATTTACTTTTCTACCATTGACCTCAAAGCGGCTGAAATCTCCAACTGCAAATTCCACAAAAAGAGTGTTTCAAGTCTGCTCTGTGTAAAGGATCATTCAACTCTGTGAGTTGAATAAACACAACAGAAGGAAGTTACTGAGAAATCTTCTGTCTAGCCTTACATGAAAAAAACCCGTTTCCAACGAAGGCCTCTAAGTGGTCAAAATATCAACGTGCAGACTTTACAAACAGAGTGTTTCCAAACCGCTGAATGAAAAGAAAAGTTAAACTCTGAGAGTTGAACGCACACATCACGCAGCAGTTTCTGAGAATGATTCTGTCTAGTTTTTATACGAAGATATTTCCTTTTCTGCCTTTGGCCCCAATGCGCTTGAAATCTCCACTTGCAAATTCCACAAAAACAGTGTTTCAAATCTGCTCTCTCGAAATGAAAGTTCAACTCTGTCAGTTGAATACACACAACACAAGGAAGTTACTGAGAATTCTTCTGTCTAGCCTTATATGAAAAAATCCCGTTTCCAACGAAGGCCTCAAAGAGGTCAGAATATCCACTTGCAGACTTTACAAACAGAGTGTTTCCTAACTGCTCTATGAAAAGAAAGGTTAAACTCTGTGAGTTGAACGCACACATCACAAAGGAGTTTCTGAGAATCAGTCTGTCTAGTTTCTATAAGAAGATATTTTCTATTCTACCATTGACCTCAAAGCGGCTGAAATCTCCACTTGCAAATTCGACAAAAAGAGTGTTTCAAGCCTGCTCTCTGTAAAGGATCCTTCAACTCTGTGAGTTGAATACACACAACACAAGGAAGTTACTGAGAATTATTCTGTCTAGCAGAATATGAAGAAATCCCGTTTCCAACGAAGGCCACAAGATGTCAGAATATCCACTTACAGAATTTACAAACAGACTGTTTCCTAACTGCTCTATGAAAAGAAAGGTTAAACTCTGTGAGATTAACGAACACATCACAACGCAGTTTTTGGGAATGATTCTGTCTAGTTTTGAAACGAAGATATTTCCTTTCCTGCCATTGACCTTAAAGCGCTTGAAATCTCCATTTGCCAATTGCACAAAAAGAGTGTTTCAAATCTGCTCTGTCTAAGGGAACGTTCAACTGCTGTGAGTTGAATGTACACAACACAAGGAAGTTACTGGGAATTCTTCTGTCTAGCCTTACATGAAAAAAACCCGTTTCCAACGAAGGCCTCTAAGTGGTCAAAATATCCACGTGCAGTCTTTACAAACAGAGTGTTTCCAAACCGCTGAATGAAAAGAAAAGTTAAACTCTGAGAGTTGAACGCACACATCACGCCGCAGTTTCTGAGAATGATTCTGTCTAGTTTTGAAACGAAGACATTTCCTTTTCTGCCTTTGGCCACAAAGCCCTTGAAATCTCCACTTGCAAATTCCACAAAAAGAGGGTTTCAAATCTGCTCTGTGTAAATGAAAGTTCAACTCTGTGAGTTGAACACACACAACACAAGGAAGTTACTGGGAATTCTTCTGTCTAGCAGAATATGAAGAAATCCCGTTTCCAACGAAGGCCTCAAAGAGGTCTGAATATCCACTTGCACACTTTACAAACAGAGTGTTTCCTAACTGCTCTATGAAAAGAAAGGTTAAACTCTGTGAGTTGAATGCACACATCACAAAGGAGTTTCTGAGAATCGTTCTGTCTAGTTTTTATAGGAAGTTATTTCCTTTTCTAACTTTGACTTCAAAGCGGCTGAAATCTCCACTTGCAAATTCCACAAAAAGAGTGTTACAAGTCCGCTCTGTGTAAAGGATCGTTCAACTCTGTGAGTTGAATACACACAACACAAGGAAGTTACTGAGAATACTTCTGTCTAGCCTTACATGAAAAAAACCCGTTTCCAACGAAGGCCTCTAAGTGGTCAAGTTATCCACGTGCAGACTTCACAAACAGAGTGTTTCCAAACTGCTGAATGAAAAGAAAAGTTAAACTCTGAGAGTTGAACGCACACATCGCAGAGCAGTTTCTGAGAATGATTCTGTCTAGTTTTGAAACGAAGATATTTCCTTTTCTGCCGTTGACCTTAAAGAGCTTGAAAACTACACTTGCAAATTGCACAAATAGAGTGTTTCAAATCTGCTCTGTCTAAGGGAACGTTCAACTCTGTGAGTTGAATGCACACAACACAAGGAAGTTACTGGGAATTCTTCTGTCTAGCATAGTATGAAGAAATCCCGTTTCCAACGAAGGCCTCAAAGAGGTTTGAATATCCACTTGCAGAGTTTACAAACAGAGTGTTTCCTAACTGATCTATGAAAAGAAAGGTTAAACTCTGTGAGTTGAACGCACACATCACAAAGAAGTTTCTGAGAATCATTCTGTGCTAGTTTTTATACGAAGATATTCCCTTTTCTACCATTGACCTCAACGCGGCTGAAATCTCCACTTGCAAATTCCACAAAACGAGTGTTTCAAGTCCGCTCTGTGTAAAGGATCGTTCAACTCTGTGAGTTGAATACACACAACACAAGGAAGTTACTGAGAATTCTTCTGTCTAGCATAGTATGAAGAAATCCCGTTTCCAACGAAGGCCTCAAAGAGGTCTGAATATCCACTTGCAGAGTTTACAAACAGAGTGTTTCCTAACTGCTCTATGAAAAGAAAGGTTAAACTCTGTGAGTTGAACGCACACATCACAATGAAGTTTCTGAGAATCATTCTGTCTAGTTTTTATACGAAGATATTTCCTTTTCTACCATTGACCTCAACGCGGCTGAAATCTCCACTTGCAAATTCCACAAAAAGAGTGTTTCAACTCCGCTCTGTGTAAAGGATCGTTCAACTCTGTGAGTTGAATACACACAACACAAGGAAGTTACTGAGAATTCTTCTGTCTAGCACAGTATGAAGAAACCCCGTTTCCAACGAAGGCCTCAAAGAGGTCTGAATATCCACTTGCAGAGTTTACAAACAGAGTGTTTCCTAACTGCTCTATGAAAAGAAAGGTTAAACTCTGTGAGTTGAACGCACACATCACAATGAAGTTTCTGAGAATCATTCTGTCTAGTTTTTATAGGAAGATATTTCCTTTTCTACCTTTGACTTCAAAGCGGCTGAAATCTCCACTTGCAAATTCCACAAAAAGAGTGTTACAAGTCTACTCTGTGTAAAGGATCGTTCAACTGTGTGAGTTGAATACACACAACACAAGGAAGTTAATGAGAATTCTTCTGTCTAGCCTTACATGAAAAAAACCCGTTTCCATCGAAGGCCTCTACGTGGTCAAATTATCCACGTGCAGACTTTACAAACAGAGTGTTTCCAAACTGCTGAATGAAAAGAAAAGTTAAACTCTGAGAGTTGAACGCACACATCGCAGAGCAGTTTCTGAGAATGATTCTGTCTAGTTTTTATACGAAGATATTTCCTTTTCTGCCTTTGGCCTCAAAGCGCTTGAATTCTCCACTTGCAAATTCCACAAAAAGAGTGTTTCAAATCTGCTCTGGGTAAATGAAAGTTCAACTCTGTGAGTTGAACACACACAACACAAGGAAGTTACTGGGAATTCTTCTGTCTAGCCTTATATGAAAAAAACCCGTTTCCAACGAAGGCCTCAAAGAGGTCTGAATATCCACTTGCAGACTTCACAAACAGAGTGTTTCCTAACTGCTCTATGAAAAGAAAGGTTAAACTCTGTTAGTTGAACGCACACATCACAAAGGAGTTTCTGAGAATCATTCTGTCTAGCTTTTATACGAAGATATTTCCTTTTCTACCATTGACCTCAACGCGGCTGAAATCTCCACTTGCAAATTCCACAAAACGTGTGTTTCAAGTCCGCTCTGTGTAAAGGATCGTTCAACTCTGTGAGTTGAATACACACAACACAAGGAAGTTACTGAGAATTCTTCTGTCTAGCAGAATATGAAGAAATCCCGTTTCCAACGAAGGCCACAAGATGTCAGAATATCCTCTTACAGAATTTACAAACAGACTGTTTCCTAACTGCTCTATGAAAAGAAAGGTTAAACTCTGTGAGTTGAACGAACACGTCACAACGCAGTTTGTGGGAATGATTCTGTCTAGTTTTTATACGAAGATATTTCCTTTTCTACCATTGACCTCAAAGCGGCTGAAATCACCACTTGCCAATTGCACAAAAAGAGTGTTTCAAATCTACTCTGTCTAAGGGAACGTTCAAATGTGTGAGTTGAATGTACGCAACACAAGGAAGTTCCTGGGAATTCTTCTGTCTAGCCTTACATGAAAAAAACCCGTTTCCAAGGAAGGCCTCTAAGTGGTCAAATTATCCACGTGCAGACTTTACAAACAGAGTGTTTCCAAACTGCTGAATGAAAAGAAAAGTTAAACTCTGAGAGTTGAACGCACACATCGCAGAGCAGTTTCTGAGAATGATTCTGTCTAGTTTTTATACGAAGATATTTCCTTTTCTGCCTTTGGCCTCAAAGCGCTTGAAATCTCCACTTGCAAATTCCACAAAAAGAGTGTTTCAAATATGCTCTTTGTAAATGAAAGTTCAACTCTGTGAGTTGAACACACACAACACAAGGAAGTTACTGGGAATCCTTCTGTCTAGCCTTATATGAAAAAAACCCGTTTCCAACGAAGGCCTCATAGAGGTCTGAATATCCACTTGCAGAGTTTACAAACAGAGTGTTTCCTAACTGCTCTATGAAAAGAAAGGTTAAACTCTGTGAGTTGAACACACACATCACAAAGAAGTTTCTGAGAATCATTCTGTCTAGTTTTTATAGGAAGTTAATTCCTTTTCTACCTTTGACTTCAAAGTGGCTGAAATCTCCACTTGCAAATTCCACAAAAAGAGTGTTACAAGTCTGTTCTGTGTAAAGGATCGTTCAACTCTGTGAGTTGAATACACACAACACAAGGAAGTTACTGAGAATTCTTCTGTCTAGCAGAATATGAAGAAATCCCGTTTCCAACGAAGGCCACAAGATGTCAGAATATCCACTTACAGAATTTACAAACAGACTGTTTCCTAACTGCTCTATGAAAAGAAAGGTTAAACTTCTGTGAGTTGAACGAACACATCACAACGCAGTTTGTGGGAATGATTTCTGTCTAGTTTTGAAAGGAAGATATTTCCTTTTCTGCCATTGACCTCAAAGCGCTTGAAATCTCCACTTGCCAATTGCACAAAAAGAGTGTTTCAAATCTGCTCTGTCTAAGGGAACGTTCAACTCTGTGAGTTGAATGTACACAACACAAGGAAGTTACTGGGAATTCTTCTGTCTAGCCTTACAGGAAAAAAACCCGTTTGCAACGACGGCCTCTAAGTGGTCAAAATATCCACGTGCAGACATTACAAACAGAGTGTTTCCAAACTGCTGAATGAAAAGAAAAGTTAAACTCTGAGAGTTGAACGCACACATCGCAGAGCAGTTTCTGAGAATGATTCTGTCTAGTTTCTATAGGAAGATATTTCCTATTCTACCATTGAACTCAAAGCGGCTGAAATCTCCACTTGCAAATGCCACAAAAAGAGTGTTTCAAGTCTGCTCTGTGTAAAGGATCGTCCAACTCTGTGAGTTGAATACACACAACACAAGGAAGTTACTGAGAATTCTTCTGTCTAGCAGAATATGATGAAATCCCGTTTCCAACGAAAGTCTCAAAGATGTCTGAATATCCACTTGCAGACTTTACAAACAGAGTGTTTCCTAACTGCTCTATGAAAAGAAAGGTTAAACTCTGTGAGTAGAACGCACACATCACAAAGGAGTTTCTGAGAATCATTTCTGTCTAGTTTCTATAGGAAGATATTTCTTATTCTACCATTGACCTCAAAGCGGCTGAAATCTCCACTTGCAAATTCCACAAAAAGAGTGTTTCAAGTCTGCTCTGTGTAAAGGATCGTTCAACTCTGTGAGTTGAATACACACAACACAAGGAAGTTACTGAGAATTCTTCTGTCTAGCATAATATGAAGAAATCCCTTTTCCAACGAAGGCCTCAAGGAGGTCTGAATATCCAATTGCAGACTTTACAAACAGAGTGTTTCCTAACTGCTCTATGAAAAGAAAGGTTAAACTCTGTGAGTTGAATGCACACATCACAAAGGAGTTTCTGAGAATCATTCTGTCTAGTTTTTATACGAAGATATTTCCTTTTCTACCATTGACCTCAAAGCGGCTGAAATCTAAACTTGCAAATTCCATAAAAAGAGTGTTTCAAGTCTGCTCTGTGTAAAGGATCGTTCAACTCTGTGAGTTGAATACACACAACACAAGGAAGTTACTGAGAATTCTTCTGTCTAGCCTTACATGAAAAAAACCCGTTTCCAACGAAGACCTCAGAGAAGTCCAAATATCCACATGCAGACTTTACAAACAGAGTGTTTCCTAACTGCTCTATGAAAAGAAAGGTTAAACTCTGTGAGTTGAACGCACACATCACAAACCAGTTTCTGAGAATCATTCTGTCTAGTTTTGAAACGAAGACATTTCCTTTTCTGCCTTTGGCCTCAAAGCCCTTGAAATCTCCACTTGCAAATTCCACAAAAAGAGTGTTTCAAATCTGCTCTGTGTAAATGAAAGTTCAACTCTGTGAGTTGAACACACACAACACAAGGAAGTTACTGGGAATTCTTCTGTCTAGCAGAATATGAAGAAATCCCGTTTCCAACGAAAGCCTCAAAGAGGTCTGAATATCCACTTGCAGACTTTACAAACAGAGTGTTTCCTAACTGCTCTATGAAAAGAAAGGTTAAACTCTGTGTGTTGAACGCACACATCACAAAGGAGTTTCTGAGAATCATTCTGTCTAGTTTTTATAGGAAGATATTCCCTTTTCTACCTTTGACTTCAAAGCGGCTGAAATCTCCACTTGCAAATTCCACAAAAAGAGTGTTACAAGTCTGCTCTGTGTAAAGGATCGGTCAACTCTGTGAGTTGAATACACACAACACAAGGAAAGTTACTGAGAATTCTTTTGTCTAGCAGAATATGAAGAAATCCCGTTTCCAACGAAGGCCACAAGATGTCAGAATATCCACTTTCAGACTTTACAAACAGAGTGTTTCCTAACTGCTCTATGAACAGAAAGGTTAAACTCTGTGAGTTGAACGAACACATCACAACGCAGTTTGTGGGAATGATTCTGTCTAGTTTGGAAACGAAGATATTTCCTTTTCTGCCATTGACCTTAAAGCGCTTGAAATCTCCATTTGCCAATTGCACAAAAAGAGTGTTTCAAATCTGCTCTGTCTAAGGGAACGTTCAACTCTGTGAGTTGAATGTACACAACACAAGGAAAGTTACTGGGAATTCTTCTGTCTAGCCTTACAGGAAAAAAACCCGTTTCCAACGAAGGCCTCAAAGAGGTCTGAATATCCACGTGCAGTCTTTACAAACAGAGTGTTTCCTAACTGCTCTATGAAAAGAAAGTTTTAACTACTGTGAGTTGAACGCACACATCACAAAGAAGTTTCTGAGAATCATTTTGTCTAGGTTCTATAAGAAGATATTTCCTATTCTACCATTGACCTCAAAGTGGCTGAAATCTCCACTTGCAAATTCGACAAAAAGAGTGTTTCAAGCCTGCTCTCTCTAAAGGATCCTTCAACTCTGTGAGTTGAATACACACAACACAAGGAAGTTACTGAGAATTATTCTGTCTAGCAGAATATGAAGAAATCCCGTTTCCAACGAAGGCCTCAAAGAGGTCTGAATATCCACTTGCAGACTTTACAAACAGAGTGTTTCCGAACTGCTCTATAAAAAGAAAGGTTAAACTCTGTGAGCTGAACGCACACATCACAAAGGAGTTTCTGAGAATCATTCTCTGTCTAGTTTTTATACGAAGATATTTCCTTTTCTACCATTGACCTCAAAGCGGCTGATATCTCCACTTGCAAATTCCACAAAAAGAGTGTTTCAAGTCTGCTCTGTGTAAAGGATCGTTCAACTCTGTGAGTTGAATACACACAACACAAGGAAGTTACTGAGAATTCTTCTGTCTAGCAGAATATGAAGAAATCCCGTTTCCAACGAAGGCCACAAGATGTCTGAATATCCACTTACAGACTTTACAAACAGAGTGTTTCCTAACTGCTCTATGAACAGAAAGGTTAAACTTCTGTGAGTTGTACGAACACATCACAACGCAGTTTGTGGGAATGATTCTGTCTAGTTTTGAAACGAAGATATTTCCTTTTCTGCCGTTGACCTTAAAGCGCTTGAAATCTACACTTGGAAATTGCACAAATAGAGTGTTTCAAATCTGCTCTGTCTAAGGGAACGTTCAACTCTGTGAGTTGAATGCGCACAACACAAGGAAGTTACTGGGAATTCTTCTGTCTAGCCTTACATGAAGAAAACCCGTTTCCAACGAAGGCCTCTAAGTGGTCAAAATATCCATGTGCAGACTTTACAAACAGAGTGTTTCCAAACCGCTGAATGAAAAGAAAAGTTAAACTCTGAGAGTTGAACGCACACATCACGCAGCAGTTTCTGAGAATGATTCTGTCTAGTTTTGAAACGAAGATATTTCCTTTTCTGCCTTTGGCCTCAAAGCGCTTGAAATCTCCACTTGCAACTTCCACAAAAAGAGAGTTTCAAATCTGCTCTGTGTAAATGAAAGTTCAACTCTGTGAGTTGAATACACACAACACAAGGAAGTTACTGAGAATTCTTCTGACTAGCATAGTATGAAGAAATCCCGTTTCCAACGAAGGCCTCAAAGAGGTCTGAATATCCACTTGCAGACTTTACAAACAGAGTGTTTCCTAACTGCTCTATGAAAAGAAAGGTTAAACTCTGTGAGTTGAACGCACACATCACAAAGAAGTTTCTGAGAATCATTCTGTCTAGTGTTTCTACGAAGATATTTCCTTTTCTACTATTGACCTCAAAGCGGCTGAAATCTCCACTTGCAAATTCCACAAAAAGAGTGTTTCAAGTCTGCTCTGTGTAAAGGATCGTTCAACTCTGTGAGTTGAATACACACAACACAAGGAAGTTACTGAGAATTCTTCTGTCTAGCAGAATATGAAGAAATCCCGTTTCCAACGAAGGCCACAAGATGTCAGAATATCCACTTACAGAATTTACAAACAGACTGTTTCCAAACTGCTCTATGAAAAGAAAGGTTAAACTCTGTGAGTTGAACGCACACATCACAATGAAGTTTCTGAGAATCATTCTGTCTAGTTTTTATACGAAGATATTTCCTTTTATACCATTGACCTCAAAGCGGCTGAAATCACCACTTGCCAATTGCACAAAAAGAGTGTTTCAAATCTGCTCTGTCTAAGGGAACGTTCAACTCTGTGAGTTGAATGTACACAACACAAGGAAGTTACTGGGAATTCTTCTGTCTAGCCTTACAGGAAAAAAACCCGTTTCCAACGAAGGCCTCTAAGTGGTCAAAATATCCACGTGCAGACTTTACAAAGAGAGTGTTTCCAAACTGCTGAATGAAAAGAAAAGTTAAACTCTGAGAGTTGAACGCACACATCGCAGAGCAGTTTCTGAGAATGATTCTGTCTAGTTTTGAAACGAAGATATTTCCTTTTCTGCTTTGGCCTCAAAGCGCTTGAAATCTCCACTTGCAAATTCCACAAAAAGAGTGTTTCAAATCTGCTCTGTGTAAATGAAAGTTCAACTCTGTGAGTTGAACACACACAACACAAGGAAGTTACTGGGAATTCTTCTGTCTAGCATAATATGAAGAAATCCCGTTTCCAACGAAGGCCCCAAAGGGGTCTGAATATCCACTTGCAGACTTTATAAACAGAGTGTTTACTAACTGCTCTATGAAAAGAAAGGTTAAACTCTGTGAGGTGAACACACACATCACAAAGGAGTTTCTGAGAATCATTCTGTCTAGTTTTTATACGAAGATATTACCTTTTCTACCATTGACCTCAACGCGGCTGAAATCTCCACTTGGAAATTCCACAAAAAGAGTGTTCCAAGTCTGCTCTGTGTAAAGGATCGTTCAACTCTGTGAGTTGAATACACACAACACAAGGAAGTTACTGAGAAATCTTCTGTCTAGCAGAATATGAAGAAATCCCTTTTCCAACGAAGGCCACAAGATGTCAGAATATCCACTTACAGACTTTACAAACAGAGTGTTTCCTAACTGCTCTATGAACAGAAAGGTAAAACTCTGTGAGTTGAACGAACACATCACAACGCAGTTTGTGGGAATGATTCTGTCTAGATTGAAACGAAGATATTTCCTTTTCTGCCATTGACCTCAAAGCGCTTGAAATCTCCACTTGCAAATTCCACAAAAAGAGTGTTTCAAATCTGCTCTGTGTAAATGAAAGTTCAACTCTGTGAGTTGAACACACACAACACAAGGAAGTTACTGGGAATTCTTCTGTATAGCAGAATATGAAGAAATCCCGTTTCCAACGAAAGCCTCAAAGATGTCTGAATATCCACTTGCAGACTTTACAAACAGAGTGTTTCCTAACTGCTCTATGAAAAGAAAGGTTAAACTCTGTGAGTTGAACGCACACATCACAAAGGAGTTTCTGACAATCATTCTGTCTAGTTTTTATACGAAGATATTTCCTTTTCTACCATTGACCTCAAAGCGGCTGAAATCTCCACTTGCAAATTACACAAAAAGAGTGTTTCAAGTCTACTCTGTGTAAAGCATCGTTCAACTCTGTGAGTTGAAAACACACAACACTAGGAAGTTTCTGAGAATTCTTCTGTATAGCAGAATATGAAGAAATCCCGTTTCCAACGAAGGCCTCAAAGATGTCTGAATATCCACTTGCAGACTATAAAAACACAGTGTTTCCTAACTGCTCTATGAAAAGAAAGGTTAAACTCTGTGAGTTGAACGCACACATCACAAAGGAGTTTCTGAGAATCATTCTGTCTAGTTTTTATACGAAGATATTTCCTTTTCTACCATTGACCTCAAAGCGGCTGAAATCTCCACTTGCAAATTCCACAAAAAGAGTGTTTCAAATCTGCTCTGTGTAATCCATCGTTCAACTCTGTGAGTTGAATACACACAACACAAGGAAGATTCTGAGAATTCTTCTGTCTAGCAGAATATGAAGAAATCCCATTTCCAACGAAGGCCACAAGATGTCAGAATATCCACTTACAGAATTTACAAACAGACTGTTTCCTAACTGCTCTACGAAAAGAAAGGTTAAACTCTGTGAGATGAACGAACACATCACAACGCAGTTTGTGGGAATGATTCTGTCTAGTTTTGAAACGAAGATATTTCCTTTTCTGCCATTGACCTCAAAGCGCTTGAAATCTCCACTTGCCAATTGCACAAAAAGAGTGTTTCAAATCTGCTCTGTCTAAGGGAACGTTCAACTCTGTGAGTTGAATGTACACAACACAAGGAAGTTACTGGGAATTCTTCTGTCTAGCCTTACAGGAAAAAAACCCGTTTCCAACGAAGGCCTCTAAGTGGTCAAGTTATCCACGTGCAGACTTTACAAACAGAGTGTTTCCAAACTGCTGAATGAAAAGAAAAGTTAAACTTCTGAGAGTTGAACGCACACATCGCAGAGCAGTTTCTGAGAATGATTCTGTCTAGTTTTTATACGAAGGTATTTCCTTTTCTGCCTTTGGCCTCAAAGCGCTTGAAATCTCCACTTGCAAATTCCACAAAAAGAGTGTTTCAAATCTGCTCTGTGTAAATGAAAGTTGAACTCTGTGAGTTGAACACACACAACACAAGGAAGTTACTGGGAATTCTTCTGTCTAGCATAGTATGAAGAAATCCCGTTTCCAACGAAGGCCTCAAACAGGTCTGAATATCCACTTGCAGAGTTTACAAACAGAGTGTTTCCTAACTGCTCTATGAAAAGAAAGGTTAAACTCTGTGAGTTGAACGCACACATCACAAAGAAGTTTCTGAGAATCGTTGTGTCTAGTTTTTATACGAAGATATTTCCTTTTCTACCATTGACCTCAACGCGGCTGAAATCTCCACTTGCAAATTCCACAAAAAGAGTGTTTCAAATCTGCTCTGTGTAAACCATCGTTCAACTGTGTGAGTTGAATACACACAACACAAGGAAGATTCTGAGAATTCTTCGGTCTAGCAGAATATGAAGAAATCCCGTTTCCAACGAAGGCCTCAAGGAGGTCTGAATATCCACTTGCAGACTTTTCAAACAGAGTGTTTCCTAACTGCTCTATGAACAGAAAGGTTAAACTCTGTGAGTTGAACGAACACATCACAACGCAGTTTGTGGGAATGATTCTGTCTAGTTTTGAAACGAAGATATTTCCTTTTCTGCCATTGACCTTAAATCGCTTGAAATCTCCACTTGCCAATTGCACAAAAAGAGTGTTTCAAATCTGCTCTGTCTAAGGGAACGTTCAACTCTGTGAGTTGAATGTACACAACACAAGGAAGTTACTGGGAATTCTTCTGTCTAGCCTTACATGAAAAAAACCCGTTTCCAACGAAGGCGTCTAAGTGGTCAAAATATCCACGTGCAGACTTTACAAACAGAGTGTTTCCAAACCGCTGAATGAAAAGAATAGTTAAACTCTGAGCGTTGAACGCACACATCACGCAGCAGTTTCTGAGAATGATTCTGTCTAGTTTTTAAACGAAGATATTTCCTTTTCTGCCCTTGGCCCCAAAGCGCTTGAAATCTCCACTTGCATATTCCACAAAAACAGTGTTTCAAATCTGCTCTCTCTAAATGAAAGTTCAACTCTGTCAGTTGAATACACACAACACAAGGAAGTTACCGAGAATTCTTCTGTCTAGCATAATATGAAGAAATCCCGTTTCCAACGAAGGCCTCAAAGAGGTCTGAATATCCACTTGCAGACTATACAAACAGAGTGTTTCCTAACTGCTCTATGAGAAGAAAAGTTAAACTCTGTGAGTTGAACGCACACATCACAAAAGATTTTCTGAGAATCATTCTGTCTATTTTCTATAGGAAGATATTTCCTATTCTACCATTGACCTCAAAGCGGCTGAAATCTCCACTTGCAAATTCCACAAAAAGAATGTTTCAAGTCTGCTCTGTGTAAAGGATCGTTCAATTCTGTGAGTTGAATACACACAACACAAGGAAGTTACTGAGAATTCTTCTGTCTAGCAGAATATGAAGAAATCCCGTTTCCAATGAAGGCCACAAGATGTCAGAATATCCACTTACAGAATTTTCAAACAGACTGTTTCCTAACTGCTCTATGAAAAGAAAGGTTAAACTCTGTGAGTTGAACGAACACATCACAACGCAGTTTGTGGGAATGATTCTGTCTAGTTTTGAAACGAAGATATTTCCTTTTCTGCCATTGACCTTAAAGCGCTTGAAATCTCCACTTGCCAATTGCACAAAAAGAGTGTTTCAAATCTGCTCTGTCTAAGGGAACGTTCAACTCTGTGAGTTGAATGTACACAACGCAAGGAAGTTACTGGGAATTCTTCTCTCTAGCCTTACAGGAAAAAAACCCGTTTCCAACGAAGGCCTCTAAATGGTCAAAATATCCACGTGCAGACTTTACAAAGAGAGTGTTTCCAAACTGCTGAATGAAAAGAAAAGTTAAACTCTGAGAGTTGAACGCACACATCGCAGAGCAGTTTCTGAGAATGATTCTGTCTAGTTTCTATAGGAAGATGTTTCCTATTCTACCATTGACCTCAAAGCGGCTGAAATCTCCACTTGCAAACTCCACAACAAGAGTGTTTCAAGTATGCTCTGTGTAAAGGATCGTTCAACTCTGTGAGTTGAATACACACAACACAAGGAAGTTACTGAGAATTCTTCTGTCTAGCATAATATGAAGAAATCCCATTTCCAACGAAGGCCTCAAGGAGGTCTGAATATCCACTTGCAGACTTTACAAACAGAGTGTTTCCTAACTGCTCTATGAAAAGAAAGGTTAAACTCTGTGAGTTGAACGCACACATCACAAAGGAGTTTCTGAGAATCATTCTGTCTAGTTTTTCTACGAAGATATTTCCTTTACTATTATTGACCTCAAAGCGGCTGAAATCTCCACTTGCAAGTCCCACAAAAAGAGTGTTTCAAGTCTGCTCTGTATAAAGGATCGTTCAACCCTGTGAGTTGAATACACACAACACAAGGAAGTTACTGAGAATTCTTCTGTCTAGCAGAATATGAAGAAATCCCGTTTCCAACGAAGGCCACAAGATGTCAGAATATCCACTTACAGAATTTACAAACAGACTATTTCCTAACTGCTCTATGAAAAGAAAGGTTAAACTCTGTGAGTTGAACGAACACATCACAACGCAGTTTGTGGGAATGATTCTGTCTAGTTTTGAAACGAAGATATTTCCTTTTCTGCCATTGACCTTAAAGCGCTTGAAATCTCCACTTGCCAATTGCACAAAAAGAGTTTTTCAAATCTGCTCTGTCTAAGGGAACGTTCAACTCTGTGAGTTGAATGTACACAACACAAGGAAGTTACTGGGAATTCTTCTGTCTAGCCTTACATGAAAAAAACCCGTTTCCAACGAAGGCCTCTAAGTGGTCAAGTTATCCACGTGCAGACTTTACAAACAGAGTGTTTCCAAACTACTGAATGAAAAGAGAAGTTAAACTCTGAGAGTTGAACGCACACATCGCAGAGCAGTTTCTGAGAATGATTCCGTCTAGTTTTGAAACGAAGATATTTCCTTTTCTGCCTTTGGCCTCAAAGCGCTTGAAATCTCCATTTGCAAATTCCACAAAAAGAGTGTTTCAAATCTGCTCTGTGTAAATGAAAGTTCAGCTCTGTGAGTTGAACACACACAACACAAGGAAGTTACTGGGAATTCTTCTGTCTAGCATAATATGAAGAAATCCCGTTTCCAACGAAGGCCTCAAAGAGGTCTGAATATCCACTTGCAGACTTTACAAACAGAGTGTTTCCTAACTGCTCTATGAAAAGAAAAGTTAAACTCTGTGAGTTGCACGCACACATCACAAAGGAGTTTCTGAGAATCATTCTGTCTAGTTTTTATACGAAGATATTTCCTTTTCTACCATTGACCTCAACGCGGCTGAAATCTCCACTTGCAAATTCCACAAAAAGTGTGTTTCAAGTCCGCTCTGTGTAAAGGATCGTTCAACTCTGTGAGTTGAATACACACAACACAAGGAATTTACTGAGAATTCTTCTGTCTAGCAGAATACGAAGAAATCCCGTTTCCAACGAAGGCCACAAGATGTCAGAATATCCACTTACAGACTTTACAAACAGAGTGTTTCCTAACTGCTCTATGAACAGAAAGGTTAAACTCTGTGAGTTGAACGAACACATCACAACGCAGTTTGTGGGAATGATTCTGTCTAGTTTTGAAACGAAGATATTTCCTTTTCTGCCATTGACCTTAAAGCGCTTGAAATCTCCATTTGCCAATTGCACAAAAAGAGTGTTTCAAATCTGCTCTGTCTAAGGTAACGTTCAACTCTGTGAGTTGAATGTACACAACACAAGGAAGTTACTGGGAATTCTTCTGTCTAGCCTTACAGGAAAAAAACCCGTTTCCAACGAAGGCCTCTAAGTGGTCAAAATATCCACGTGCAGACTTTACAAACAGAGTGTTTCCACACTGCTGAATGAAAAGAAAAGTTAAACTCTGAGAGTTGAACGCACACATCCCAGAGCAGTTTCTGAGAATGATTCTGTCTAGTTTTTATACGAAGATATTTCCTTTTCTACCATTGACCTCAAAGCGGCTGAAATCTCCACTTGCAAATTCCACAAAAAGAGTGTTTCAAGTCTGCTCTGTGTAAAGGATCGTTCAACTCTGTGAGTTGAATACACACAACACAAGGAAATTACTGAGAATTCTTCTGTCTAGCATAGTATGGAGAAATCCCGTTTCCATCGAAGGCCTCAAAGAGGTCTGAATATCCACTTGCAGAGTTTACAAACAGAGTGTTTCCTAACTGCTCTATGAATAGAAAGGTTAAACTCTGTGAGTTGAACGCACACATCACAAAGAAGTTTCTGAGAATCATTCTGTCTAGTTTTTATAGGAAGATATTTCCTTTTCTACCTTTGACTTCAAAGCGGCTGAAATCTCCACTTGCAAATTCCAGAAAAAGAGTGTTACAAGTCTGCTCTGTGTAAAGGATCGTTCAACTCTGTGAGTTGAATACACACAACACAAGGAAGTTACTGAGAATTCTTCTGTCTAGCAGAATATGAAGAAATCCCGTTTCCAACGAAGGCCACAAGATGTCAGAATATCCACTTACAGAATTTACAAACAGACTGTTTCCTAAGTGCTCTATGAAAAGAAAGGTTAAACTCTGTGAGTTGAACGAACACATCACAACGCAGTTTGTGGGAATGATTCTGTCTAGTTTTGAAACGAAGATATTTCCTTTTCTGCCGTTGACCTTAAAGCGCTTGAAATCTACACTTGCAAATTGGACAAATAGAGTGTTTCAAATCTGCTCTGTCTAAGGGAACGTTCAACTCTGTGAGTTGAATGCACACAACACAAGGAAGTTACTGGGAATTCTTCTGTCTAGCCTTACAGGAAAGAAACCCGTTTCCAACGAAGGCCTCTAAGTGGTCAAAATATCCACGTGCAGACTTTACAAACAGAGTGTTTCCAAACTGCTGAATGAAAAGAAAAGTTAAACTCTGAGAGTTGAACGCACACATCTCAAAGGAGTTTCTGAGAATGATTCTGTCTAGTTTCTATAAGAAGATATTTCCTATTCTACCATTCACCTCAAAGCGGCTGAAATCTCCACTTGCAAATCCGACAAAAAGAGTGTTTCAAGCCTGCTCTCTGTAAAGCATCCTTCAACTCTGTGAGTTGAATACACACAACATAAGGAAGTTAGTGAGAATTCTTCTGTCTAGCAGAATATGAAGAAATCCCGTTTCCAACGAAGGCCTCAAAGAGGTCTGAATATCCACTTGCAGACTTTACAAACAGAGTGTTTCCTAACTGCTCTATGAGAAGAAAAGTTAAACTCTGTGAGTTGAACGCACACATCACAAAAGATTTTCTGAGAATCATTCTGTCTAGTCTTTATACGAAGATATTTACTTTTCTACCATTGACCTCAAAGCGGCTGAAATCTCCACTTGCAAATTCCACAAAAAGAGTGTTTCAAGTCTGCTCTGCGTAAAGGATCATTCAACTCTGTGCGTTGAATAAACACAACACAAGGAAGTTACTGAGAATTCTTCTGTCTAGCAGAATATTTAGAAATCCCGTTTCCAACGAAGGCCACAAGATGTCAGAATATCCACTTACAGAATTTACCAACAGAGTGTTTCCTAACTGCTCTATGAAAAGAAAGGTTAAACTCTGTGAGTTGAACGAACACATCACAACGCAGTTTGTGGGAATGATTCTGTCTAGTTTTGAAACGAAGATATTTCCTTTTCTGCCATTGACCTTAAAGCGCTTGTAATCTCCACTTGCCAATTGCCCAAAAAGAGTGTTTCAAATCTGCTCTGTCTAAGGGAACGTTCAACTCTGTGAGTTGAATGTACACAACACAAGGAAGTTACTGGGAATTCTTCTGTCTAGCCTTACATGAAAAAAACCCGTTTCCAACGAAAATCTCTAAGTGGTCAAATTATCCACGTGCAGACTTTACAAACAGAGTGTTTCCAAACTGCTGAATGAAAAGAAAAGTTAAACACTGAGAGTTGAACGCACACATCGCAGAGCAGTTTCTGAGAATGATTCTGTCTAGTCTTTATACGAAGATATTTCCTTTTCTACCATTGACCACAAAGCGGCTGAAATCTCCACTTGCAAATTCCACAAAAAGAGTGTTTCAAGTCTGCTCTGTGTAAAGGATCATTCAACTCTGTGAGTTGCATAAACACAACACAAGGAAGTTACTGAGAATTCTTCTGTCTAGCAGAATATGAAGAAATCCCGTTTCCAACGAAGGCCTCAACGAGGTCTGAATATCCACTTGCAGACTTTACAAGCAGAGTGTTTCCTAACTGCTCTATGAAAAGAAAGGTTAAACTCTGTGAGTTGAACACACACATCACAAAGGAGTTTCTGAGAATCATTCTGTCTAGTTTTTCTACGAAGATATTTCCTTTTCTACTATTGACCTCAAAGCGGCTGAAATCTCCACTTGCAAATTCCACAAAAAGAGTGTTTCAAGTCTCCTCTGTGTAAAGGATCATTCAACTCTGTGAGTTGAATACACACAACACAAGGAAGTTACTGAGAATTCTTCTGTCTAGCATAATATGAAGAAATCCCGTTTCCAAAGAAGGCCTCAAAGAGGTCTGAATATCCACTTGCAGACTTTACAAACAGAGTGTTTCCTAACTGCTCTATGAAAAGAAAAGTTAAACTCTGTGAGTTGAACGCACACATCACAAAGGAGTTTATGAGAATCATTCTGTCTAGTTTTTATACGAAGATATTTCCTTTTCTACCATTGACCTCAAAGCGCCTGAAATCTCCACTTGCAAATTCCACAAAAAGAGTGTTTCAAGTCTACTCTGTGTAAAGCATCGTTCAACTCTGTGAGTTGAAGACACACAACACAAGGAAGTTTCTGAGAATTCTTCTGTCTAGCAGAATATGAAGAAATCCCATTTCCAACGAAGGCCACAAGATGTCAGAATATCCACTTACAGAATTTACAAACAGACTGTTTCCTAACTGCTCTATGAAAAGAAAGGTTAAACTCTGTGAGTTGAACGAACACATCACAACGCAGTTTGTGGGAATGATTCTGTCTAGTTTTGAAAGGAAGATATTTCCTTTTCTGCCATTGACCTTAAAGCGCTTGAAATCTCCACTTGCCAATTGCACAAAAAGAGTGTTTCAAATCTGCTCTGTCTAAGGGAACGTTCAACTCTGTGAGTTGAATGTACACAACACAAGGAAGTTACTGTGAATTCTTCTGTCTAGCCTTACATGAAAAAAAAACCGTTTCCAACGAAGGCCTCTAAGTGGTCAAATTATCCACGTGCAGACTTTACAAACAGAGTGTTTCCAAACTGCTGAATGAAAAGAAAAGTTAAACTCGGAGAGTTGAACGCACACATCGCAGAGCAGTTTCTGAGAATGATTCTGTCTAGTTTTCATACGAAGATATTTCCTTTTCTGCCTTTGGCCTGAAAGGACTTGAAATCTCCATTTGCAAATTCCACAAAAAGAGTGTTTCAAATCTGCTCTGTGTAAATGAAAGTTCAACTCTGTGAGTTGAATACACACAACTCAAGGAAGTTACTGGGAATTCTTCTGTCTAGCCTTATATGAAAAAAACCCGTTTCCAACGAAGGCCTCAAAGAAGTCTGAATATCCACTTGCAGACTTTACAAACAGAGTGTTTCCTAACTGCTCTATGAAAAGAAAGGTTAAACTCTGTGAGTTGAACGCACACATCACAAAGGAGTTTCTGAGAATCATTCTGTCTAGTTTCTATAGGAAGATATTTCCTATTCTACCATTGACCTCAAAGCGGCTGAAATCTCCACTTGCCAATTCCACAAAAAGAGTGTTTCAAGTCTGCTCTGTGTAAAGGATCGTTCAACTCTGTGAGTTGAATACACACAACACAAGGAAGTTACTGAGAATTCTTCTGTCTAGCATAATATGAAGAAATCCCGTTTCCAACGAAGGCCACAAGATGTCAGAATATCCACTTACAGACTTTACAAACAGAGTGTTTCCTAACTGCTCTATGAACAGAAAGGTTAAACTCTGTGAGTTGAACGAACACATCACAACGCAGTTTGTGGGAATGATTCTGTCTAGTTTTGAAACGAAGATATTTCCTTTTCTGCCATTGAACTTAAAGCGCTTGAAATCTCCATTTGCCAATTGCACAAAAAGAGTGTTTCAAATCTGCTCTGTCTAAGGGAACGTTCAACTCTGTGAGTTGAATGTACACAACACAAGGAAGTTACTGGGAATTCTTCTGTCTAGCCTTACAGGAAAGAAACCCGTTTCCAACGAAGGCTTCTAAGTGGTCAAAATATCCACGTGCAGACTTTACAAACAGAGTGTTTCCAAACTGCTGAATGAAAAGAAAATTTAAACTCTGAGAGTTGAACGCACACATCGCAGAGCAGTTTCTGAGAATGATTCTGTCTAGTTTTTATACGAAGATATTTCCTTTTCTGCCTTTGGCCCCAAAGCGCTTGAAATCTCCCCTTGCAAATTCCACAAAAAGAGTGTTTCAAGTCTGCTCTGTGTAAAGGATCGTTCAACTCTGTCAGTTGAATACACACAACACAAGGAAGTTACTGAGAATTCTTCTGTCTAGCCTTATATGAAAAAAACCCGTTTCCAACGAAGGCCTCAAAGAGGTCTGAATATCCACTTGGAGACTTTACAAACAGAGTGTTTCCTAACTGCTCTATGAAAAGAAAGGTTAAACTCTGTGAGTTGAACGCACACATCACAAAGGAGTTTCTGAGAATCATTTCTGTCTAGTTTCTATAGGAAGATATTTCCTATTCTACCATTGACCTCAAAGCGGCTGAAATCTCCACTTGCAAATTCCAGAAAAAGAATGTTTCAAGTCTGCTCTGTGTAAACGATCGTTCAACTCTGTGAGTTGAATACACACAACACAAGGAAGTTACTGAGAATTCTTCTGTCTAGCAGAATATGAAGAAATCCCGTTTCCAACGAAGGCCACAAGATGTCAGAATATCCACTTACAGACTTTACAAACAGAGTGTTTCCTAACTGCTCTATGAACAGAAAGGTTAAACTCTGTGAGTTGAACGAACACATCAGAACGCAGTTTGTGGGAATGATTCTGTCTAGTTTTGAAACGAAGATATTTCCTTTTCTGCCATTGACCTTAAAGCGCTTGAAATCTCCATTTGCCAATTGCACAAAAAGAGTGTTTCAAATCTGCTCTGTCTAAGGGAACGTTCAACTCTGTGAGTTGAATGTACACAACACAAGGAAGTTACTGGGAAAACTTCTGTCTAGCCTTACATGAAAAAAACCCGTTTCCAACGAAGGCCTCTAAGTGGTCAAGTTATCCACGTGCAGACTTTACAAACAGAGTGTTTCCAAACTGCTGAATGAAAAGAAAAGTTAAACTTCTGAGAGTTGAACGCACACATCGCAGAGCAGTTTCTGAGAATGATTCTGTCTAGTTTTGATACGAAGATATTTCCTTTTCTGCCTTTGGCCTCAAAGCGCTTGAAATCTCCACTTGCAAATTCCACAAAAAGAGTGTTTCAAATCTGCTCTGTGTAAATGAAAGTTCAACTCTGTGAGTTGAACACACACAACACAAGGAAGTTACTGGGAATTCTTCTGTCTAGCAGAATATGAAGAAATCCCGTTTCCAACGAAGGCCTCAAAGAAGTCTGAATATCCACTTGCAGACTTTACAAACAGAGTGTTTCCCAACTGCTCTATGAAAAGAAAGGTTGAACTCTGTGAGTTGAACGCACACATCACAAAGGAGTTTCTGAGAATCATTCTGTGTAGTTTTTATACGAAGATATTTCCTTTTCTAACGTTGACCTCAAAATGGCTGAAATCTCCACTTGCAAATTCCACAAAAAGAGTGTTTCAAGTCTGCTCTGTGTAAAGGATCGTTGAACTCTGTGAGTTGAAAACACACAACACAACGAAGTTTCTGAGAATTCTTCTGTCTAGCAGAATATGAAGAAATCCCGTTTCCAACGAAGGCCACATGATGTCAGAATATCCACTTACAGAATTTACAAACAGACTGTTTCCTAACTGCTCTATGAAAAGAAAGGTTAAACTCTGTGAGTTGAACGAACACATCACAACGCAGTTTGTGGGAATGATTCTGTCTAGTTTTGAAACGAAGATATTTCCTTTTCTGCCATTGAACGTAAAGCGCTTGAAATCTCCTTTTGCCAATTGCACAAAAAGAGTGTTTCAAATCTGCTCTGTCTAAGGGAACGTTCAACTCTGTGAGTTGAATGTACACAACACAAGGAAGTTACTGGGAATTCTTCTGTCCAGCCTTACATGAAAAAAACCCGTTTCCAACGAAGGCCTCAAAGAAGTCCAAGTATCCACGTGCAGACTTAACAAACAGAGTGTTTCCTAACTGCTCTATGAAAAGAAAGGTTAAACTCTGTGAGTTGAACGCACACATCACAAAGAAGTTTCTGAGAATCATTCTGTCTAGTTTTTATACGAAGATATTTCCTTTTCTACCATTGACCTCAAAGCGGCTGAAATCTCCACTTGCAAATTCCTCAAAAAGAGTGTTTCAAGTCCTCTCTGTGTAAAGGATCGTTCAACTCTGTGAGTTGAATACACACAACACAAGGAAGTTACTGGGAATTCTTCTGTCTAGCAGAATATGAAGAAATCCCGTTTCCAACGAAGGCCTCAAAGGGGTCTGAATATCCACTTGCAGACTTTACAAACAGAGTGTTTCCTAACTGCTCCATGAGAAGAAAAGTTAAACTCTGTGAGTTGAACGCACACATCACAAAAGATTTTCTGAGAATCATTCTGTCTAGTTTTTATACGAAGATATTTCCTTTTCTACCATTGACCTCAAAGCGCCTGAAATCTCCACTTGCAATTTCCACAAAAAGAGTGTTTCAAGTCTGCTCTGTGTAAAGGATCGTTCAACTCTGTGAGTTGAATACACACAACACAAGGAAGTTTCTGAGAATTCTTCTGTCTAGCAGAATATGAAGAAATCCCGTTTCCAACGAAGGCCTCAAAGAGGTCTGAATATCCACTTGCAGACTTTACAAACAGAGTGTTTCCTAACTGCTCTATGAAAAGAAAAGTTAAACTCTGTGAGTTGAACGCACACATCACAACGCAGTTTGTGGGAATGATTCTGTCTAGTTTTCAAACGAAGATATTTCCTTTTCTGCTATTGACCTTAAAGCGCTTGAAATCTACACTTGCAAATTGCACAAATAGAGTGTTTCGAATCTGCTCTGTCTAAGGGAACGTTCAACTCTGTGAGTTGAATGCACACAACACAAGGAAGTTACTGGGAATTCTTCTGTCTAGCCTTACAGGAAAAAAACCCGTTTCCAACGAAGGCCTCTAAGTAGTCAAATTATCCACGTGCAGACTTTACAAACAGAGTGTTTCCAAACAGCTGAATGAAAAGAAGAGTTAAACTCTGAGAGTTGAACGCACACATCGCAGAGCAGTTTCTGAGAATGATTCTGTCTAGTTTTTATACGAAGATATTTCCTTTTCTGCCTTTGGCCTCAAAGCCCTTAAAATCTCCACTTGCAAATTCCACAAAAAGAGTGTTTCAAATCTGCTCTGTGTAAATGAAAGTTCAACTCTGTGAGTTGAACACACACAACACAAGGAAGTTACTGGGAATTCTTCTGTCTAGCAGAATATGAAGAAATCCCGCTTCCAACGAAGGCCTCAAAGAAGTCTGAATATCCACTTGCAGACTTTACAAACAGAGTGTTTCCCAACTGCTCTATGAAAAGAAAGGTTGAACTCTGTGAGTTGAACGCACGCATCACAAAGGAGTTTCTGAGAATCATTCTGTCTAGTTTTTATACGAAGATATTTCTTTTTCTACCATTGACCTCAAAGCGGCTGAAATCTCCACTTGCAAATTCCACAAAAAGGGTGCTTCAAGTCTGCTCTGTGTAAAGGATCGTTCAACTCTGTGAGTTGAATACACACAACACAAGGAAGTTACTGAGAATTCTTCTGTCTAGCGGAATATGAAGAAATCCCGTTTCCAACGAAGGCCACAAGATGTCAGAATATCCACTTACAGAATTGACAAACAGACTGTTTCCTAACTGCTCTATGAAAAGAAAGGTTAAACTCTGTGAGTTGAACGAACACATCACAACGCAGTTTGTGGGAATGATTCTGTCTAGTTTTGAAACGACGATATTTCCTTTTCTGCCATTGACCTTAAAGCGCTTGAAATCTCCATTTGCCAATTGCACAAAAAGAGTGTTTCAAATCTGCTCTGTCTAAGGGAACGTTCAACTCTGTGAGTTGAATGTACACAACACAAGGAAGTTACTGGGAATTCTTCTGTCTAGCCTTACAGGAAAAAAAACCGTTTCCAACAAAGGCCACTAAGTGGTCAAAATATCCACGTGCAGACTTTACAAACAGAGTGTTTCCAAACTGCTGAATGAAAAGAAAAGTTAAACTCTGAGAGTTGAACGCACACATTGCAGAGCAGTTTCTGAGTATGATTCTGTCTAGTTTTTGTACGAAGATATTTCCTTTTCTGCCTTTGGCCTCAAAGCGCTTGAAATCTCCACTTGCAAATTCCACAAAAAGAGTGTTTCAAGTCTGCTCTGTGTAAAGGATCGTTCAACTCTGTGAGTTGAATACACACAACACAAGGAAGTTACTGAGAATTCTTCTCTCTAGCAGAATATGAAGAAATCCCGTTTTCAACGAAGGCCTCAAAGAGGTATGAATATCCACTTGCAGACTTTACAAACAGTGTGTTTCCTAACTGCTCTATGAAAAGAAAGGTTAAACTCTGTGAGTTGAACGCACACATCACAAAGGAGTTTCTGAGAATCATTCTGTCTAGTTTCTATAGGAAGATATTTCCTATTCTACCATTGACCTCAAAGCGGCTGAAATCTCCACTTGCAAATTCCACAAAAAGAGTGTTTCAAGACTGATCTGTGTAAAGGATCATTCAACTCTGTGAGTTGAATACACACAACACAAGGAAGTTACTGAGAATTCTTCTGTCTAGCAGAATATGAAGAAATCCCGTTTCCAACGAAGGCCACAAGATGTCAGAATATCCACTTACAGAATTGACAAACAGACTGTTTCCTAACTGCTCTATGAAAAGAAAAGTTAAACTCTGTGAGTTGAACGAACACATCACAACGCAGTTTGTGGGAATGATTCTGTCTAGTTTTGAAACGAAGATATTTCCTTTTCTGCCATTGACCTTAAAGCGCTTGAAATCTCCACTTGCCAATTGCACAAAAAGAGTGTTTCAAATCTGCTCTGTCTAAGGGAACGTTCAACTCTGTGAGTTGAATGTACACAACGCAAGGAAGTTACTGGGAATTCTTCTGTCTAGCCTTACAGGAAAAAAATCCGTTTCCAACGAAGGCCTCTAAGTGGTCAAAATATCCACGTGCAGACTTTACAAACAGAGTGTTTCCAAACTGCTGAATGAAAAGAAAAGTTAAACTCTGAGAGTTGAACGCACACATCGCAGAGCAGTTTCTGAGAATGATTCTGTCTAGTTTCTATTGGAAGATATTTCCTATTCTACCATTGACCTCAAAGCGGCTGAAATCTCCACTTGCAAATTCCACAAAAAGAGTGTTTCAAGACTGTTCTGTGTAAAGGATCATTCAACTCTGTGAGTTGAATACACACAACACAAGGAAGTTACTGAGAATTCTTCTTTCTATCAGAATATGAAGAAATCCCGTTTCCAACGAAAGCCTCAACGATGTCTGAATATCCACTTGCAGACTTTACAAACAGAGTGTTTCCTAACTGCTCTATGAAAAGAAAGGTTAAACTCTGTGAGTTCAACGCACACATCACAAAGGAGTTTCTGAGAAACATTCTGTCTAGTTTCTATATGAAGATATTTCCTATTCTACCATTGACCTCAAAGCGGCTGAAATCTCCACTTGCAAATTCCACAAAAAGAGTGTTTCAAGTCTGCTCTGTGTAAAGGATCGTTCAACTCTGTGAGTTGAATACACACAACACAAAGAAGTTACTGAGAATTCTTCTGTCTAGCAGAATATGAAGAAATCCCGTTTCCAACGAAGGCCACAAGATGTCAGAATATCCACTTACAGACTTTACAAACAGAGTGTTTCCTCACTGCTCTATGAACAGAAAGGTTAAACTCTGTGAGTTGAACGAACACATCACAACGCAGTTTGTGGGAATGATTCTGTCTAATTTTGAAACGACGATATTTCCTTTTCTGCCATTGACCTTAAAGCGCTTGAAATCTACACTTGCAAATTGCACAAATAGAGTGTTTCAAATCTGCTCTGTCTAAGGGAACGTTCAACTCTGTGAGTTGAATGCACACAACACAAGGAAGTTACTGGGAATTCTTCTGTCTAGCCTTACATGAAAAAAACCCGTTTCCACGAAGGCCTCTAAGTGGTCAAAATTTCCACGTGCAGACTTTACAAACAGAGTGTTTCCAAACCGCTGAATGAAAAGAAAAGTTAAACTCTGAGAGTTGAACGCACACATCACGCAGCAGTTTCTGAGAATGATTCTGTCTAGTTTTTATACGAAGATATTTCCTTTTCTGCCTTTGGCCCCAAAGCGCTTGAAATCTCCACTTGCAAATTCCACAAAAACAGTGTTTCAAATCCGCTCTCTCTAAATGAAAGTTCAACTCTGTCAGTTGAATACACACAACACAAGGAAGTTACTGAGAATTCTTCTGTCTAGCATAATATGAAGAAATCCCGTTTCCAACGAAGGCCTCAAAGAGTTCTGAATATCCACTTGCAGACTTTACAAACAGAGTGTTTCCTAACTGCTCTATGAAAAGAAAAGTTAAACTTTGTGAGTTGAACGCACACATCACAAAGGAGTTTATGAGAATCATTCTGTCTAGTTTCTATAGGAAGATATTTCCTATTCTACCATTGACCTCAAAGCGGCAGAAATCTCCACTTGCAAATTCCACAAAAAGAGTGTTTCAAGACTGTTCTGTGTAAAGGATCATTCAACTCTGTGAGTTGAATACACACAACACAAGGAAGTTACTGAGAATTCTTCTGTCTAGCAGAATATGAAGAAATCCCGTTTCCAACGAAGGCCACAAGATGTCAGAATATCCACTTTCAGACTTTACAAACAGAGTGTTTCCTAACTGCTCTATGAACAGAAAGGTTAAACTCTGTAAGTTGAACGAACACATCACAACGCAGTTTGTGGGAATGATTCTGTCTAGTTTTGAAACGAAGATATTTCCTTTTCTGCCGTTGACCTTAAAGAGCTTGAAAACTACACTTGCAAATTGCAGAAATAGAGTGTTTCAAATCTGCTATGTCTAAGGGGACGTTCAACTCTGTGAGTTGAATGCACACAACACAAGGAAGTTACTGGGAATTCTTCTGTCTAGCCTTACAGGAAAAAAACCCGTTTGCAACGAAGGCCTCTAAGTGGTCAAAATATCCACGTGCAGACTTTACAAACAGAGTGTTTCCAAACTGCTGAATGAAAAGAAAAGTTAAACTCTGAGAGTTGAACGCACACATCGCAGAGCTGTTTCTGAGAATGATTCTGTCTAGTTTTTATAGGAAGATATTTCCTTTTCTGCCTTTGGCCACAAAGCGCTTGAAATCTCCACTTGCAAATTCCACAAAAACAGTGTTTCAAATCTGCTCTCTCTAAATGAAAGTTCAACTCTGTCAGTTGAATACACACAACACAAGGAAGTTACTGAGAATTCTTCTGTCTAGCAGAATATGAAGAAATCCTGTTTCCAACGAAGGCCTCAAGGAGGTCTGAATATCCACTTGCCGCCTTTACAAACAGAGTGTTTCCTAACTGCTCTATGAAAAGAAAGGTTAAACTCTGTGAGTTGAACGCACACTTCACAAAGGAGTTTATGAGAATCATTCTGTCTAGTTTCTATAAGAAGATATTTCCTATTCTACCATTGACCTCAAAGCGGCTGAAATCTCCACTTGCAAATTCGACAAAAAGAGTGTTTCAAGCCTGCTCTCTGTAAAGGATCCTTCAACTCTGTGAGTTGAATACACACAGCACAAGGAAGTTACTGAGAATTATTCTGTCTAGCATAATATGAAGAAATCCCGTTTCCAACGAAGGCCTCAAAGAGGTCTGAATATCCACTTGCAGACTTTACAAACAGAGTGTTTCCTACCTGCTCTATGAGAAGAAAAGTTAAACTCTGTGAGTTGAACGCACACATCACAAAAGATTTTCTGAGAATCATTTCTGTCTAGTTTTTATACGAAGATATTTCCTTTTCTACCATTGACCTCAAAGCGGCTGAAATCTCCACTTGCAAATTCCACAAAAAGAGTGTTTCAAATCTGCTCTGTCTAAGGGAACGTTCAACTCTGTGAGTTGAATGTACACAACACAAGGAAGTTACTGGGAATTCTTCTGTCTAGCCTTACATGAAAAAAACCCGTTTCCAACGAAGGCCTCTAAGTGGTCAAATTATCCACGTGCAGACTTTACAAACAGAGTGTTTCCTAACTGCTGAATGAAAAGAAAAGTTAAACTGTGAGAGTTGAACACACACATCGCAGAGCAGTTTCTGAGAATGATTCTGTCTAGTTTTTATACGAAGATATTTCCTTTTCTGCCTTTGGCCTCAAAGCGCTTGAAATCTCCATTTGCAAATTCCACAAAAAGAGTGTTTCAAATCTGCTCTGTGTAAATGAAAGTTCAACTCTGCGAGTTGAACACACACAACACAAGGAAGTTACTGGGAATTCTTCTGTCTAGCAGAATATGAAGAAATCCCGTTTCCAACGAAGGCCTCAAGGAGGTCTGAATATCCACTTGCAGACTTTATAAACAGAGTGTTTCCTAACTGCTCTATGAAAAGAAAGGTTAAACTCTGTGAGTTGAACGCACACATCACAAAGGAGTTTATGAGAATCATTCTGTCTAGTTTTGATACGAAGATATTTCCTTTTCTGCCATTGACCTTAAAGCGCTTGAAATCTACACTTGCAAATTCCACAAAAAGAGTGTTTCAAGTCTGCTCTGTGTAAAGGATCGTTCAACACTGTGAGTTGAATACACACAACACAAGGAAGTTACTGAGAATTCTTCTGTCTAGCAGAATATGAAGAAATCCCGTTTCCAACGAAGGCCACAAGATGTCAGAATATCCACTTACAGACTTTACAAACAGAGTGTTTCCTAACTGCTCTATGAACAGAAAGGTTAAACTCTGTGAGTTGAACGCACACATCACAAAGGAGTTTCTGAGAATCATTCTGTCTAGTTTTGAAACGAAGATATTTCCTTTTCTACCATTGACCTCAACGCGGGTGAAATCTCCATTTGCAAATTCCACAAAAAGAGTGTTTCAAATCTGCTCTGTGTAAATGAAAGTTCAACTCTGTGAGTTGAACACACACAACACAAGGAAGTTACTGGGAATTCTTCTGTCTAGCCTTACATGACAAAAACCCATTTCCAACGAAGGCCTCTAAGTGGTCAAAATATCCACGTGCAGACTTTACAAACAGAGTGTTTCCAAACTGCTGAATGAAAAGAAAAGTTAAACTCTGAGAGCTGAACGCACACATCGCAGAGCAGTTTCTGAGAATGATTCTGTCTAGTTTTTATACGAAGATATTTCGTTTTCTGCCTTTGGCCTCAAAGCGCTTGAAATCTCCACTTGCAAATTCCACAAAAACAGTGCTTCAAATCTGCTCTGTCTAAATGAAAGTTCAACTCTGTCAGTTGAATACACACAACACAAGGAAGTTACTGAGAATTCTTCTGTCTAGCCTTATATGAAAAAAACCCGTTTCCAACGAAGGCCTCAAAGAGGTCTGAATATCCACTTGCAGACTTTACAAACAGAGTGTTTCCTAACTGCTCTATGAAAAGAAAGGTTAAACTCTGTGAGTTGAACCCACACATCACAAAGGAGTTTCTGAGAATCATTCTGTCTAGTCTTTATACGAAGATATTTCCTTTTCTAGCATTGACCTCAAAGTGGCTGAAATCTCCACTTGCAAATTCCACAACAAGAGTGTTTCAAGTCTGCTCTGTGTAAAGGATCGTACAACTCTGTGAGTTGAATACACACAACACAAGGAAGTTACTGAGAATTCTTCTGTCTAGCAGAATATGAAGAAATCCCGTTTCCAACGAAGGTCTCAAGGAGGTCTGAATATCCACTTGCAGACTTTACAAACAGAGTGTTTCCTAACTGCTCTATGAACAGAAAGGTTAAACTCTGTGAGTTGAACGCACACATCACAAAAGAGTTTCTGAAAATCATTCTGTCTAGTCTTTATACGAAGATATTTCCTTTTGTACCATTGACATCAAAGCGGCTGAAATCTCCACTTGCAAATTCCACAAAAAGAGTGTTTCAAGTCTGCTCTGTGTAAAGGATCGTTCAACTCTGTGAGTTGAATACACACAACACGAGGAAGTTACTGAGAATTCTTCTGTCTAGCCTTACATGAAAAAAACCCGTTTCCAACGAAGGCCTCTAAGTGGTCAAAATATCCACGTGCAGTCTTTACAAACAGAGTGTTTCCAAACTTCTGAATGAAAAGAAAAGTTAAACTCTTGAGAGTTGAACGCACACATCGCAGAGCAGTTTCTGAGAATGATTCTGTCTAGTTTTTATACGAAGATATTTCCTTTTCTGCCTTTAGCCTCAAAGCGCTTGAAATCTCCACTTGCAAATTCCACAAAAAGAGTGTTTCAAATCTACTCTGTGTAAATGAAAGTTCAACTCTGTGAGTTGAACACACACAACACAAGGAAGTTACTGGGAATTCTTCAGTCTAGCATAATATGAAGAAATCCCGTTTCCAACGAAGGCCTCAAGGAGGTCTGAATATCCACTTGCAGACTTTACAAACAGAGTGTTTCCTAACTGCTCTATGAAAAGAATGGTTAAACTCTGTGAGTTAAACGCAGACATCACAAAGGAGTTTCTGAGAATCACTCTGTCTAGTCTTTATACGAAGATATTTCCTTTTCTACCATTGACCTCAAAGCGGCTGAAATCTCCACTTGCAAATTCCACAAAAAGAGTGTTTCAAGTCTGCTCTGTGGAAAGGATCGTTCAACTCTGTGAGTTGAATACACACAACACAAGGAAGTTACTGAGAATTCTTCTGTCTAGCATAATATGAAGAAATCCCGTTTCCAACGAAGGCCTCAAGGAGGTCTGAATATCCACTTGCAGACTTTTCAAACAGAGTGTTTCCTAACTGCTCTATGAAAAGAAAGGTTAAACTCTGTGAGTTGAACGCACACATCACAAAGGAGTTTCTGAGAATCATTCTGTCTAGTTTCTATAGGAAGATATTTCCTATTCTACCATTGACCTCAAAGCGGCTGAAATCTCCAATTGCAAATTCCACAAAAAGAGTGTTTCAAGACTGTTCTGTGTAAAGGATCAGTTCAACTCTGTGAGTTGAATACACACAACACAAGGAAGTTACTGAGAATTCTTCTGTCTAGCCTTACAGGAAAAAAACCCGTTTCCAACGAAGGCCTCTAAGTGGTCAGAATATCCACGTGCAGACTTTACAAACAGAGTTTTTCCACACTGCTGAATGAAAAGAAAAGTTAAACTCTGAGAGTTGAACGCACACATCGCAGAGCAGTTTCTGAGAATGATTCTGTCTAGTTTTTATACGAAGATATTTCCTTTTCTGCCTTTGGCCTCAAAGCGCTTGAAATCTCCACTTGCAAATTCCACAAAAAGAGTGTTTCAAATGTGCTCTGTGTAAATGAAAGTTCAACTCTGTGAGTTGAACACACACATCACAAGGAAAGTTACTGGGAATTCTTCTGTCTAGCCTTATATGAAAAAAACCCGTTTCCAACGAAGGCCTCAAAGAGGACTGAATATCCACTTGCAGACTTTACAAACAGAGTGTTTCCTAACTGCTCTATGAAAAGAAAGGTTAAACTCTGTGAGTTGAACGCACACATCACAAAGGAGATTCTGAGAATCATTCTGTCTAGTTTTTATACGAAGATATTTCCTTTTCTACCATTGACCTCAAAGCGGCTGAAATCTCCACTTGCAAATTCCACAAAAAGAGTGTTTCAAGTCTGCTCTGTGTAAAGGATCGTTCAACTCAGTGAGTTGAATACACACAACACAAGGAAGTTACTGAGAATTCTTCTGTCTAGCAGAATATGAAGAAATCCCGTTTCCAACGAAGGCCACAAGATGTCAGAATATCCACTTACAGACTTTACAAACAGAGTGTTTCCTAACTGCTCTATGAACAGAAAGGTTAAACTCTGTGTGTTGAACGCACACATCACAAAGGAGTTTATGAGAATCATTCTGTCTAGTTTCTATAGGAAGATATTTCCTATTCTACCATTGACCTCAAAGCGGCTGAAATCTCCACTTGCAAATTCCACAAAAACAGTGTTTCAAGTCTGCTCTCTGTAAAGGATCGTTCAAATCTGTGAGTTGAATACACACAACACAAGGAAGTTACTGAGAATTCTTCTGTTTAGCCTTACAGGAAAAAAACCCGTTTCCAACGAAGGCCTCTAAGTGGTCAAAATATCCACGTGCAGACTTTACAAACAGAGTGTTTCCAAACTGCTGAATGAAAAGAAAAGTTAAAATCTGAGAGTTGAACGCACACATCGCAGAGCAGTTTCTGAGAATGATTCTGTCTAGTTTTTATACGAAGATATTTCCTTTTCTACCATTGACCTCAACGCGGCTGAAATCTCCACTTGCAAATTC
The DNA here is from genome assembly GCF_000001405.40 of Homo sapiens. NCBI lineage: Eukaryota > Metazoa > Chordata > Mammalia > Primates > Hominidae > Homo > Homo sapiens. The sequence continues at coordinate 48,419,953 of NC_000005.10, read as the reverse complement.
CACAAAACGAGTGTTTCAAGTCTGCTCTGTGTAAAGTATCGTTCAACTCTGTGAGTTGAATACACACAACACAAGGAAGTTACTGAGAATTCTTCTGTCTAGCAGAATATGAAGAAATCCCTTTTCCACCGAAGGCCTCAAGGAGGTCTGAATATCCACTTGCAGACTTTACAAACAGAGTGTTTCCTAACTGCTCTATGAACAGAAGGGTTAAACTCTGTGAGTTGAACGCACACATCACAAAGGAGTTTCTGAGAATCATCTGTCTAGTCTTTATACGAAGATATTTCCTTTTCTACCATTGACCTCAAATTGGCTGAAATCTGCACTTGCAAATTCCACAAAAAGAGTGTTTCAAGTCTGCTCTGTGTAAAGGATCGTTCAAATCTGTGAGTTGAATACACACAACACAAGGAAGTCACTGAGAATTCTTCTGTCTAGCAGAATATGAAGAAATCCCGTTTCCAACGAAGGCCTCAAGGAGGTCAGAATATCCTCTTGCAGACTTTACAAACAGAGTGTTTCCTAACTGCTCAATGAAAAGAAAGGTTAAACTCTGTGAGTTAAACGCACACATCATAAAGGAGTTTCTGAGAATCATTCTGTCTAGTTTTGAAACGAAGATATTTCCTTTTCTGCCATTGACCTTAAAGCGCTTGAAATCTCCACTTGCCAATTGCACAAAAAGAGTGTTTCAAATCTGCTCTGTCTAAGGGAACGTTCAACTCTGTGAGTTGAATGTACACAACGCAAGGAAGTTACTGGGAATTCTTCTGTCTAGCCTTACATGAAAAAAACCCGTTTCCAACGAAGGCCTCTAAGTGGTCAAAATTTCCACGTGCAGACTTTACAAACAGAGTGTTTCCAAACTGCTGAATGAAAAGAAAAGTTAAACTCTGAGAGTTGAACGCACACATCACGCAGCAGTTTCTGAGAATGATTCTGTCTAGTTTTTATACGAAGATATTTCCTTTTCTGCCTTTGGCCCCAAAGCACTTGAAATCTCCACTTGCAAATTCCACAAAAAGAGTGTTTCAAATCTGCTCTCTCTAAATGAAAGTTCAACTCTGTCAGTTGAATACACACAACACAAGGAAGTTACTGAGAATTCTTCTGTCTAGCATAATATGAAGAAATCCCGTTTCCAACGAAGGCCTCAAAGGGGTCTGAATATCCACTTGCAGACTTTATAAACAGAGTGTTTACTAACTGCTCTATGAAAAGAAAGGTTAAACTCTGTGAGTTCAACACACACATCACAAAGGAGTTTCTGAGAACCATTCTGTCTAGTTTCTATAGGAAGATATTTCCTATTCTACCATTGACCTCAAAGAGGCTGAAATCTCCACCTGCAAATTCCACAACAAGAGTGTTTCAAGTCTGCTCTGTGTAAAGGATCGTTCAACTCTGTGAGTTGAATACACACAACACAAGGAAGTTATTGAGAATTCTTCTGTCTAGCATAGTATGGAGAAATCCCGTTTCCATCGAAGGCCTCAAAGAGGTCTGAATATCCACTTGCAGAGTTTACAAACAGAGTGTTTCCTAACTGCTCTATGAAAAGAAAGGTTAAACTCTGTGAGTTGAACGAACACATCACAACGCAGTTTGTGGGAATGATTCTGTCTAGTTTTGAAACGAAGATATTTCCTTTTCTGCCGTTGACCTTAAAGCGCTTGAAATCTACACTTGCAAATTGCACAAATAGAGTGTTTCAAATCTGCTCTGTCTTAGGGAACGTTCAACTCCGTGAGTTGAATGCACACAACACAAGGAAGTTACTGGGAATTCTTCTGTCTAGCCTTACAGGAAAGAAACCCGTTTCCAACGAAGGCCTCTAAGTGGTCAAAATATCCACGTGCAGACTTTACAAACAGAGTGTTTCCAAACTGTTGAATGAAAAGAAAAGTTAAACTCTGAGAGTTGAACGCACACATCGCAGAGCAGTTTCTGAGAATGATTCTGTCTAGTTTTTATACGAAGATATTTCCTTTTCTGCCTTTGGCCCCAAAGCGCTTGAAATCTCCATTTGCAAATTCCACAAAAACAGTGTTTCAAATCTGCTCTCTCTAAATGAAAGTTCAACTCTGTCAGTTGAATACACACAACACAAGGGAAGTTACTGAGAATTCTTCTGTCTAGCATAATATGAAGCAATCCCGTTTCCAACGAAGGCCTCAAAGGGGTCTGAATATCCACTTGCAGACTTTATAAACAGAGTGTTTACTAACTGCTCTATGAAAAGAAAGGTTAAACTCTGTGAGTTGAACACACACATCACAAAGGAGTTTCTGAGAATCATTCTGTCTATTTTCTGTAGGAAGATATTTCCTATTCTACCTTTGACCTCAAAGCGGCTGAAATCTCCACTTCCAAATTCCACAAAAAGAGTGTTTCAAGTCTGCTCTCTGTAAAGGATCGTTCAACTCTGTGAGTTGAATACACACAACACAAGGAAGTTACTGAGAATTATTCTGTCTAGCAGAATATGAAGAAATCCCTTTTCCAACGAAGGCCACAAGATGTCAGAATATCCACTTACAGACTTTACAAACAGAGTGTTTCCTAACTGCTCTATGAACAGAAAGGTTAAACTCTGTGAGTTGAACGAACACATAACAACGCAGTTTGTGGGAATGATTCTGTCTAGTTTTGAAACGAAGATATTTCCTTTTCTGCCATTGACCTTAAAGCGCTTGAAATCTACACTTGCAAATTTCACAAATAGAGTGTTTCAAATCTGCTCTGTCTAAGGGAACGTTCAACTCTGTGAGTTGAATGCACACAACACAAGGAAGTTACTGGGAATTCTTCTGTCTAGCCTTACATGAAAAAAACCCGTTTCCAACGAAGGCGTCTAAGTGGTCAAAATATCCACGTGCAGACTTACAAACAGAGTGTTTCCAAACCGCTGAATGAAAAGAAAAGTTAAACTCTGAGAGTTGAACGAACACATCACGCAGCAGTTTCAGAGAATGATTCTGTCTAGTTTTGAAACGAAGATATTTCCTTTTCTGCCTTTGACCTCAAAGCGCTTGAAATCTCCACTTGCAAATTCCACAAAAAGAGTGTTTCAAATCTGCTCTGTGTAAATGAAAGTTCAACTCTGTGAGTTGAACACACACAACACAAGGAAGTTACTGGGAATTCTTCTGTCTAGCACAGTATGAAGAAATCCCGTTTCCAACGAAGGCCTCAAAGAGGTCTGAATATCCACTTGCAGAGTTTACAAACAGAGTGTTTCCTAACTGCTCTATGAAAAGAAAGGTTAAACACTGTGAGTTGAACGCACACATCACAAAGAAGTTTCTGAGAATCATTCTGTCCAGTTTTTATACGAAGATATTTCCTTTTCTACCATTGACCTCAACGCGGCTGAAATCTCCAGTTGCAAATTCCACAAAAAGAGTGTTTCAAGTCTGCTCTGTGTAAAGGATCGTTCAACTCTGTGAGTTGAATACACACAACACAAGGAAGTTACTGAGAATTCTTCTGTCTAGCATAGTATGAAGAAATCCCGTTTCCAACGAAGGCCTCAAAGAGGTCTGAATATCCACTTGCAGTGTTTACAAACAGAGTGTTTCCTAACTGTTCTATGAAAAGAAAGGTTAAACTCTGTGAGTTGAACGCACACATCACAAAGAAGTTTCTGAGAATCATTCTGTCTAGTTTTGAAACGAAGATATTTCCTTTTCTGCCATTGACCTTAAAGCGCTTGTAATCTCCACTTGCCAATTGCCCAAAAAGAGTGTTTCAAATCTGCTCTGTCTAAGGGAGCGTTCAACTCTGTGAGTTGAATGTACACAACAGAAGGAAGTTACTGGGAATTCTTCTTTTTAGCCTTACAGGAAAAAAACCCGTTTCCAACGAAGGCCTCTAAGTGGTCAAAATATCCACGTGCAGACTTTACAAACAGAGTGTTTCCAAAATGCTGAATGAAAAGAAAAGTTAAACTCTGAGAGTTGAACGCACACATCGCAGAGCAGTTTCTGAGAATGATTCTGTCTAGTTTTTATACGAAGATATTTCCTTTTCTGCCTTTGGCCTCAAATCGCTTGAAATCTCCACTTGCAAATTCCACAAAAAGAGTGTTTCAAATCTGCTCTGTGTAAATGAAAGTTCAACTCTGTGAGTTGAACACACACAACACAAGGAAGTTACTGGGAATTCTTCTGTCTAGCATAATATGAAGAAATCCCGTTTCCAACGAAGGCCTCAAAGGGGTCTGAATATCCACTTGTAGACTTTATAAACAGAGTGTTTACTAACTGCTCTATGAAAAGAAAGGTTAAACTCTGTGAGTTGAACACACACATCACAAAGGAGTTTCTGAGAATCATTCTGTCTAGTTTCTATAGGAAGATATTTCCTATTCTACCATTGACCTCAAAGCGGCTGAAATCTCCACTTGCAAATTCCACAAAAAGAATGTTTCAAGTCTGCTCTGTGTAAAGGATCGTTCAACTCTGTGAGTTGAATACACACAACACAAGGAAGTTACTGAGAATTATTCTGTCTAGCATAGTATGAAGAAATCCAGTTTCCAACGAAGGCCACAAGATGTCAGAATATCCATTTACAGAATTTACAAACAGACTGTTTCCTAACTGCTCTATGAAAAGAAAGGTTAAACTCCTGTGAGTTGAACGAACACATCACAACGCAGTTTGTGGGAATGATTCTGTCTAGTTTTGAAACGAAGATATTTCCTTTTCTGCCATTGACCTTAAAGCGCTTGAAATCTCCGCTTGCCAATTGCACAAAAAGAGTGTTTCAAATCTGCTCTGTCTAAGGGAACGTTCAACTCTGTGAGTTGAATGTACACAACACAAGGAAGTTACTGGGAATTCTTCTGTCTAGCCTTACAGGAAAAAAACCCGTTTCCAACGAAGGCCTCTAAGTGGTCAAAATATCCACGTGCAGACTTTAGAAACAGAGTGTTTCCAAACTGCTGAATGAAAAGAAAAGTTAAACTCTGAGAGTTGAACGCACACATTGCAGAGCAGTTTCTGAGAATGATTCTGTCTAGTTTTTATATGAAGATATTTCCTTTTCTGCCATTGACCTCAAAGCGCTTGAAATCTCCACTTGCAAATTCCACAAAAAGAGTGTTTCAAATCTGCTCTGTGTAAATGAAAGTTCAACTCTGTGAGTTGAACACACACAACACAAGGAAGTTACTGGGAATTGTTCTGTCTAGCAGAATATGAAGAAATCCCGTTTCCAACGAAGGCCTCAAGGAGGTCTGAATATCCACTTGCAGACTTTACAAATAGAGTGTTTCCTAACTGCTCTATGAAAAGAAAGGTTAAACTCTGTGAGTTGAACGCACACATCACAAAGGAGTTTATGAGAATCATTCTGTCTAGTTTTGAAACGAAGATATTTCCTTTTCTGCCTTTGGCCTCAACGCGGCTGAAATCTCCACTTGCAAATTCCACAAAAAGAGTGTTTCAAGTCCGCTCTGTGTAAAGGATCGTTCAACTCTGTGAGTTGAATACACACAACACAAGGAAGATTCTGAGAATTCTTCTGTCTAGCAGAATATGAAGAAATCCCGTTTCCAACGAAGGCCACAAGCTGTCAGAATATCCACTTACAGAATTGACAAACAGACTGTTTCCTAACTGCTCTATGAAAAGAAAGGTTAAACTCTGTGAGTTGAACGAACACATCACAACGCAGTTTGTGGGAATGATTCTGTCTAGTTTTGAAACGAAGATATTTCCTTTTCTGCCATTGACCTTAAAGCGCTTGAAATCTCCACTTGCCAATTGCACAAAAAGAGTGTTTCAAATCTGCTCTGTCTAAGGGAACGTTCAACTCTGTGACTTGAATGTACACAACACAAGGAAGTTACTGGGAATTCTTCTGTCTAGCCTTACAGGAAAGAAACCCGTTTCCAACGAAGGCCTCTAAGTGGTCAAAATATCCACGTGCAGACTTTACAAACAGAGTGTTTCCAAACTGCTGAATGAAAAGAAAAGTTAAACTCTGAGAGTTGAACGCACACATCGCAGAGCAGTTTCTGAGAATGATTCTGTCTAGTTTTTATACGAAGATATTTCATTTTCTGCCTTTGGCCCCAAAGCGCTTGAAATCTCCACTTGCAAATTCCACAAAAACAATGTTACAAATCTGCTCTCTCTAAATGAAAGTTCGACTTTGTCAGTTGAATACACACAACACAGGGAAGTTACTGAGAATTCTTCTGTCTAGCCTTATATGAAAAAAACCCGTTTCCAACGAAGGCCTCAAGGAAGTCTGAATATCCACTTGCAGACTTTACAAACAGAGTGTTTCCTAACTGCTCTATGAAAAGAAAGGTTAAACTACTGTGAGTTGAACGCACACATCACAAAGGAGTTTCTGAGAATCATTCTGTCTACTTTTTATACGAAGATAATTCCTTTTCTACCATGGACCTCAAAGCGGCTGAAATCTCCACTTGCAAATTCCACAAAAAGAGTGTTTCAAGTCTGCTCTGTGTAAAGGATCGTTCAACTCTGTGAGTTGAATACACACAACACAAGGAAGATTCTGAGATTTCTTCTGTCTAGCAGAATATGAAGAAATCCCGTTTCCAACGAAGGCCACAAGATGTCAGAATATCCACTTACAGACTTTACAAACAGAGTGTTTCCTAACTGCTCTATGAACAGAAAGGTTAAACTACTGTGAGTTGAACGAACACATCACAACGCAGTTTGTGGGAATGATTTCTGTCTAGTTTTGAAACGAAGATATTTCCATTTCTGCCGTTGACCTTAAAGCGCTTGAAATCTACACTTGCAAATTGCACAAATAGAGTGTTTCAAATCTGCTCTGTCTAAGGGAACGTTCAACTCTGTGAGTTGAATGCACACAACACAAGGAAGTTACTGGGAATTCTTCTGTCTAGCCTTACAGGAAAAAAACCCGTTTCCAATGAAGGTCTCTAAGTGGTCAAATTATCCACGTGCAGACTTTACAAACAGAGTGTTTCCAAACTGCTGAATGAAAAGAAAAGTTAAACTCTGAGAGTTGAACGCACACATTGCAGAGCAGTTTCTGAGAATGATTCTCTCTAGTTTTTATACGAAGATATTTCCTTTTCTGCCTTTGGCCCCAAAGCGCTTGAAATCTCCACTTGCAAATTCCACAAAAACAGTGTTTCAAATCTGCTCTCTCTAAATGAAAGTTCAACTCTGTCAGTTGAATACACACAACACAAGGAAGTTACTGAGAATTCTTCTCTCAGGCATAATATGAAGAAATCCCGTTTCCAACGAAGGCCTCAAAGAGGTCTGAATATCCACTTGCAGAGTTTACAAACAGAGTGTTTCCTAACTGCTCTATGAAAAGAAAGGTTAAACTCTGTGAGTTGAACGCACACATCACAAAGAAGTTTCTGAGAATCATTCTGTCTAGTTTTTATACGAAGACATTTCCTTTTCTACCATTGACCTCAAAGCGGCTGAAATCTCCACTTGCAAATTCCACAAAAAGAGTGTTTCAAATCTGCTCTGTGTAAACCATCGCTCAACTCTGTGAGTTGAAGACACACAACACAAGGAAGATTCTGAGAATTCTTCTGTCTAGCAGAATATGAAGAAATCCCGTTTCCAACGAAGGCCAAAAGATGTCAGAATATCCACTTACAGAATTTACAAACAGAGTGTTTCCTAACTGCTCTATGAAAAGAATGGTTAAACTCTGTGGGTTGAACGAACACATCACAACGCAGTTTGTGGGAATGATTCTGTCTAGTTTTGAAACGAAGATATTTACTTTTCTGCCATTGACCTTAAAGCGCTTGAAATCTCCACTTGCCAATTGCACAAAAAGAGTGTTTCAAATCTGCTCTGTCTAAGGGAACGTTCAACTCTGTGTGTTGAATGTACACAACACAAGGAAGTTACTGGGAATTCTTCTGTCTAGCCTTACATGAAAAAAACCCGTTTCCATCGAAGGAATCTAAGTGGTCAAAATAGCCACGTGCAGACTTTACAAACAGAGTGTTTCCAAACTGCTGAATGAAAAGAAAAGTTAAACTCTGTGAGTTGAACGCACACATCACAAAGGAGTTTCTGAGAATCATTCTGTCTAGTTTCTATAGGAAGATATTTCCTATTCTACCATTGACCTCAAAGCGGCTGAAATCTCCACTTGCAAATTCCACAAATAGAGTGTTTCAAGTCTGTTCTGTGTAAAGGATCGTTCAACTCTGTGAGTTGAATACACACAACACAACGAAGTTACTGAGAATTCTTCTCTCTAGCAGAATATGTAGAAATCCCGTTTCCAACGATGGCCTCAAAGATGTCTGAATATCCACTTTCAGACTTTACAAACAGAGTGTTTCCTAACTGCTCTATGAAAAGAAAGGTTAAACTCTGTGAGTTGAACGCACACATCACAAAGGAGTTTCTGTGAATCATTCTGTCTAGTTTCTATAGGAAGATATTTCCTATTCTACCATTGAACTCAAAGCGGGCTGAAATCTCCACTTCCAAATTCCACAAAAAGAGTGTTTCAAGTCTGCTCTGTGTAAAGGATCATTCAACTCTGTGAGTTGAATACACACAACACAAGGAAGTTACTGAGAATTCTTCTGTCTAGCAGAATATGAAGAAATCCCGCTTCCAACGAAGGCCTCAAAGAAGTCTGAATATCCACTTGCAGACTTTACAAACAGAGTGTTTCCCAACTGCTCTATGAAAACAAAGGTTGAACTCTGTGAGTTGAACGCACACATCACAAAGGAGTTTCTGAGAATCATTCTGTCTAGTTTTTATAGGAAGATATTTCCTTTTCTACCTTTGACTTCAAAGCGGCTGAAATCTCCACTTGCAAATTCCACAAAAAGAGTGTTACAAGTCTGCTCTGTTTAAGGGAACCTTCAACTCTGTGAGTTGAATGTACACAACACAAGGAAGTTACTGGGAATTCTTCTGTCTAGCCTTACAGGAAAAAAACCCGTTTCCAACGAAGGCCTCTAAGTGGTCAAAATATCCACGTGCAGACTTTACAAACAGAGTTTTTCCACACTGCTGAATGAAAAGAAAAGTTAAACTCTGAGAGTTGAACGCACACATCGCAGAGCAGTTTCTGAGAATGATTCTGTCTAGTTTTTATACGAAGATATTTCCTTTTCTGCCTTTGGCATCAAAGCGCTTGAAATCTCCACTTGCAAATTCCACAAAAAGAGTGCTTCAAATCTGCTCTGTGTAAATGAAAGTTCAACTCTGTGAGTTGAACACACACAACACAAGGAAGTTACTGGGAATTCTTCTGTCTAGCATAATATGAAGAAATCCCGTTTCCAACGAAGGCCTCAAGGAGGTCTGAATATCCACTTGCAGACTTTACAAACAGAGTGTTTCCTAACTGCTCTATGAAAAGAAAGGTTAAACTCTGTGAGGTGAACGCACACATCACAAAGGAGTTTCTCAGAATCATTCTGTCTAGTTTCTATAGGAAGATATTTCCTATTCTACCATTGACCTCAAAGCGGCTGAAATCTCCACTTGCAAATTCCACAAAAAGAGTGCTTCAAGTCTGCTCTCTGTAAAGGATCGTTCAACTCTGTGAGTTGAATACACACAACACAAGGAAGTTACTGAGAATTCTTCTGTCTAGCATAGTATGAAGAAATCCCGTTTCCAACGAAGACCTCAAAGAGGTCTGAATATCCACTTGCAGAGTTTACAAACAGAGTGTTTCCTAACTGCTCTATGAAAAGAAAGGTTAAACTCCGTGAGTTGAACGCACACATCACAAAGAAGTTTCTGAGAATCATTCTGTCTAGTTTTGAAAGGAAGATATTTCCTTTTCTGCCATTGACCTTAAAGCGCTTGAAATCTCCACTTGCCAATTGCACAAAAAGAGTGTTTCAAATCTGCTCTGTCTAAGGGAACGTTCAACTCTGTGAGTTGAATGTACACAACACAAGGAAGTTACTGGGAATTCTTCTGTCTAGCCTTACAAGAAAGAAACCCGTTTCCAACGAAGGCCTCTAAGTGGTCAAAATATCCACGTGCAGACTTTACAAACAGAGTGTTTCCAAAGTGCTGAATGAAAAGAAAAGTTAAAATCTGAGAGTTGAACGCACACATCGCAGAGCAGTTTCTGAGAATGATTCTGTCTAGTTTTGAAACGAAGATATTTCCTTTTCTGCCTTTGGCCTCAAAGCGCTTGAAATCTCCACTTGCAAATTCCACAAAAAGAGTGTTTCAAATCTGCTCTGTGTAAATGAAAGTTCAACTCTGTGAGTCGAACACCCACAACACAAGGAAGTTACTGGGAATTCTTCTGTCTAGCCTTATATGAAAAAAACCCGTTTCCAACGAAGGCCTCAAAGAGGGCTGAATATCCACTTGCAGACTTTACAAGCAGAGTGTTTCCTAACTGCTCTATGAAAAGAAAGGTTAAACTCTGTGAGTTGAACGCACACATCTCAAAGGAGTTTCTGAGAATCATTCTGTATAGTTTCTATAGGAAGATATTTCCTATTCTACTATTGACAACAAAGCGGCTGAAATCTCCACTTGCAAATTCCACAAAAAGAGTGTTTCAAGTCTGCTCTGTGTAAAGGATCGTTCAACTCTGTGAGTTGAATTCACACAACACAAGGAAGTTACTGAGAATTCTTCTGTCTAGCAGAATATGAAGAAATCCCGTTTCCAACGAAGGCCACAAGATGTCAGAATATCCACTTACAGAATTGACAAACAGACTGTTTAATAACTGCTCTATGAAAAGAAAGGTTAAACTCTGTGAGTTGAACGAACACATCACAACGCAGTTTGTGGGAATGATTCTGTCTAGTTTTGAAACGAAGATATTTCCTTTTCTGCCGTTGACCTTAAAGCGCTTGAAATCTACACTTGCAAATTGCACAAATAGAGTGTTTCAAATCTGCTCTGTCTAAGGGAACGTTCAACTCTGTGAGTTGAATGCACACAACACAAGGAAGTTAGTGGGAATTCTTCTGTCTAGCCTTACATGAAAAAAACACGTTTCCAACGTAGGCCTCAAAGAGGTCTGAATATCCACTTGCAGACTTTACAAACAGAGTGTTTCCTAACTGCTCTATGAACAGAAAGGTTAAACTCTATGAGTTGAACGCACACATCACAAAGGAGTTTCAGAGAATCGTTCTGTCTAGTTTTTATACGAAGATATTTCCTTTTCTGCCTTTGGCCCCAAAGCGCTTGAAATCTCCACTTGCAAATTCCACAAAAACAGTGTTTCAAAAATGCTCTCTCCAAATGAAAGTTCAACTCTGTCAGTTGAATACACACAACACAAGGAAGTTACTGAGAATTCTTCTGTCTAGCCTTATATGAAAAAAACCCGTTTCCAACGAAGGCCTCAAAGAGGTCTGAATATCCACTTGCAGACTTTACAAACAGAGTGTTTCCTAACTGCTCTATGAACAGAAAGGTTAAACTCTGTGAGTTGAACGCACACATCACAAAGGAGTTTCTGAGAATCTTTCTGTCTAGTTTTTATACGAAGATATTTCCTTTTCTACCATGGACCTCAAAGCGGCTGAAATCTCCACTTGCAAATTCCACAAAAAGAGTGTTTCAAGTCTGCTCTGTGTAAAGGATCGTTCAACTCTGTGAGTTGAATGTACAACAACACAAGGAAGTTACTGGGAATTCTTCTGTCTAGCAGAATATGAAGAAATCCCGTTTCCAACGAAGGCCACAAGATGTCAGAATATCCACTTACAGAATTTACAAACAGACTGTTTCCTAACTGCTCTATGAAAAGAAAGGTTAAACTCTGTGATTTGAACGAACACATCACAACGCAGTTTGTGGGAATGATTCTGTCTAGTTTTGAAACGAAGATATTTCCTTTTCTGCCGTTGACCTTAAAGCGCTTGAAATCTACACTTGGAAATTGCACAAATAGAGTGTTTCAAATCTGCTCTGTCTAAGGGAACGTTCAACTCTGTGAGTTGAATGCACACAACACAAGGAAGTTACTGGGAATTCTTCTGTCTAGCCTTACACGAAAAAAACCCGTTTCCAACGAAGGCCTCTAAGTGGTCAAAATATCCACGTGCAGACTTTACAAACAGAGTGTTTCCAAACTGCTGAATGAAAAGAAAACTTAAACTCTGAGAGTTGAACGCACACATCGCAGAGCAGTTTCTGAGAATGATTCTGTCTAGTTTTTATACGAACATATTTCCTTTTCTGCCTTTGGCCTGAAAGCGCTTGAAATCTCCACTTGCAAATTCCACAAAAAGAGTGTTTCAAATCTGCTCTGTGTAAATCAAAGTTCAACTCTGTGAGTTGAACACACACAACACAAGGAAGTTACTGGGAATTCTTCTGTCTAGCATAATATGAAGAAATCCCGTCTCCAACGAAGGCCTCAAAGGGGTCTGAATATCCACTTGCAGACTTTATAAACAGAGTGTTTACTAACTGCTCTATGAAAAGCAAGGTTAAACTCTGTGAGTTGAACACACACATCACAAAGGAGTTTCTGAGAATCATTTTGTCTAGGTTCTATAAGAAGATATTTCCTATTCTACCATTGACCTCAAAGCGGCTGAAATCTCCACTTGCAAATTCGACAAAAAGAGTGTTTCAAGCCTGCTCTCTGTAAAGGATCCTTCAACTCTGTGAGTTGAATACACACAACACAAGGAAGTTACTGAGAATTATTCTGTCTAGCAGAATATGAAGAAATCCCGTTTCCAACGAAGGCCACAATATGTCAGAATATCCACTTACAGACTTTACAAACAGAGTGTTTCCTAACTGCTCTATGAACAGAAAGGTTAAACTCTGTGAGTTGAACGAACACATCACAACGCAGTTTGTGGGAATGATTCTGTCTAGTTTTGAAACGAAGATATTTCCTTTTCTGCCTTTGAACTTAAAGCGCTTGAAATCTCCATTTGCCAATTGCACAAAAAGAGTGTTTCAAATCTGCTCTGTCTAAGGGAACGTTCAACTCTGTGAGTTGAATGAACACAACACAAGGAAGTTACTGGGAATTCTTCTGTCTAGCCTTACAGGAAAAAAACCCGTTTCCAACGAAGGCCTCTAAGTGGTCAAAATATCCACGTGCAGACTTTACAAACAGAATTTTTCCACACTGCTGAATGAAAAGAAAAGTTAAACTCTGAGAGTTGAACGCACACATCGCAGAGCAGTTTCTGAGAATGATTCTGTCTAGTTTTGAAACGAAGATATTTCCTTTTCTGCCTTTGGCCTCAAAGCGCTTGAAATCTCCACTTGCAACTTCCACAAAAAGAGTGTTTCAAATCTGCTCTGTGTAAATGAAAGTTCAACTCTGTGAGTTGAACACACACAACACAAGGAAAGTTACTGGGAATTCTTCTGTCTAGCAGAATATGAAGAAATCCCGTTTCCAACGAAGGCCACAAGGAGGTCTGAATATCCACTTGCAGACTTTTCAAACAGAGTGTTTCCTAACTGCTCTATGAAAAGAAAGGTTAAACTCTGTGAGTTGAACACACACATCACAAAGGAGTTTCTGAGAATCATTCTGTCTAGTTTCTATAGGAAGATATTTCCTATTCTACCATTGACCTCAAAGCGGCTGAAATCTCCACTTGCAAATTCCACAAGAAGAGTGTTTCAAGTATGCTCTGTGTAAAGGATCGTTCAACTCTGTGAGTTGAATACACACAACACAAGGAAGTTACTGAGAATTCTTCTGTCTAGCAGAATATGAAGAAATCCCGTTTCCAACGAAGGCCACAAGATGTCAGAATATCCACTTACAGAGTTTACAAACAGAGTGTTTCCTAACTGCTCTATGAACAGAAAGGTTAAACTCTGTGAGTTGAACGAACACATCACAACGCAGTTTGTGGGAATGATTCTGTCTAGTTTTGAAACGAAGATATTTCCTTTTCTGCCGTTGACCTTAAAGAGCTTGAAAACTACACTTGCAAATTGCACAAATAGAGTGTTTCAAATCTGCTCTGTCTAAGGGAACGTTCAACTCTGTGAGTTGAATGCACACAACACAAGGAAGTTACGGGGAATTCTTCTGTCTAGCCTTACATGAAAAAAACCCGTTTCCAACGAAGGCCTCTAAGTGGTCAAATTATCCACGTGCAGACTTTACAAACAGAGTGTTTCCAAACTGCTGAATGAAAAGCAAAGTTAAACTCTGAGAGTTGAACGCACACATCGCAGAGCACTTTCTGAGAATGATTCTGTCTAGTTTTTATACGACGATATTTACGTTTCTGCTTTTGGCCCCAAAGCGCTTGAAATCTCCACTTGCAAATCCAAAAAAACAGTGTTTCAAATCTGCTCTCTCTAAATGAAAGTTCAACTCTGTCAGTTGAATACACACAACACAAGGAAGTTACTGAGAATTCTTCTGTCTAGCAGAATATGAAGAAATCCCGTTTCCAACGAAGACCTCAAAGAGGTCTGAATATCCACTTGCAGACTTTACAAACAGAGTGTTTCCTAACTGCTCTATGAAAAGAAAAGTTAAACTCTGTGAGTTGAACGCACACATCACAAAGGAGTTTCTGAGAATCATTCTGTCTAGTTTTTATACGAAGATATTTCCTATTCTACCATTGACCTCAAAGCGGCTGAAATCTCCAATTGCAAATTCCACAGAAAGCGTGTTTCAAGTCTGCTCTGTGTAAAGGATCGTTCAACTCTGTGAGTTGAATTCACACAACACAAGGAAGTTACTGAGAATTCTTCTGTCTAGCAGAATATGAAGAAATCCCGTTTCCAACGAAGGCCACAAGATGTCAGAATATCCACTTACAGACTTCACAAACAGAGTGTTTCCTAACTGCTCTATGAAGAGAAAGGTTAAACTCTGTGAGTTGAACGAACACATCACAACGCAGTTTGTGGGAATGATTCTGTCTAGTTTTGAAAATAAGATATTTCCTTTTCTGCCATTGACCTTAAAGCGCTTGAAATCTCCACTTGCCAATTGCACAAAAAGAGTGTTTCAAATCTGCTCTGTCTAAGGGAACGTTCAACTCTGTGAGTTGAATGTACACAACACAAGGAAGTTACTGGGAATTCTTCTGTCTAGCCTTACAGGAAAAATCCCGTTTCCAACGAATGCCTCTAAGTGGTCAAAATATCCACGTGCAGACTTTACAAACAGAGTGTTTCCAAACTGCTGAATGAAAAGAAAAGTTAAACTCTGAGAGTTGAACGCACACATCGCAGAGAAGTTTCTGAGAATGATTCTGTCTAGTTTCTATAGGAAGATATTTCCTATTCTACCATTGACCTCAAAGCGGCTGAAATCTCCACTTGCAAATTCCACAAAAAGAATGTTTCAAGTCTGCTCTGTGTAAAGGATCGTTCAACTCTGTGAGTTGAATACACACAACACAAGGAACTTACTGAGAATTATTCTGTCTAGCATAATATAAAGAAATCCCGTTTCCAACGAAGGCCTCAAAGAGGTCTGAATATCCACTTGCACACTTTACAAACAGAGTGTTTCCTAACTGCTCTATGAAAAGAAAAGTTAAACTCTGTGAGTTGAACGCACACATCACAAAGGAGTTTATGAGAATCATTCTGTCTAGTTTTTATACGAATATATTTCCTTTTCTTCCATTGACCTCAAAGCGGCTGAAATCTCCACCCTGCCAATTCCACAAAAAGAGTGTTTCAAGTCTACTCTGTGTAAAGGATCGTTGAACTCTGTGAGTTGAATACACACAACACAAGGAAGTTACTGAGAATTCTTCTGTCTAGCAGAATATGAAGAAATCCCGCTTCCAACGAAGGCCTCAAAGAAGTCTGAATATCCACTTGCAGACTTTACAAACAGAGTGTTTCCCAACTGCTCTATGAAAAGAAAGGCTGAACTCTGTGAGTTGAACGCACACATCACAAAGGAGTTTCTGAGAATCATTCTGTCTAGTTTTGAAACGAAGATATTTCCTTTTCTGCCATTGACCTTAAAGCGCTTGAAATCTCCACTTGCCAATTGCACAAAAAGAGTGTTTCAAATCTGCTCTGTCTAAGGGAACGTTCAACTCCTGTGAGTTGAATGTACAGAACACAAGGAAGTTACTGGGAATTCTTCTGTCTAGCCTTACATGAAAAAAACCAGTTTCCAACGAAGGCCTCTAAGTGGTCAAAATATCCACGTGCAGACTTTACAAACAGAGTGTTTCCAAACCGCTGAATGAAAAGAAAAGTTAAACTCTGAGAGTTGAACGCACACATCACGCAGCAGTTTCTGAGAATGATTCTGTCTAGTTTTTATACGAAGATATTTCCTTTTCTGCATTTGGCCCCAAAGCGCTTGAAATCTCCACTTGCAAATTCCACAAAAACAGTGTTTCCAATCTGCTCTCTCTAAATGAAATTCAACTCTGTCATTTGAATACACACAACACAAGGAAGTTACTGAGAATTCTTCTGTCTAGCAGAATAGGAAGAAATCCCGTTTCCAACGAAGGCCTCAAAGAGGTCTGAATATCCACTTGCAGACTTTACAAACAGAGTGTTTCCTAACTGCTCTATGAACAGAAAGGTTAAACTCTGTGAGTTGAACGCACACATCACAAAGGAGTTTCTGAGAATCGTTCTGTCTAGTTTCTATAGGAAGATATTTCCTATTCTACCATTGAACTCAAAGCGGCTGAAATCTCCACTTGCAAATTCCACAAAAAGAGTGTTTCAAGTCTGCTCTGTGTAAAGGATCGTTGAACTCTGTGAGTTGAATACACACAACACAAGGAAGTTACTGAGAATTCTTCTTTCTAGCAGAATATGAAGAAATCCCGTTTCCAACGAAAGCCTCAAGGATGTCTGAATATCCACTTGCAGACTTTACAAACAGAGTGTTTCCTAACTGCTCTATGAAAAGAAAGGTTAAACTCTGTGAGCTGAACGCACACATCACAAAGGAGTTTCTGAGAATCATTCTGTCTAGTTTCTATAGGAAGATATTTCCTATTCTACCATTGACCTCAAAGCGGCTGAAATCTCCACTTGCAAATTCCACAAAAAGAGTATTTCAAGTCTGCTCTGTGTAAAGGATCCGTTCAACTCTGTGAGTTGAATACACACAACACAAGGAAGTTACTGAGAATTCTTCTGTCTAGCCTTACATGAAAAAAACCCGTTTCCAACGAAGGACTCTAAGTGGTCAAGTTATCCACGTGCAGACTTTACAAACAGAGTGTTTCCAAACTGCTGAATGAAAAGAAAAGTTAAACTCTGAGAGTTGAACGCACACATCGCAGAGCAGTTTCTGAGAATGATTCTGTCTATTTTTTATACGAAGATATTTCCTTTTCTACCATTGACCTCAAAGCGGCTGAAATCTCCACTTGCAAATTCCACAAAAAGAGTGTTTCAAGTCTGCTCTGTGTAAAGGATCGTTCAACTCTGTGAGTTGAATACACACAACACAAGGAAGTAACTGAGAATTCTTCTGTCTAGCAGAATATGAAGAAATCCCGTTTCCAACGAAAGCCTCAAGGAGGTCTGAATATCCACTTGCAGACTTTACAAACAGAGTGTTTCCCAACTGCTCTATGAAAAGAAAGGTTGAACTCTGTGAGTTGAACACACACATCACAAAGGAGTTTCTGAGAATCATTCTGTCTAGTTTCTATAGGAAGATATTTCCTATTCTACCATTGACCTCAAAGCGGCTGAAATCTCCACTAGCAAATTCCACAAAAAGAGTGTTTCAAGACTGTTCTGTGTAAAGGATCATTCAACTCTGTGAGTTGAATACACACAACACAAGGAAGTTTCTGAGAATTCTTCTGTCTAGCAGAATATGAAGAAATCCCGTTTCCAACGAAGGCCACAAGATGTCAGAATATCCACTTACAGACTTTACAAACAGAGTGTTTCCTAACTGCTCTATGAACAGAAAGGTTAAACTACTGTGAGTTGAACGAACACATCACAACGCAGTTTGTGGGAATGATTTCTGTCTAGTTTTGAAACGAAGATATTTCCTTTTCTGCCATTGACCACAAAGCGCTTGAAATCTCCACTTGCCAATTGCACAAAAAGAGTGTTTCAAATCTGCTCTGTCTAAGGGAACGTTCAACTCTGTGAGTTGAATGTACACAACACAAGGAAGTTACTGGGAATTCTTCTGTCTAGCCTTACGTGAAAAAAACCCGTTTCCAACGAAGGCCTCTAAGTGGTCAAGTTATCCACGTGCAGACTTTACAAACAGAGTGTTTCCAAACTGCTGAATGAAAAGAAAAGTTAAACTCTGAGAGTTGAACGCACACATCGCAGAGTAGTTTCTGAGAATGATTCTGTCTAGTTTTGAAACGAAGATATTTCCTTTTCTGCCTTTGGCCTCAAAGCGCTTGAAATCTCCACTTGCAAATTCCACAAAAAGAGAGTTTCAAATCTGCTCTGTGTAAATGAAAGTTCAACTCTGTGAGTTGAACACACACAACACAAGGGAAGTTACTGGGAATTCTTCTGTCTATCAGAATATGAAGAAATCCCGTTTCCAACGAAGGCCTCAAAGAGGTCTGATTATCCACTTGCAGACATTACAAACTGAGTGTTTCCTAACTGCTCTATGAAAAGAAAGGTTAAACTCTGTGAGTTGAACGCACACATCATAAAGGAGTTTCTGAGAATCATTCTGTCTAGTTTTTATACGAAGATATTTCCTTTTCTACCATTGACCTCAAAGCGGCTGAAATCTCCACTTGCAAATTCCACAAAAAGAGTGTCTCAAGTCTGCTCTGTGTAAAGGATCGTTCAACTCTGTGAGTTGAATACACACAACACAGGGAAGTTACTGAGAATTCTTCTGTCTAGCAGAATATGAAGAAATCCCGTTTCCAACGAAGGCCACAATATGTCAGAATATCCACTTAAAGAATTGACAAACAGACTGTTTCCTAACTGCTCTATGAAAAGAAAGGTTAAACTCTGTGAGTTGAACGAACACGTCACAACGCAGTTTGTGGGAATGATTCTGTCTAGTTTTTATACGAAGATATTTCCTTTTATACCATTGACCTCAAAGCGGCTGAAATCACCACTTGCCAATTGCACAAAAAGAGTGTTTCAAATCTGCTCTGTCTTAGGGAACGTTCAACTCTGTGAGTTGAATGTACACAACACAAGGAAGTTACTGGGAATTCTTCTGTCTAGCCTTACAGGAAAAAAACCCGTTTCCAACGAAGTCCTCTAAGTGGTCAAGTTATCCACGTGCAGACTTTACAAACAGAGTGTTTCCAAACTGCTGAATGAAAAGAAAAGTTAAACTCTGAGAGTTGAACGCACACATCGCAGAGCAGTTTCTGAGAATGATTCTGTCTAGTTTTTATACGAATATATTTCCTTCTTTTCTGCCTTTGGCCTCAAAGCGCTTGAAATCTCCACTTGCAAATTCCACAAAAAGAGTGTTTCAAATCTGCTCTGTGCAAATGAAAGTTCAACTCTGTGAGTTGAACACACACAACACAAGGAAGTTACTGGGAATTCTTCTGTCTAGCAGAATATGAAGAAATCCCGTTTCCAAAGAAGGCCTCAAAGAGGTCTGAATATCCACTTGCAGACATTATAAACAGAGTGTTTCCTAACTGCTCTATGAAAAGAAAGGTTGAACTCTGTGAGTTGAACGCACACATCACAAAGGAGTTTCTGAGAATCATTCTGTCTAGTTTTTATACGAAGATATTTCCTTTTCTACCATTGACCTCAAAGCGGCTGAAATCTCCACTTGCAAATTACACAAAGAGAGTGTTTCAAGTCTACTCTGTGTAAAGCATCGTTCAACTCTGTGAGTTGAAAACACACAACACAAGGAAGTTTCTGAGAATTCTTCTGTCTAGCAGAATATGAAGAAATCCCGTTTCCACTGAAGGCCACAAGATGTCAGAATATCCACTTACAGAATTTACCAACAGAGTGTTTCCTAACTGCTCTATGAAAAGAAAGGTTAAACTCTGTGAGTTGAACGAACACATCACAACGCAGTTTGTGGGAATGATTCTGTCTAGTTTTGAAACGAAGATATTTCCTTTTCTGCCTTTGGCCTCAAAGCGCTTGACATCTCCACTTGCAAATTCCACAAAAAGAGTGTTTCAAATCTGCTCTGTGTAAATGAAAGTTCAACTCTGTGAGTTGAACACACACAACACAAGGGAAGTTACTGGGAATTCTTCTGTCTAGCCTTACATGAAAAAAACCCGTTTCCAAAGAAGGCCTCTAAGTGGTCAAATTATCCACGTGCAGACTTTACAAACAGAGTGTTTCCAAACTGCTGAATGAAAAGAAAAGTTAAACTCTGAGAGTTGAACGCACACATCGCAGTGCAGTTTCTGAGAATGATTCTGTCTAGTTTTGAAACGAAGATATTTCCTTTTCTGCCTTTGGCCTCAAAGCGCTTGAAATCTCCACTTGGAAATTCCACAAAAAGAGAGTTTCAAATCTGCTCTGTGTAAATGAAAGTTCAACTCTGTGAGTTGAACACACACAACACAAGGAAGTTACTGGGAATTCTTCTTTCTAGCAGAATATGAAGAAATCCCGTTTCCAACGAAAGCCTCAAGGAGGTCTGAATATCCACTTGCAGACTTTACAAACAGAGTGTTTCCCAACTGCTGTATGAAAAGAAAGGGTAAACTCTGTGAGTTGAACGCACACATCACAAAGGAGTTTCTGAGAATCATTCTGTCTACTTTCTATAGGAAGATATTTCCTATTCTACCATTGACCTCAAAGCAGCTGAAATCTCCACTTGCAAATTCCACAAAAGGAGTGTTTCAAGTCTGCTCTGTGTAAAGGATCGTTCAACTCTGTGAGTTGAATACACACAACACAAGGCAGTTACTGAGAATTCTTCTGTCTAGCAGAATATGAAGAAATCCCGTTTCCAACGAAGGCCACAGGATGTCAGAATATCCACTTACAGACATTACAAACAGAGTGTTTCCTAACTGCTCTATGAACAGAAAGGTTAAACTCTGTGAGTTGAACGAACACATCACAACGCAGTTTGTGGGAATGATTCTGTCTAGTTTTGAAACGAAGATATTTCCTTTTCTGCCATTGACCTTAAAGCGCTTGAAATCTACACTTGCAAATTGCACAAATAGAGTGTTTCAAATCTGCTCTGTCTAACGGAACGTTCAACTCTGTGAGTTGAATGCACACAACACAAGGAAGTTACTGGGAATTCTTCTGTCTAGCCTTACATGAAAAAATCCCGTTTCCAACGAAGGCCTCTAAGTGGTCAAAATTTCCACGTGCAGACTTTACAAACAGAGTGTTTCCAAACCGCTGAATGAAAAGAAAAGTTAAACTCTGAGAGTTCAACGCACACATCACGCAGCAGTTTCTGAGAATGATTCTGTCTAGTTTTTATACGAAGATATTTCCTTTTCTGCCTTTGGCCCCAAAGCGCTTGAAATCTCCACTTGCAACTTCCACAAAAACAGTGTTTCAAATCTGCTCTCTCTAAATGAAAGTTCAACTCTGTCAGTTGAATACACACAACACAAGGAAGTTACTGAGAATTCTTCTGTCTAGCATAGTATGAAGAAATCCCGTTTCCAACGAAGGCCTCAAACAGGTCTGAATATCCACTTGCAGAGTTTACAAACAGAGTGTTTCCTAACTGCTCTATGAAAAGAAAGGTTAAACTCTGTGAGTTGAACGCACACATCACAAAGAAGTTTTTGAGAATCATTCTGTCTAGTTTCTATAGGAAGGTATTTCCTATTCTACCATTGACCTCAAAGCGGCTGAAATCTCCACTTGCAAATTCCACAAAAAGAGTGTTTCAAGACTGTACTGTGTAAAGGATCATTCAACTCTGTGAGTTGAATACACACAACACAAGGAAGTTACTGAGAATTCTTCTGTCTAGCAGAATATGAAGAAATCCCGTTTCCAACGAAGGCCACAAGATGTCAGAATATCCACTTACAGAATTAACAAACAGACTGTTTCCTAACTGCTCTATGAAAAGAAAGGTTAAACTCTGTGAGTTGAACGAACACATCACAACGCAGTTTGTGGGAATGATTCTGTCTAGTTTTGAAACGAAGATATTTCCTTTTCTGCCATTGACCTTAAAGCGCTTGAAATCTACACTTGCAAATTGCACAAATAGAGTGTTTCAAATCTGCTCTGTCTAAGGGAACGCTCATCTCTGTGAGTTGAATGCACACAACACAAGGAAGTTACTGGGAATTCTTCTGTCTAGCCTTACATGAAAAAAACCCGTTTCCAACGAAGACCTCTAAGTGGTCAAAATATCCACGTGCAGACTTTACAAACAGAGTGTTTCCAAACTGCTGAATGGAAAGAAAAGTTAAACTCTGAGAGTTGAACGCACACATCACAGAGCGGTTTCTGAGAATGATTTCTGTCATGTTTTTATACGAGGATATTTCCTTTTCTGCCTTTGGCCCCAAAGCGCTTGAAATCTCCACTTGCAAATTCCACAAAAACAGTGTTTCAAATCTGCTCTCTCCAAATGAAAGTTCAACTCTGTCAGTTGAATACACACAACACAAGGAAGTTACTGAGAATTCTTCTGTCTAGCATAATATGAAGAAATCCCGTTTCCAACGAAGGCCTCAAAGGGGTCTGAATATCCACTTGCAGACTTTATATACAGAGTGTTTACTAACTGCTCTATGAAAAGAAAGGTTAAACTCTGTGAGTTGAACACACACATCACAAAGGAGTTTCTGAGAATCATTCTGTCTAGTTTCTATAGGAAGATATTTCCTATTCTACCATTGACCTGAAAGCGGCTGAAATCTCCACTTGCAAATCCCACAAAAAGAGTGGTTCAAGTCAGCTCTGTGTAAAGGACCGTTCAACTCTGTGAGTTGAATACACACAACACAAGGAAGTTACTGAGAATTCTTCTGTCTAGCAGAATATGAAGAAATCCCGTTTCCAACAAAGGCCACAAGATGTCACAATATCCACTTACAGAATTTACAAACAGACTGTTTCCTAACTGCTCTATGAAAAGAAAGGTTAAACTCTGTGAGTTGAACGAACACATCACAACGCAGTTTGTGGGAATGATTCTGTCTAGTTTTTATAGGAAGATATTTCCTTTTCTACTTTGACTTCAAAGCGGCTGAAATCTCCATTTGCAAATTCCACAAAAAGAGTGTTACAAGTCTGCTCTGTGTAAAGGATCGTTCAACTGTGTGAGTTGAATACACACAACACAAGGAAGTTACTGAGAACTCTTCTGTCTAGCCTTACATGAAAAAAACCCGTTTCCAACGAAGGCCTCTAAGTGGTCAAATTATCCACGTGCAGACTTTACAAACAGAGTGTTTCCAAACTGCTGAATGAACAGAAAAGTTAAACTCTGAGAGTTGAACGCACACATCACAGAGCAGTTTCTGAGAATGATTCTGTCTAGTTTTGAAACGAAGATATTTCCTTTTCTGCCTTTGGCCTCAAAGCGCTTGAAATCTCCACTTGCAAATTCCACAAAAAGAGTGTTTCAAATCTGTTCTGTGTAAATGAAAGTTCAACTCTGTGAGTTGAACACACACAACACAAGGAAGTTACTGGGAATTCTTCTGTCTAGCATAATATGAAGAAATCCCGTTTCCAACGAAGGCCTCAAAGGGGTCTGAATATCCACTTGCAGACTTTATAAACAGAGTGTTTACTAACTTCTCTATGAAAAGAAAGGTTAAACTCTGTGAGTTGAACACACACGTCACAAAGGAGTTTCTGAGAATCATTCTGTCTAGTTTCTATAGGAAGATATTTCCTATTCTACCATTGACCTCAAAGCGGCTGAAATCTCCACTTGCAAATTCCACAAAAGGAGTGTTTCAAGTCTGCTCTGTGTAAAGGATCGTTCAACTCTGTGAGTTGAATACACACAAGACAAGGAAGTTACTGAGAATTCTTCTGTCTAGCATAATATGAAGAAATCCCGTTTCCAACGAAGGCCTCAAAGGGGTCTGAATATCCACTTGCAGACTTTATAAACAGAGTGTTTACTAACTGTTCTATGAAAAGAAAGGTTAAACTCTGTGAGTTGAACACACACATCACAAAGGAGTTTCTGAGAATCATTCTGTCTAGTTTCTATAGGAAGATATTTCCTATTCTACCATTGACCACAAAGCGGCTGAAATCTCCACTTGCAAATTTCACAAAAAGAGTGTTTCAAGTCTGCTCTGTGTAAAGGATCGTTCAACTCTGTGAGTTGAATACACACAACACAAGGAATTTACTGAGAATTCTTCTGTCTAGCATAATATGAAGAAATCCCGTTTCCAACGAAGGCCTCAAGGAGGTCTGAATATCCACTTGCAGACTTTACAAACAGAGTGTTTCCTAACTGCTCTATGAAAAGAAAGGTTAAACTCTGTGAGTTGAACGCACACATCACAAAGGAGTTTCTGAGAATCATTTCTGTCTAGTTTTGAAACGAAGATATTTCCTTTTCTGCCATTGACCTTAAAGCGCTTGAAATCTACACTTGCAAATTGCACAACTAGAGTGTTTCAAATCTGCTCTGTCTAAGGGAACGTTCAACTCTGTGAGTTGAATGCACACAACACAAGGCAAGTTACTGGGAATTCTTCTGTCTAGCCTTACATGAAAAAAACCCGTTTCCAACGAAGGCCTCTAAGTGGTCAAATTATCCACGTGCAGACTTTACAAACAGAGTGTTTCCAAACTGCTGAATGAAAAGCAAAGTTAAACTCTGAGAGTTGAACGCACACATCGCAGAGCAGTTTCTGAGAATGATTCTGTCTAGTTTCTATAGGAAGATATTTCCTATTCTACCATTGACCTCAAAGCGGCTGAAATCTCCACTTGCAAATTCCACAAAAAGAGTGTTTCAAGTCTGCTCTCTGTAAAGGATCATTCAACTCTGTGAGTTGAATACACACAACACAAGGAAGTTACTGAGAATTCTTCTGTCCAGCCTTACATGAAAAAAACCCGTTTCCAACGAAGGCCTCAAAGAAGTCCAAGTATCCACGTGCAGACTTAACAAACAGAGTGTTTCCTAACTGCTCTATGAAAAGAAAGGTTAAACTCTGTGAGTTGAACGCCCACATCACAAAGGAGTTTCTGAGAATCATTCTGTCTAGTTTTTATACGAAGATATTTCCTTTTCTACCATTGACCTCAAAGCGGCTGAAATCTCCACTTGCAAATTACACAAAAAGAGTGTTTCAAGTCTACTCTGTGTAAAGCATCGTTCAATTCTGTGAGTTGAAAACACACAACACAAGGAAGTTTCTGAGAATTCTTCTGTCTAGCAGAATATGAAGAAATCCCGTTTCCAACGAAGGCCACAAGATGTCAGAATATCCACTTACAGAATTTACAAACAGACTCTTTCCTAAGTGCTCTATGAAAAGAAAGGTTAAACTCTGTGAGTTGAACGAACACATCACAACGCAGTTTGTGGGAATGATTCTGTCTAGTTTTGAAACGAAGATATTTCCTTTTCTGCCATTGACCTTAAAGCGCTTGAAATCTCCATTTGCCAATTGCACAAAAAGAGTGTTTCAAATCTGCTCTGTCTAAGGGAACGTTCAACTCTGTGAGTTGAATGTACACAACACAAGGGAAGTTACTGGGAATTCTTCTGTCTAGCCTTACATGTAAAAAACCCGTTTCCAACGAAGGCCTCTAAGTGGTCAAAATATCCACGTGCAGACTTTACAAACAGAGTGTTTCCAAACCGCTGAATGAAAAGAAAAGTTAAACTCTGAGAGTTGAACGCACACATCACGCAGCAGTTTCTGAGAATGATTCTGTCTAGTTTTTATACGAAGATATTTCCTTTTCTGCCTTTGGCCTCAAAGCGCTTGAAATCTCCATTTGCAAATTCCATAAAAAGAGTGTTTCAAATCTGCTCTGTGTAAATGAAAGTTCAACTCTGTGAGTTGAACACACACAACACAAGGAAGTTACTGGGAATTCTTCTGTCTAGCATAATATGAAGAAATCCCGTTTCCAACGAAGGCCTCAAAGAGGTCTGAATATCCACTTGCAGACTTTACAAACAGAGTGTTTCCTAACTGCTCTATGAAAAGAAAGGTTAAACTCTGTGAGTTGAACGCACACATCACAACGGACTTTCTGAGAATCATTCTGTCTAGTTTTTATACGAAGATATTTCCTTTTCTACCATGGACCTCAAAGCGGCTGAAATCTCCACTTGCAAATTCCTCAAAAAGAGTGTTTCAAGTCTGCTCTGTGTAAAGGATCGTTCAACTCTGTGAGTTGAATGCACAGAACACAAGGAAGGTTCTGAGAATTCTTCTGTCTAGCAGAATATGAAGAAATCCCGTTTCCAACGAAGGCCACAAGATGTCAGAATATCCACTTACAGACTTTACAAACAGAGTGTTTCCTAACTGCTCTATGAACAGAAAGGTTAAACTCTGTGAGTTGAACGAACACATCACAACGAAGTTTGTGGGAATGATTCTGTCTAGTTTTGAAACGAAGATATTTCCTTTTCTGCCATTGACCTTAAAGCGCTTGAAATCTCCACTTGCCAATTGCACAAAAAGAGTGTTTCAAATCTGCTCTGTCTAAGGGAACGTTCAACTCTGTGAGTTGAATGTACACAACACAAGGTAAGTTACTGGGAATTCTTCTGTCTAGCCTTACATGAACAAAACCTGTTTCCAACGAAGGCCTCTAAGTGGTCAAATTACGCACATGCAGACTTTACAAACAGAGTGTTTCCAAACTGCTGAATGAAAAGAAAAGTTAAACTCTGAGAGTTGAACGCACATATCGCAGAGCAGTTTCTGAGAATGATTCTGTCTAGTTTTTATACGAAGATATTTCCTTTTCTGCCTTTGGCCCAAAAGCGCTTGTAATCTCCACTTGCAAATTCCACAAAAATAGTGTTTCAAATCTGCTCTCTCTAAATGAAAGTTCAACTCTGTCAGTTGAATACACACAACACAAGGAAGTTACTGAGAATTCTTCTGTCTAGCAGAATATGAAGAAATCCCGTTTCCAACGAATGCCCCAAAGATGTCTGAATATCCACTTGCAGACTTTACAAACAGAGTGTTTCCTAACTGCTCTATTAAAAGAAAGGTTAAACTCTGTGAGTTGAACGCACCCATCACAAAGGAGTTTCTCAGAATCATTCTGTCTAGTTTCTATAGGAAGATATTTCCTTTTCTAACATTGACCTCAAAGCGGCTGAAATCTCCACTTGCAAATTCCACAAAAAGAGTGTTTCAAGTCTGCTCTGTGTAAAGGATCGTTCAACTCTGTGAGTTGAATACACACAACACAAGGAAGTTACTGAGAATTCTTCTGTCTAGCAGAATATGAAGAAATCCCGTTTCCAACGAAGGCCACAAGATGTCAGAATATCCACTTACAGAATTTACAAACAGACTGTTTCCTAACTACTCTATGAAAAGAAAGGTTAAACTCTGTGAGTTGAACGAACACATCACAACGCAGTTTGTGGGAATGATTCTGTCTAGTTTTGAAACGAAGATATTTCCTTTTCTCCCATTGACCTTAAAGCGCTTGAGATCTACACTTGCAAATTGCACAAATAGAGTGTTTCAAATCTGCTCTGTCTAAGGGAACGTTCAACTCTGTGAGTTGAATGCACACAACACAAGGAAGTTACTGGGAATTCTTCTGTCTAGCCTTACATGAAAAAAACCCGTTTCCAACGAAGGCCTCTAAGTGGGCAAAATATCCACGTGCAGACTTTACAAACAGAGTGTTTCCAAACCGCTGAATGAAAAGAAAAGTTAAACTCTGACAGTTGAACGCACACATCACGCAGCAGTTTCTGAGAATGATTCTGTCTAGTTTTTCTACGAAGATAATTCCTTTTCTACCATTGACCTCAAAGCAGCTGAAATCTCCACTTGCAAATTCCACAAAAAGAGTGTTTCAAGTCTGCTCTCTGTAAAGGATCGTTCAAATCTGTGAGTTGAATACACACAACACAAGGAAGTTACTGAGAATTATTCTGTCTAGCATAATATGAAGAAATCCCGTTTCCAACGAAGGCCTCAAAGAGGTCTGAATATCCACTTGCAGACTTTACAAACAGAGTGTTTCCTAACTGCTCTATGAAAAGTTAAACTCTGTGAATTGAACGCACACATCACAAAGGAGTTTCTGAAAATCATTCTGTCTAGTTTTTATACGAAGATATTTCCTTTTCTACCATTGACTTCAACGCGGCTGAAATCTCCACTTGCAAATTCCACAAAAAGAGCGTTTCAAGTCTGCTCTGTGTAAAGGATCGTTCAACTCTGTGAGTTGAATACACACAACACAAGGAAGTTACTGAGAATTCTTCTGTCCAGCAGAATATGAAGAAATCCCATTTCCAACGAAGGCCACAAGATGTCAGAATATCCACTTACAGACTTTACAAACAGAGTGTTTCCTAACTGCTCTATGAACAGAAAGGTTAAACTCTGTGAGTTGAACGAACACATCACAACGCAGCTTGTGGGAATGATTCTGTCTAGTTTTGAAACGAAGATATTTCCTTTTCTGCCGTTGACCTTAAAGCGCTTGAAATCTACACTTGCAAATTGCACAAATAGAGTGTTTCAAATCTGCTCTGTGTAAGGGAACGTTCAACTCTGTGAGTTGAATGCACACAACACAAGGAAGTTACTGGGAATTCTTCTGTCTAGCCTTACATGAAAAAAAACCCGTTTCCAACGAAGGCCTCTAAGTGGTCAAAATATCCACGTGCAGACTTTACAAACAGAGTGTTTCCAAACCGCTGAATGAAAAGAAAAGTTAAACTCTGAGAGTTGAACGCACACATCACGCAGCAGTTTCTGAGAATGATTCTGTCTAGTTTTTATACGAAGATATTTCCTTTTCTGCCTTTGGCCCCAAAACGCTTGAAATCTCCACTTGCAAATTCCACAAAAACAGTGTTTCAAATCAGCTCTCTCTAAATGAAAGTTCAACTCTGTCAGTTGAATACACACAACACAAGGAAGTTACTGAGAATTCTTCTGTCTAGCCTTATATGAAAAAAACCCGTTTCCAACGAAGGCCTCAAAGAGGTCTGAATATCCACTTGCAGACTTTACAAACAGAGTCTTTCCTAACTGCTCTATGAAAAGAAAGGTTAAACTCTGTGAGTTGAACGCACACATCACAAAGAAGTTTCTGAGAATCATTCTGTCTAGTTTTTATAGGAAGATATTTCCTTTTCTACTTTGACTTCAAAGCGGCTGAAATCTCCACTTGCAAATTCCACAAAAAGAGTGTTACAAGTCTGCTCTGTGTAAAGGATCGTTCAACTGTGTGAGTTGAATACACACAACACAAGGAAGTTACTGAGAACTCTTCTGTCTAGCCTTACATGAAAAAAACCCGTTTCCAACGAAGGCCTCTAAGTGGTCAAATTATCCACGTGCAGACTTTACAAACAGAGTGTTTCCAAACTGCTGAATGAAAAGAAAAGTTAAACTCTGAGAGTTGAACGCACACATCGCAGAGCAGCTTCTGAGAATGCTTCTGTCTAGTTTTGAAACGAAGGATATTTCCTTTTCTGCCTTTGGCCTCAAAGCGCTTGAAATCTCCACTTGCAAATTCCACAAAAAGAGTGTTTCAAATCTGCTCTGTGTAAATGAAAGTTCAACTCTGTGAGTTGAACACACACAACACAAGGATGTTACTGGGAATTCTTCTCTCTAGCCTTAAAGGAAAAAAACCCGTTTCAAACGAAGGCCTCTAAGTGGTCAAAATATCCACGTGCAGACTTTACAAACAGAGTGTTTCCAAACTGCTGAATGAAAAGAAAAGTTAAACTCTGAGAGTTGAACGCACACATCGCAGAGCCGTTTCTGAGAATGATTCTGTCTAGTTTTTATACGAAGATATTTCCTTTTCTACCATTGACCTCAAAGCGGCTGAAATCTCCACTGGCCAATTCAACAAAAAGAGTTTTTCAAGTCTACTCTGTGTAACGGATCGTTGAACTCTGTGAGTTGAAAACACGCAACACAAGGAAGTTTCTGAGAATTCTTCCGTCTAGCACAATATGAAGAAATCCCGTTTCCAATGAAGGCCTCAAAGTGGTCTGAATATCCACTTGCAGACTTTACAAACAGAGTGTTTCCTAACTGCTCTATGAAAAGAAAAGTTAAACTCTGTGAGTTGAACGCACACATCACAAAGGATTTTCTGAGAATCATTCTGTCTAGTTTTTGTACGAAGATATTTCCTTTTCTACCATTGACCTCAAAGCAGCTGAAATCTCCACTTGCCAATTCAACAAAAAGAGTGTTTCAAGTCTACTCTGTGTAAAGGATCGTTGAACTCTGTGAGTTGAAAACACACAACACCAGGAAGTTTCTGAGAATTCTTCTGTCTAGCAGAATATGAAGAAATCCCGTTTCCAACGAAGGCCTCAAGGAGGTCGGAATATCCACTTACAGACTTTACAAACAGAGTGTTTCCTAACTGCTCTATGAACAGAAAGGTTAAACTCTGTGAGTTGAACGAACACATCACAACGCAGTTTGTGGGAATGATTCTCTCTAGTTTTGAAACGAAGATATTTCCTTTTCTGCCATTGACCTTAAAGCGCTTGAAATCTACACTTGCAAATTGCACAAATAGAGTGTTTCAAATCTGCTCCGTCTAAGGGAAAGTTCAACTCTGTGAGTTGAATGCACACAACACAAGGAAGTTACTGGGAATTCTTCTGTCTAGCCTTACATGAAAAAAACCCGTTTCCAACGAAGGCCTCTAAGTGGTCAAATTATCCACGTGCAGACTTTACAAACAGAGTGTTTCCAAACTGCTGAATGAAAAGAAAAGTTAAACTCTGTGAGTTGAACGCACACATCGCAGAGCAGTTTCTGAGAATGATTCTGTCTAGTTTTTATAGGAAGATATTTCCTTTTCTACCTTTGACTTCAAAGCGGCTGAAATCTCCACTTGCAAATTCCACAAAAAGAGTGTTACAAGTCTGCTCTGTGTAAAGGATCGTTAAACTCTGTGAGTTGAATACACACAACACAAGGAAGTTACTTGAGAATTCTTCTGTCTAGCATAGTATGAAGAAATCCCGTTTCCAACGAAGGCCTCAAAGAGGTCTGAATATCCACTTGCAGAGTTTAGAAACAGAGTGTTTCCTAACTGCTCTATGAAAAGAAAGGTTAAACTCTGTGAGTTGAACGCACACATCACAAAGAAGTTTCTGAGAATCATTCTGTCTAGTCTTTATACGAAGATATTTACTTTTCTACCATTGACCTCAAAGCGGCTGAAATCTCCACTTGCAAATTCCACAAAAAGAGTGTTTCAAGTCTGCTCTGTGTAAAGGAACATTCAACTCTGTGAGTTGAATAAACACAACACAAGGAAGTTACTGAGAATTCTTCTGTCTAGCAGAATATAAAGAAATCCCGTTTCCAACGAAGGCCTCAAAGAGGTCTGAATATCCACTTGCAGACTTTACAAACAGAGTGTTTCCTAACTGCTCTATGAAAAGAAAGGTTAAACTCTGTGAGTTGAACGCGCACATCACAAAGGAGTTTATGAGAATCATTCTGTCTAGTTTTTATACGAAGATATTTCCTTTTCTACCATTGACCTCAAAGCGGCTGAAATCACCACTTGCCCATTGCACAAAAAGAGTGTTTCAAATCTGCTCTGTCTAAGGGAACGTTCAACTCTGTGAGTTGAATGTACACAACACAAGGAAGTTCCTGGGAATTCTTCTGTCTAGCCTTACATGAAAAAAACCCGTTGCCAACGAAGGCCTCTAAGTGGTCAAATTATGCACGTGCAGACTTTACAAACAGAGTGTTTCCAAACTGCTGAATGAAAAGAAAAGTTAAACTCTGAGAGGTGAACGCACACATCGCAGAGCAGTTTCTGAGAATCATTCCGTCTAGTTTTGAAACGAAGATATTTCCTTTTCTGCCTTTGGCCTCAAAGCGCTTGAAATCTCCATTTGTAAATTCCACAAAAAGAGTGTTTCAAATCTGCTCTGTGTAAATGAAAGTTCAGCTCTGTGAGTTGAACACACACAACACAAGGAAGTTACTGGGAATTCTTCTGTCTAGCAGAATATGAAGAAATCCCGCTTCCAACGAAGGCCTCAAGGAGGTCTGAATATCCACTTGCAGACTTAACAAACAGAGTGTTTCCTAACTGCTCTATGAAAAGAAAGGTTAAACTCTGTGAGTTGAACGCACACATCACAAAGGAGTTTCTGAGAATCATTCTGTCTAGTTTCTATAGGAAGATATTTCCTATCCTACCATTGACCTCAAAGCGGCTGAAATCTCCACTTGCAAATTCCAGAAAAAGAGTGTTTCAAGTCTGCTCTGTGTAAAGGATCGTTCAACTCTGTGAGTTGAATACACACAACACAAGGAAGTTACTGAGAATTCTTCTGTCTAGCAGAATATGAAGAAATCCCGTTTCCAACGAAGGCCTCAAAGAGGTCTTAATATCCACTTGCAGACTTTACAACCAGAGTGTTTCCTAACTGCTCTATGAAAAGAAAGGTTAAACTCTGTGAGTTGAACGCACACATCACAAAGGAGTTTTTGAGAATCATTCTGTCTAGTTTTGAAACGAAGATATTTCCTTTTCTGTCATTGACCTTAAAGCGCTTGAAATCTACACTTGCAAATTGCACAAATAGAGTGTTTCAAATCTGCTCTGTCTAAGGGAACGTTCAACTCTGTGAGTTGAATGCACACAACACAAGGAAGTTACTGGGAATTCTTCTGTCTAGCCTTACATGAAAAAAACCCGTTTCCAACGAAGGCCTCTAAGTGGTCAAAATTTCCACGTGCAGACTTTACAAACAGAGTGTTTCCAAACCGCTGAATGAAAAGAAAAGTTAAACTCTGAGAGGTGAACGCACACATCACGCAGCAGTTTCTGAGAATGATTTCTGTCTAGTTTTTATACGAAGATATTTCCTTTTCTGCCTTTGGCCCCAAAGCGCTTGAAATCTCCACTTGCAAATTCCACAAAAACAGTGTTTCAAATCTGCTCTCTCTAAATGAAAGTTCAATTCTGTCAGTTGAATACACACAACACAAGGAAGTTACTGAGAATTCTTCTGTCTAGCATAATATGAACAAATCCCGTTTCCAACGAAGGCCTCAAGGAGGTCTGAATATCCACTTGCAGACTTTACAAACAGAGTGTTTCCTAACTGCTCTATGAAAAGAAAGGTTAAACTGTGTGAGTTGAACGCACACATCACAAAGGAGTTTCTGAGAATCATTCTGTCTAGTTTTTATACGAAGATATTTCCTTTTCTAACATTGACCTCAAAGTGGCTGAAATCTCCACTTGCAAATACCACAAAAAGAGTGTTTCAAGTCTGCTCTGTGTAAAGGATCGTTCAACTATGTGAGTTGAATACACAAAACACAAGGAAGTTACTGAGAATTCTTCTGTCTAGCAGAATATGAAGAAATCCCGTTTCCAACGAAGGCCACAAGATGTCAGAATATCCACTTACAGAATTTACAAACAGAGTGTTTCCTAACTGCTCTATGAAAAGAAAGGTTAAACTCTGTGAGATGAACGAACACATCACAACGCAGTTTTTGGGAATGATTCTGTGTAGTTTTTATAGGAAGATATTTCCTTTTCTACCTTTGACTTCAAAGCGGCTGAAATCTCCACTTTCAAATTCCACAAAAAGAGTGTTACAAGTCTGCTCTGTGTAAAGGATCGTTCAACTCTGTGAGTTGAATACACACAACACAAGGAAGTTACTGAGAATTCTTCTGTCTAGCCTTACATGAAAAAAACCCGTTTCCAACGAAGGCCTCTAAGTGGTCAAATTATCCACGTGCAGACTTTACAAACAGAGTGTTGCCAAACTGCTGAATGAAAAGAAAAGTTAAACTCTGAGAGTTGAACGCACACATCACAGAGCAGGTTCTGAGAATGATTCTGTCTAGTTTTTATACGAAGATATTCCCTTTACTGCCTTTTTCCTCAAAGCGCTTGAAATCTCCATTTGCAAATTCCACAAAAAGAGTGTTTCAAATCTGCTCTGTGTAAATGAAAGTTCAACTCTGTGAGTTGAACACACACAACCCAAGGAAGTTACTGGGAATTCTTCTGTCTAGCACAGTATGAAGAAATCCCGTTTCCAACGAAGGCCTCAAAGAGGTCTGAATATCCACTTGCAGAGTTTACAAACAGTGTTTCCTAACTGCTCTATGAAAAGAAAGGTTAAACTCTGTGAGTTGAACGCACACATCACAATGAAGTTTCTGAGAATCATTCTGTCTAGTTTTTATACGAAGATATTTCCTTTTCTACCATTGACCTCAACGCAGCTGAAATCTCCGCTTGCAAATTCCACAAAAAGAGTGTTTCAAGTCCGCTCTGTGTAAAGGATCGTTCAACTCTGTGAGTTGAATACACACAACACAAGGAAGTTACTGAGAATTGTTCTGTCTAGCAGAATATAAAGAAATCCCGTTTCCAACGAAGGCCACAAGATGTCAGAATATCCACATACAGACTTTACAAACAGAGTGTTTCCTAACTCCTCTATGAACAGAAAGGTTAAACTCTGTGAGTTGAACGAACACATCACAACGCAGTTTGTGGGAATGATTCTGTCTAGTTTTGAAACGAAGATATTTCCTTTTCTGCCGTTGACCTTAAAGCGCTTGAAATCTACACTTGCAAATTGCACAAATAGAGTGTTTCAAATCTGCTCTGTCGAAGGGAACTTTCAACTCTGTGAGTTGAATGCACACAACACAAGGAAGTTACTGGGAATTCTTCTGTCTAGCCTTACAGGAAAAAAACCCGTTTCCAACGAAGGCCTCTAAGTGGTCAAATTATCCACCTGCAGACTTTACAAACAGAGTGTTTCCAAACTGCTGAATGAAAAGAAAAGTTAAACTCTGAGAGTTGAACGCACACATCGCAGAGCAGTTTCTGAGAATGATTCTGTCTAGTTTTTATACGAAGATATTTCCTTTTCTGCATTTGGCCTCAAAGCGCTTGAAATCTCCACTTGCAAATTCCACAAAAAGAGTGTTTCAAATCTGCTCTGTGTAAATCAAAGTTCAACTCTGTGAGTTGAACACACACAACACAAGGAAGTTACTGGGAATTCTTCTGTCTAGCAGAATATGAAGAAATCCCGCTTCCAACGAAGGCCTCAAAGAAGTCTGAATATCCACTTGCAGACTTTACAAACAGAGTGTTTCCCAACTGCTCTAGGAAAAGAAAGGTTGAACTCTGTGTGTTGAACGCACACATCACAAAGGAGTTTCTGAGAATCATTCTGTCTAGTTTTTATACGAAGATATTTCCTTTTCTACCATGGACCTCAAAGCGGCTGAAATCTCCACTTGCAAATTCCACAAAAAGAGTGTTTCAAGTCTGCTCTGTGTAAAGGATCGTTCAACTCTGTGAGTTAAATACACACAACACAAGGAAGATTCTGAGAATTCTTCTGTCTAGCAGAATATGAAGACATCCCGTTTCCAACGAAGGCCACAAGATGTCAGAATATCCACTTACAGAATTTACAAACAGACTGTTTCTTAACTGCTCTATGAAAAGAAAGGTTAAACTCTGTGAGTTGAACGAACACCTCACAACGCAGTTTGTGGGAATGATTCTGTCTAGTCTTTATATGAAGATAGTTTCCTTTTCTACCATTGACCTCAAAGCGGCTGAAATCTCCACTTGCAAATTCCACAAAAAGAGTGTTTCAAGTCTGCTCTGTGTAAAGGATCGTTCAACTCTGTGAGTTGAATGCACACAACACAAGGAAGTTACTGGGAATTCTTCTGTCTAGCCTTACATGAAAAAAACCCGTTTCCAACGAAGGCCTCTAAATGGTCAAAATTTCCACGTGCAGACTTTACAAACAGAGTGTTTCCAAACCGCTGAATGAAAAGAAAAGTTAAACTCTGAGAGTTGAACGCACACATTACGCAGCAGTTTC
This sequence comes from Homo sapiens, assembly GCF_000001405.40. Classification (NCBI taxonomy): domain Eukaryota; kingdom Metazoa; phylum Chordata; class Mammalia; order Primates; family Hominidae; genus Homo; species Homo sapiens. The sequence continues at coordinate 48,384,010 of NC_000005.10, read as the reverse complement.
TGAGAATGATTCTGTCTAGTTTCTATAGGATGATATTTCCCATTCTACCATTGACCTCAAAGCGGCTGAAATCTCCACTTGCAAATTCCACAAAAAGAATGTTTCTAGTCTGCTCTGTGTAAAGGATCCTTCAACTCTGTGAGTTGAATACACACAACACAAGGAAGTTACTGAGAATTCTTCTGTCTAGCATAATATGAAGAAATCCCGTTTCCAACGAAGGCCTCAAAGAGGTCTGAATATCCACTTGCAGACTTTACAAACAGAGTGTTTCCTAACTGCTCTATGAAAAGAAAAGTTAAACTCTGTGAGTTGAACGCACACATCCCAAAGAGTTTCTGAGAATCATTCTGTCTAGTTTTTATACGAAGATATCTCCTTTTCTACCATTGACCTCAAAGCGGCTGAAATCTCCACTTGCAAATTCCACAAAAAGAGTGTTTCAAGTCTGCTCTGTGTAAAGGATCGTTCAACTCTGTGAGTTGAATACACACAACACAAGGAAGTTACTGAGAATCCTTCTGTCTAGCATAATATGAAGAAATCCCGTTTCCAACGAAGGCCTCAAAGAGGTCTGAATATCCACTTGCAGAATTTACAAACAGAGTGTTTCCTAACTGCTCTATGAAAAGAAAGGTTAAACTCTGTGAGTTGAACGCACACATCTCAAAGGAGTTTCTGAGAATCATTCTGTCTAGTTTTGAGATGAAGATATTTCCTTTTCTGCCATTGACTCTTAAAGCGCTTGAAATCTACACTTGCAAATTGCACAAATAGAGTGTTTCAAATCTGCTCTGTCTAAGGGAACGTTCAACTCTGTGAGTTGAATGCACACAACACAAGGAAGTTACTGGGAATTCTTCTGTCTAGCCTTACAGGAAAAAAACCCGTTTCCAACGAAGGCCTCTAAGTGGTCAAAATATCCACGTGCAGACTTTACAAACAGAGTGTTTCCGAACTGCTGAATGAAAAGAAAAGTTAAACTCTGAGAGTTGAACGCACACATCACAAAGGAGTTTCTGAGAATCATTCTGTCTAGTTTTTATACGAAGATATTTCCTTTTCTGCCTTTGGCCCCAAAGCGCTTGAAATCTCCACTTGCAAATTCCACAAAAACAGTGTTTCAAATCTGCTCTCTCCAAATGAATGTTCAACTCTGTCAGTTGAATACACACAACACAAGGAAGTTACTGAGAATTCTTCTGTCTAGCATAATATGAAGAAATCCCGTTTCCAACGAAGGCCTCAAAGGGGTCTGAATATCCACTTGCAGACTTTATAAAGAGAGTGTTTACTAACTGCTCTATGAAAAGAAAGGTTAAACTCTGTGAGTTGAACACACACATCACAAAGGAGTTTCTGAGAATCATTCTGTCTACTTTTTATACGAAGATATTTCCTTTTCTACCATTGACCTCAACGCGGCTGAAATCTCCACTTGCAAATTCCACAAAAAGAGTGTTTCAAGTCCGCTCTGTGTAAAGGATCGTTCAACTCTGTGAGTTGAATACACACAACACAAGGAAGTTACTGAGAATTGTTCTGTCTAGCACAGTATGAAGAAATCCCGTTTCCAACGAAGGCCTCAAAGAGGTCTGAATATCCACTTGCAGAGTTTACAAACAGAGTGTTTCCTAACTGCTCTATGAAAAGAAAGGTTAAACTCTGTGAGTTGAACGCTCACAACACAATGAAGTTTCTGAGAATCATTCTGTCTAGTTTTGAAACGAAGATATTTCCTTTTCTGCCATTGACCTTAAAGCGCTTGAAATCTACACTTACAAATTGCACAAATAGAGTGTTTCAAATCTGCTCTGTCTAAGGGAACGTTCAACTCTGTGAGTGGAATGCACACAACACAAGGAAGTTACTGGGAATTCTTCTGTCTAGCCTTACATGAAAAAAACCCGTTTCCAACGAAGGCCTCTAAGTGGTCAAAATATCCACGTGCAGACTTTACAAACAGAGTGTTTCCAAACCGCTGAATGAAAAGAAAACTTAAACTCTGAGAGTTGAACGCACACATCACGCAGCAGTTTCTGAGAATGATTCTGTCTAGTTTTTATACGAAGATATTTCCTTTTCTGCCTTTGGCCTCACAGCGCTTGAAATCTCCACTTGCAAATTCCACAAAAAGAGTGTTTCAAATCTGCTCTGTGTAAATGAAAGTTCAACTCTGTGAGTTGAACACACACAACACAAGGAAGTTATTGGGAATTCTTCTTTCTAGCAGAATATGAAGAAATCCTGTTTCCAACGAAAGCCTCAAGGATGTCTGAATATCCACTTGCAGACTTTACAAACAGAGTGTTTCCTAACTGCTCTATGAAAAGAAAGGTTCAACTCTGTGAGTTGAACGCACACATCACAAAGGAGTTTCTGAGAATCATTCTGTCTAGTTTCTATACGAAGATATTTCATTTTCTACCATTAACCTTAAAGAGGCTGAAATGTCCGCTTGCAAATTCCACAAAAAGAGTGTTTCAAGTCTGCCCTGTGTAAAGGATCGTTCAACTCTGTGAGTTGAATGCACACAACACAAGGAAGTTACTGAGAATTCTTCTGTCTAGCAGAATATGAAGAAATCCCGTTTCCAACGAAGGCCTCAAAGAGGTCTGAATATCCACTTGCAGACTTTACAAACAGAGTGCTTCCTAACTGCTCTATGAAAAGAAAGGATAAACTCTGTGAGTTGAACTCACACATCACAAAGGAGTTTCTGAGAATCATTCTGTCTAGTTTTTATACGAAGATATTTCCTTTTCTACCATTGACCTCAAAGCGGCTGAAATCACCACTTGCCAATTGCACAAAAAGAGTGTTTCAAATCTGCTCTGTCTAAGGGAATGTTCAACTCTGTGAGTTGAATGTACACAACACAAGGAAGTTACTGGGAATTCTTCTGTCTAGCCTTACAAGAAAAAAACCCGTTTCCAACGAAGGCCTCTAAATGGTCAAAATATCCACGTGCAGACTTTACAAACAGAGTGTTTCCAAACTGCTGAATGAAAAGAAAAGTTAAACTCTGAGAGTTGAACGCACACATCGCAGAGCAATTTCTGAGAATGATTCTGTCTAGTTTTTATACGAAGATATTTCCTTTTCTGCTTTGGCCCCAAAGCGCTTGAAATCTCCACTTGCAAATTCCACAAAAACAGTGTTTCAAATCTGCTCTATCTAAATGAAAGTTCAACTCTGTCAGTTGAATACACACAACACAAGGAAGTTACTGAGAATTCTTCTGTCTAGCATAATATGAAGAAATCCCGTTTCCAACGAAGGCCTCAAAGGGGTATGAATATCCACTTGCAGACTTTATAAACAGAGTGTTTACTAACTGCTCTATGAAAAGAAAGGTTAAACTCTGTGAGTTGAACACACACATCACAAAGGAGTTTCTGAGAATCATTCTGTCTAGTCTTTATACGAAGATATTCCCTTTTCTACCATTGACCTTAAAGCGGCTGAAATCTTCACTTGCAAATTCCACAAAAAGAGTGTTTCAAGTCTGCTCTGTGTAAAGGATCGTTCAACTCTGCGAGTTGAATACACACAACACAAGGAAGTTACTGAGAATTCTTTTGTCTAGCAGAATATGAAGAAATCCCGTTTCCAACGAAGGCCACAAGATGTCAGAATATCCCCTTACAGAATTTTCAAACAGACTGTTTCCTAACTGCTCTATGAAAAGAAAGGTTAAACTCTGTGAGATGAACGAACACATCACAACGCAGTTTGTGGGAATGATTCTGTCTAGTTTTGAAACGAAGATATTTCCTTTTCTGCCATTGACCTCAAAGTGCTTGAAATCTCCACTTGCCAATTGCACAAAAAGAGTGTTTCAAATCTGCTCTGTCTAAGGGAACGTTCAACTCTGTGAGTTGAATGTACACAACACAAGGAAGTTACTGGGAATTCTTCTGTCTAGCCTTACAGGAAAAAAACCCGTTTCCAACGAAGGCCTCTAAGTGGTCAAAATATCCACATGCAGAGTTTACAGAGTGTTTCCAAACTCCTGAATGAAAAGAAAAGTTAAACTCTGAGAGTTGAACGCACACATCGCACAACAGTTTCTGAGAATGATTCTGTCTAGTTTCTGTAGGAAGATATATCCTATTCTACCATTGACCTCAAAGCGGCTGAAATCTCCACTTGCAAATTCCACAAAAAGAGTGTTTCAAGTCTGCTCTGTGTAAAGGATCGTTCAATTCTGTGAGTTGAATACACACAACACAAGGAAGTTACTGAGAATTCTTCTGTCTAGCATAATATGAAGAAATCCCGTTTCCAACGAAGGCCTCAAGGAGGTCTGAATATCCACTTGCAGACTTTACAAACAGAGTGTTTCCTAACTGCTCTATGAAAAGAAAGGTTAAACTCTGTCAGTTGAACGCAGACATCACAAAGGAGTTTCTGAGAATCACTCTGTCTAGTTTCTATAGGAAGATATTTCCTTTTCTACCATTGACCTCAAAGCGGCTGAAATCTCCACTTGCAAATTCCACAAAAAGAGAGTTTCAACTCTGCTCTCTGTAAAGGATCGTTCAACTCTGTGAGTTGAATACACACAACACAAGGAAGTTACTGAGAATTATTCTGTCTAGCAGAATATGAAGAAATCCCGTTTCCAACGAAGGCCACAAGATGTCAGAATATCCACTTACAGACTTTACAAACAGAGTGTTTCCTAACTGCTCTATGAACAGAAAGGTTAAACTCTGTGAGTTGAACGAACACTTCACAACGCAGTTTGTGGGAATGATTCTGTCTGGTTTTGAAACGAAGATATTTCCTTTTCTGCCGTTGACCTTAAAGCGCTTGAAATCTACACTTGCAAATTGCACAAATAGAGTGTTTCAAATCTTCTCTGTCTAAGGGAACGTTCAACTCTGTGAGTTGAATGCACACAACACAAGGAAGTTACTGGGAATTCTTCTGTCTAGCCTTACAAGAAAAAAACCCGTTTCCAACGAAGGCCTCTAAATGGTCAAAATATCCACGTGCGGACTTTACAAACAGAGTGTTTCCAAACTGCTGAATGAAAAGAAAAGTTAAACTCTGAGAGTTGAACGCACACATCGCAGAGCAGTTTCTGAGAATGATTCTGTCTAGTTTTGAAACGAAGATATTTCCTTTTCTGCCTTTGGCCTCAAAGCGCTTGAAATCTCCACTTGCAAATTCCACAAAAAGAGTGTTTCAAATCTGCTCTGTGTAAATGGAAGTTCAACTCTGTGAGTTGAACACACACAACACAAGGAAGTTACTGGGAATTCTTCTGTCTAGCAGAATATGAAGAAATCCCGTTTCCAACGAAGGCCTCAAAGGGGTCTGAATATCCACTTGCAGACTTTATAAACAGAGTGTTTACTAACTGCTCTATGAAAAGAAAGGTTAAACTCTGTGAGTTGAACACACACATCACAAAGGAGTTTCTGAGAATAATTCTGTCTAGTCTTTATACGAAGTTATTTCCTTTTCTACCATTGACATCAAAGCGGCTGAAATCTCCACTTGCAAATTCCACAAAAAGAGTGTTTCAAGTCTGCTCTGTGTAAAGGATCGTTCAACTCTGTGAGTTGAATACACACAACACAAGGAAGTTACTGAGAATTCTTCTGTCTAGCAGAATATGAAGAAATCCCGTTTCCAACGAAGGCCACCAGATGTCAGAATATCCACTTACAGACTTTACAAACAGAGTGTTTCCTAACTGCTCTATGAACAGAAAGGTTAAACTCTGTGAGTTGAACGAACACATCACAACGCAGTTTGAGGGAATGATTCTGTCTGGTTTTGAAACGAAGATATTTCCTTTTCTGCCGTTGACCTTAAAGCGCTTGAAATCTACACTTGCAAATTGCACAAATAGAGTGTTTCAAATCTGCTCTGTCTAAGGGAACGTTCAACTCTGTGAGTTGAATGCACACAACACAAGGAAGTTACTGGGAATTCTTCTGTCTAGCCTTATGGGAAAAAAACCCGTTTCCAACAAAGACCTCTAAGTGGTCAAAATATCCTCGTGAAGACTTTACAAACAGAGTGTTTCCAAAGTGCTGAATGAAAAGAAAAGTTAAACTCTGAGAGTTGAACGCACACATCACAGAGCAGTTTCTGAGAATGATTCTGTCTAGTTTTTATACGAAGATATTTCCTTTTCTGCCTTTGGCCTCAAAGCGCTTGAAATTTCCACTTGAAAATTCCACAAAAAGAGTGTTTCAAATCTGCTCTGTGTAAATGAAAGTTCAACTCTGTGAGTTGAACACACACAACACTAGGAAGTTACTGGGAATTCTTCTGTCTAGCACAGTATGAAGAAATCCCGTTTCCAACGAAGGCCTCAAAGAGGTCTGAATATCCACATGCAGAGTTTAAAAACAGAGTGTTTCCTAACTGCTCTATGAAAAGAAAGGTTAAACTCTGTGAGTTGAACGCACACATCACAAAGAAGTTTCTGAGAATCATTCTGTCTAGTTTCTATAAGAAGATATTTCCTATTCTACCATTGAACTCAAAGCGGCTGAAATCTCCACTTGCAAATTCCACAAAAAGAGTGTTTCAAGTCTGCTCTGTGTAAAGGATCATTCAACTGTGTGAGTTGAATACACACAACACAAGGAAGTTACTGAGAATTCTTCTGTCTAGCACAGTATGAAGAAATCCCGTTTCCAACGAAGGCCTCAAAGAGGTCTGAATATCCACTTGCAGAGTTTACAAACAGAGTGTTTCCTAACTGCTCTATGAAAAGAAAGGTTAAACTCTGTGAGTTGAACGCACACATCACAACGCAGTTTTTGGGAATGATTCTGTCTAGTTTTTATACGAAGATATTTCCTTTTCTACCATTGACCTCAAAGCGGCTGAAATCCCCACTTGCCAATTGCACAAAAAGAGTGTTTCAAATCTGCTCTGTCTAAGGGAACGTTCAACTCTGTGAGTTGAATGTACACAACACAAGGAAGTTCCTGGGAATTCTTCTGTCTAGCCTTACAGGAAAAAAACCCGTTTCCAACGAAGGCCTCTAAGTGGTCAAAATATCCACGGGCAGACTTTACAAACAGAGTGTTTCCACACTGCTGAATGAAAAGAAAAGTTAAACTCTGAGAGTTGAACGCACACATCGCAGAGCAGTTTCTGAGAATGATTCTGTCTAGTTTTTCTACGAAGATATTTACTTTTCTACTATTGACCTCAAAGCGGCTGAAATCTCCACTTGCAAATTCCACAAAAAGAGTGTTTCAAGTCTGCTCTGTGTAAAGGATCGTTCAACTCTGTGAGTTGAATACACACAACACAAGGAAAGTTACTGAGAATTCTTCTGTCTAGCAGAATAGGAAGAAATCCCGTTTCCAACGAAGGCCTCAAAGAGGTCTGAATATCCACTTGCAGACTTTACAAACAGAGTGTTTCCTAACTGCTCTATGAAAAGAAAGGTTAAACTCTGTGAGTTGAACGCACACATCCCAAAGGAGTTTCTGAGAATCGTTCTGTCTAGTCTTTATACGAAGATATTTCCTTTTCTACCATTGACCTCAAAGCGGCTGTAATCTCCACTTGCAAATTCGACAAAAAGAGTGTTTCAAGCCTGCTCTCTGTAAAGGATCCTTCAACTCGGTGAGTTGAATACACACAACACAAGGAAAGTTACTGAGAATTATTCTGTCTAGCATAATATGAAGAAATCACGTTTCCAACGAAGGCCTCAAAGAGGTCTGAATATCCACTTGCAGACTTTACAAACAGAGTGTTTCCTAACTGCTCTATGAGAAGAAAAGTTAAACTCTGTGAGTTGAACGCACACATCACAAAAGATTTTCTGAGAATCATTCTGTCTAGTTTTGAAACGAAGATATTTCCTTTCCTGCCATTGACCTTAAAGCGCTTGAAATCTCCATTTGCCAATTGCACAAAAAGAGTGTTTCAAATCTGCTCTGTCTAAGGGAACGTTCAACTCTGTGAGTTGAATGTACACAAGACAAGGAAGTTACTGGGAATTCTTCTGTATAGCCTTACATGAAAAAAACCCGTTTCCAACGAAGGCCTCTAAGTGGTCCAATTATCCACGTGCAGACTTTACAAACAGAGTGTTTCCAAACTGCTGAATGAAAAGAAAAGTTAAACTCTGAGAGTTGAACGCACACATCGCAGAGCAGTTTCTGAGAATGATTCTGTCTAGTTTTTATACGAAGATATTTCCTTTTCTGCCTTTGGCCTCAAAGCGCTTGAAATCTCCACTTGCAAATTCCACAAAAAGAGTGTTTCATATCTGCTCTGGGTAAATGAAAGTTCAACTCTGTGAGTTGAACACACACAACACAAGGAAAGTTACTGGGAATTCTTCTGTCTAGCCTTATATGAAAAAAAGCCATTTCCAACGAAGGCCTCAAAGAGGTCTGAATATCCACTTGCAGACTTTACAAACAGAGTGTTTCCTAACTGCTCTATGAAAAGAAATGTTAAACTCTGTGAGTTGAACGCACACATCACAAAGGAGTTTCTGAGAATCATTCTGTCTAGTTTCTATAAGAAGATATTTCCTATTCTACCTTTGACCTCAAAGCGGCTGAAATCTCCACTTGCAAATTCGACAAACAGAGTGTTTCAAGCCTGCTCTCTGTAAAGGATCCTTCAACTCTGTGAGTTGAATACACACAACACAAGGAAGTTACTGAGAATTATTCTGTCTAGCAGAATATGAAGAAATCCCGTTTCCAACGAAGGCCTCAAAGACGTCTGAATATCCACTTGCAGACTTTACAAACAGAGTGTTTCCTAACTGCTCTATGAGAAGAAAAGTTAAACTCTGTGAGTTGAACGCACACATCACAAAAGATTTTCTGAGAATCATTCTGTCTAGTTTTGAAACGAAGATATTTCCTTTTCTGCCATTGACCTTAAAGCGCTTGAAATCTACACTTGCAAATTGCACAAATAGAGTTTTTCAAATCTGCTCTGTCTAAGGGAACGTTCAACTCTGTGAGTTGAATGCACACAACACAAGGAAGTTACTGGGAATTCTTCTGTCTAGCCTTACATGAAAAAAAACCCGTTTCCAACGAAGGCCTCTAAGTGGTCAAAATTTCCACGTGCAGACTTTACAAACAGAGTGTTTCCAAACCGCTGAATGAAAAGAAAAGTTAAACTCTGAGAGTTGAACGCACACATCACGCAGCAGTTTCTGAGAATGATTCTGTCTAGTTTCTATAGGAAGATATTTCCTATTCTACCATTGACCTCAAAGCGGCTGAAATCTCCACTTGCAAATTCCACAAAAGGAGTGTTTCAAGTCTGCTCTGTGTAAAGGATCGTTCAACTCTGTGAGTTGAAAACACACAACACAAGGAAGTTCCTGAGAATTCCTCTGTCTAGCAGAATATGAAGAAATCCCGTTTCCAACGAAGGCCTCAAAGAGGTCTGAATATCCACTTGCACACTTTACAAACAGAGTGTTTCCTAACTGCTCTATGAAAAGAAAGGTTAAACTCTGTGAGTTGAACGCACTCATCACAAAGGAGTTTCTGAGAATCATTCTGTCTAGTTTTGAAACGAAGACATTTCCTTTTCTGCCTTTGACTTCAAAGCGGCTGAAATCTCCACTTGCAAATTCCACAAAAAGAGTGTTACAAGTCTGCTCTGTGTAAAGGATCGTTCAACTCTGTGAGTTGAATACACACAACACAAGGAAGTTACTGAGAATTCTTCTGTCTAGCAGAATATGAAGAAATCCCGTATCCAACGAAGGCCACAAGATGTCAGAATATCCACTTACAGACTTTACAAACAGAGTGTTTCCTAACTGCTCTATGAACAGAAAGGTTAAACTCTGTGAGTTGAACGAACACATCACAACGCAGTTTGTGGGAATGATTCTGTCTAGTTTTGAAACGAAGATATTTCCTTTTCTGCCATTGACCTTAAAGCGCTTGAAATCTCCATTTCCCAATTGCACAAAAAGAGTGTTTCAAATCTGCTCTGTCTAAGGGAACGTTCAACTCTGTGAGTTGAATGTACACAACACAAGGAAGTTACTGGGAATTCTTCTGTCTAGCCTTACATGATAAAGACCCGTTTCCAACGAAGGCCTCTAAGTGGTCAAAATATCCACGTGCAGACTTTACAAACAGCGTGTTTCCAAACCGCTGAATGAAAAGAAAAGTTAAACTCTGAGAGTTGAACACACACATCACGCAGCAGTTTCTGAGAATGACTCTGTCTAGTTTTTATACGAAGATATTTCCTTTTCTGCCTTTGGCCCCAAAGCGCTTGAAATCTCCACTTGCAAATTCCACAAAACAGTGTTTCAAATCTGCTCTCTCTAAATGATAGTTCAACTCTGTCAGTTGAATACACACAACACAAGGGAAGTTACTGAGAATTCTTCTGTATAGCAGAATATGAAGAAATCCCGTTTCCAACGAAAGCCTCAAGGATGTCTGAATATCCACTTGCAGACTTTACAAACAGAGTGTTTCCTAACTGCTCTATGAAAAGAAAGGTTAAACTCTGTGAGTTGAACGCAGACATCACAAAGGAGTTTCTGAGAATCACTCTGTCTAGTTTTTATACGAAGTATATTTCCTTTTCTACCATTGACCTCAAAGCGGCTGAAATCTCCACGTGCAAATTCCACAGAAAGAGTGTTTCAAATCTGCTCTGTGTAAACAATCGTTCAACTGTGTGAGTTGAATACACACAACACAAGGAAGATTCTGAGAATTCTTCTGTCTAGCAGAATATGAAGAAATCCCGTTTACAACGAAGGCCACAAGATGTCAGAATATCCACTTACAGACTTTACAGAGTGTTTCCTAACTGCTCTATGAACAGAAAGGTTAAACTCTGTGAGTTGAACGAACACATCACAACGCAGTTTGTGGAATGATTCTGTCTAATTTTGAAACGAAGATATTTCCTTTTCTGCCATTGACCTTAATGCGCTTGAAATCTACACTTGCAAATTGCACAAATAGAGTGTTTCAAATCTGCTCTGTCTAAGGGAACGTTCAACTCTGTGAGTTGAATGCACACAACACAAGGAAGTTACTGGGAATTCTTCTGTCTAGCCTTACATGAAAAAAACCCGTTTCCAACGAAGGCCTCTAAGTGGTCAAAATATCCACGTGCAGACTTTACAAACAGAGTGTTTCCAAACCGCTGAATGAAAAGAAAAGTTAAACTCTGAGAGTTGAACGCACACATCACGCAGCAATTTCTGAGAATGATTCTGTCTAGTTTTTATACGAAGATATTTCCTTTTCTGCCTTTGGCCTCAAAGCGCTTGAAATCTCCACTTGCAAATTCCAGAAAAAGAGTGTTTCAAATCTGCTCTGTCTAAATGAAAGTTCAACTCTGTCAGTTGAATACACACAACACAAGGAAGGTACTGAGAATTCTTCTGTCTAGCCTTACATGAAAAAAAACCCGTTTCCAATGAAGGCCTCAAAGAGGTGAAAATATCCACTTGCAGACTTTACAAACAGAGTGTTTCCTAACTGCTCTATGAAAAGAAAGGTTAACTCTGTGAGTTGAACACCCACATCACAAAGGAGTTTCTGAGAATCATTCTGTCTAGTCTTTATACGAAGATATTTCCTTTTCTACCATTGACCTCAAAACGGCTGAAATCTCCACTTGCAAATTCCACAAAAAGAGTGTTTCAAGACTGCTCTGTGTAAAGGATCGTTCAACTCTGTGAGTTGAATACACACAACACAAGGAAGTTACTGAGAATTCTTCTGTCTAGCAGAATATGAAGAAATCCCGTTTCCAACGAAGGCCACAAGATGTCAGAATATCCACTTACAGACATTACAAACAGAGTGTTTCCTAACTGCTCTATGAACAGAAAGGTTAAACTCTGTGAGTTGAACGAACTCATCACAACGCAGTTTGTGAGAATGATTCTGTCTAGTTTTGAAACGAAGATATTTCCTTTTCTGTTATTGACCTTAAAGCGCTTGAAATCTACACTTGCAAATTGCACAAATAGAGTGTTTCAAATCTGCTCTGTCTAAGGGAACGTTCAACTCTGTGAGTTGAATGCACAGAACACAAGGAAGTTACTGGGAATTCTTCTGTCTAGCCTTACATGAAAAAAACCCGTTTCCAACGAAGGCCTTTAAGTGGTCAAAATATCCACGTGCAGACTTTACAAACAGAGTGTTTCCAAACGGCTGAATGAAAAGAAAAGTTAAACTGTGAGAGTTGAACGCACACATCACACAGCAGTTTCTGAGAATGATTCTGTCTAGTTTTCATAGGAAGATATTTCCTTTTCTGCCTTTGGCCCCAAAGCGCTTGAAATCTCCACTTGCAAATTCCACAAAAACAGTGTTTCAAATCTGCTCTCTCTAAATGAAAGTTCAACTCTGTCAGTTGAATACACACAACACAAGGAAGTTACTGAGAATTCTTCTGTCTAGCAGAATATGAAGAAATCCCGTTTCCAACGAAGGTCACAAGGAGGTGTGAATATCCACTTGCAGACTTTACAAACAGAGTGTTTCCTAACGGCTCTATGAACAGAAAGGTTAAACTCTGTGAGTTGAACGCACACATCACAAAAGAGTTTCTGAGAATCATTCTGTCTAGTTTTTATACGAAGATATTTCCTTTTCTACCATTGACCTCAAAGTGGCTGAAATCTCCACTTGCAAATTCCACAACAAGAGTGTTTCAAGTATGCTCTGTGTAAAGGATCGTTCAACTACTGTGAGTTGAATACACACAACACAAGGAAGTTACTGAGAATTCTTCTGTCTAGCAGAATATGAAGAAATCCCGTTTCCAATGAAGGCCACAAGATGTCAGAATATCCACTTACAGACTTTACAAACAGAGTGTTTCCTAACTGCTCTATGAACAGAAAGGTTAAACTCTGTGAGTTGAACGAACACATCACAACGCAGTTTGTGAGAATGATTCTGTCTAGTTTTGAAACGAAGATAATTCCTTTTCTACCATTGACCTCAAAGCGGCTGAAATCTCCACTTGCAAATTCCACCAAAAGAGTGTTTCAAATCTGCTCTGTGTAAACCATCATTCAACTCTGTGTGTTGAATACACACAACACAAGGAAGATTCTGACAATTCTTCTGTCTAGCCTTACAGGAAAAAAACCCGTTTCCAACGAAGGCCTCTAAGTGGTCAAAATATCCACGTGCAGACTTTACAAACAGAGTGTTTCCAAACTGCTGAATGAAAAGAAAAGTTAAACTCTGAGAGTTGAACGCACACATCGCAGAGCAGTTTCTGAGAGTGATTCTGTCTAGTTTTGAAACGAAGATATTTCCTTTTCTGCCTTTGGCCTCAAAGCGCTTGAAATCTCCACTTGCAAATGCCACAAAAAGAGTGTTTCAAATCTGCTCTGTGTAAATGAAAGTTCAACTCTGTGAGTTGAACACACACAACACAAGGAAGTTACTGGGAATTCTTCTGTCTAGCATAATATGAAGAAATCCCGTTTCCAAAGAAGGCCTCAAGGAGGTCGGAATATCCACTTGCAGACTTTACAAACAGAGTGTTTCCTAACTGCTCTATGAAAAGAAAGGTTAAACTCTGTGAGTTGAACGCACACATCACAAAGGAGTTTCTGAGAATCATTCTGTCTAGTTTTTATATGAAGATATTTCCTTTTCTACCATTGACCTCAAAGCGGCTGAAATCTCCACTTGCAAATTCCACAAAAAGAGTGTTTCAAATCTGCTCTGTGTAAACCATCGTTCAACTCTGTGAGTTGAATACACACAACACAAGGAAGATTCTGAGAATTCTTCTGTCTAGCAGAATATGAAGAAATCCCGTTTCCAACGAAGGCCACAAGGATGTCAGAATATCCACTTACAGAATTTACAAACAGACTGTTTCCTAACTGCTCTATGAAAAGAAAGGTTAAACTCTGTGAGTTGAACGAACACATCACAACGCAGTTTGTGGGAATGATTCTGTCTAGTTTTAAAACGAAGATATTTCCTTTTCTGCCATTGACCTTAAAGCGCTTGAAATCTACACTTGCAAATTGCACAAATAGAGTGTTTCAAATCTGCTCTGTCTAAGGGAACGTTCAACTCTGTGAGTTGAATGCACACAACACAAGGAAGTTACTGGTAATTCTTCTGTCTAGCCTTACATGAAAAAAACCCGTTTCCACGAAGGCCTCTAAGTGGTCAAAATTTCCACGTGCAGACTTTACAAACAGAGTGTTTCCAAACCGCTGAATGAAAAGAAAAGTTAAACTCTGAGAGTTGAACGCACACATCACACAGCAGTTTCTGAGAATGATTCTGTCTAGTTTCTATAGGAAGATATTTCCTATTCTACCATTGACCTCAAAGCGGCTGAAATCTCCACTTGCAAATTCCACAAAAAGAGTGTTTCCAGTCTGCTCTGTGTAAAGGATCGTTCAACTCTGTGAGTTGAATACACACAACACAAGGAAGTTACTGAGAATTCTTTTGTCTAGCATAATATGAAGAAATCCCGTTTCCAACGAAGGCCTCAAGGAGGTCTGAATATCCACTTGCACACATTACAAACAGAGTGTTTCCTAACTGCTCTATGAAAAGAAAGGTTAAACTCTGTGAGTTGAACGCACACATCACAAAGGAGTTTCTCAGAATCATTCTGTCTAGTTTTTATAGGAAGATATTTCCTTTTCTACCTTTGACTTCAAAGCGGCTGAAATCTCCACTTGCAAATTCCACAAAAAGAGTGTTACAAGTCTCCTCTGTGTAAAGGATCGTTCAACTCTGTGAGTTGAATACACACAACACAAGGAAGTTACTGAGAATTCTTCTGTCTAGCAGAATATGAAGAAAACCCGTTTCCAACGAAGGCCACAAGATGTCAGAATATCCACTTACAGACTTTACAAACAGAGTGTTTCCTAACTGCTCTATGAACAGAAAGGTTAAACTCTGTGTGTTGAACGCACACATCACAAAGGAGTTTATGAGAATCATTCTGTCTAGTTTTGAAACGAAGATATTTCCTTTTCTGCCATTGACCTTAAAGCGCTTGAAATCTCCATTTGCCAGTTGCACAAAAAGAGTGTTTCAAATCTGCTCTGTCTAAGGGAACGTTCAACTCTGTGAGTTGAATGTACACAACACAAGGAAGTTACTGGGAATTCTTCTGTCTAGCCTTACAGGAAAAAAACCCGTTTCCAACGAAGGCCTCTAAGTGGTCAAAATATCCACGTGCAGACTTTACAACCAGAGTGTTTCCAAACTGCTGAATGAAAAGAAAAGTTAAACTCTGAGAGTTGAACGCACACATCGCAGAGCAGTTTCTGAGAATGATTCTGTCTAGTTTTTATAAGAAGATATTTCCTTTTCTGCCTTTGGCCTCAAAGCGCTTGAAATCTCCATTTGCAAATTATACAAAAAGAGTGTTTCAAATCTGCTCTGTGTAAATGAAAGTTCAACTCTGTGAGTTGAACACACACAACACAAGGAAGTTACTGGGAATTCTTCTGTCTAGCATAATATGAAGAAATCCCGTTTCCAACGAAGACCTCAAGGGAGGTCTGAATATCCACTTGCAGACTTTACAAACAGAGTGTTTCCTAACTGCTCTATGAAAAGAAAGGTTAAACTGTGTGAGTTGAACGCACACATCACAAAGGAGTTTCTGAGAATCATTCTGTCTAGTTTTTATAGGAAGATATTTCCTTTTCTACCTTTGACTTCAAAGCGGCTGAAATCTCCACTTGCAAATTCCACAAAAAGAGTGTTACAAGTCTGCTCTATGTAAAGGATCGTTCAACTCTGTGAGTTGAATACACACAACACAAGGAAGTTACTGAGAATTCTTCTGTCTAGCAGAATATGAAGAAATCCCGTTTCCAACGAAGGCCTCAAGGAGGTCTGAATATCCACTTGCAGACTTTACAAACAGAGTGTTTCCTAACTGCTCTATGAACAGAAAGCTTAAACTCTGTGAGTTGAACGAACACATCACAAAGCAGTTTGTGGGAATGATTCTGTCTAGTTTTGAAACTAAGATATTTCCTTTTCTGCCATTGACCTTAAAGCGCTTCAAATCTACACTTGCAAATTGCACAAATAGAGTGTTTCAAATCTGCTCTGTCTAAGGGAACGTTCAACTCTGTGAGTTGAATGCACACAACACAAGGAAGTTACTGGGAATTCTTCTGTCTAGCCTTACATGAAAAAAACCCGTTTCCAACGAAGGCCTCTAAGTGGTCAAATTATCCACGTGCAGACTTTACAAACAGAGTGTTTCCAAACTGCTGAATGAAAAGCAAAGTTAAACTCTGAGAGTTGAACGCACACATCGCAGAGCAGTTTCTGAGAATGATTCTGTCTAGTTTTTATACGAAGATATTTCCTTTTCTGCCTTTGGCCCCAAAGCTCTTGAAATCTCCACTTGCAAATTCCACAAAAACAGTGTTACAAATCTGCTCTCTCTAAATGAAAGTTCAACTCTGTCAGTTGAATACACACAACACAAGGAAGTTACTGAGAATTCTTCTGTCTAGCATAGTATGAAGAAATCCCGTTTCCAACTAAGGCCTCAAAGAGGTCTGAATATCGACTTGCAGAGTTTACAAACAGAGTGTTTCCTAACTGCTCTATGAAAAGAAAGGTTAAACTCTGTGAGTTGAACGCACACATCACAAAGAAGTTTCTGAGAATCATTCTGTGTACTTTCTATAGGAAGATATTTCCTATTCTACCTTTGAACTCAAAGCGGCTGAAATCTCCACTTGCAAATTCCACAAAAAGAGTGTTTCAAGTCTGCTCTGTGTAAAGGATCGTTCAACTCTGTGAGTTGAATACACACAACACAAGGAAGTTCCTGAGAATTCCTCTGTGTAGCATAATATGAAGAAATCCCGTTTCCAACGAAGGCCTCAAAGAGGTCTGAATATCCACTTGCAGACTTTACAAACAGAGTGTTTCCTAACTGCTCTATGAACAGAAAGGTTAAACTCTGTGAGTTGAACGAACACATCACAACGCAGTTTGTGGGAATGATTCTGTCTAGTTTTGAAACGAAGATATTTCCTTTTCTGCCATTGACCTTAAAGCGCTTGAAATCTCCACTTGCCAATTGCACAAAAAGAGTGTTTCAAATCTGCTCTGTCTAAGGGAACGTTCAACTCTGTGAGTTGAATGTACACAACGCAAGGAAGTTACTGGGAATTCTTCTGTCTAGCATAATATGAAGAAATCCCGTTTCCAACGAAGGCCTCAAAGAGGTCTGAGTATCCACTTGCAGACTTTACAAACAGAGTGTTTCCTAACTGCTCTATGAAAAGAAAGGTTAAACTCTGTGAGTTGAACGCACACATCACAAAGGAGTTTCTGAGAATCATTCTCTCTAGTTTCCATAGGAATATATTTCCTATTCTACCATTGATCTCAAAGCGGCTGAATTCTCCACTTGCCAATTCCACCAAAAGAGCGTTTCAAGTCTGCTCTGTGTAAAGGATCGTTCAACTCTGTGAGTTGAATACACAGAATAGAAGGAAGTTACTGAGAATTCTTCTGTCTAGCATAATATGAAGAAATCCCGTTTCCAACGAAGGCCTCAAGGAGGTCTGAATATCCACTTGCAGACTTTACAAACACAGTGTTTCCTAACTGCTCTATGAAAAGAAAGGTTAAACTCTGTGAGCTGAACGCACACATCACAAAGGAGTTTCTGAGAATCATTCTGTCTACTTTCTATAGGAAGATATTTCCTATTCTACCATTGACCTCAAAGCGGCTGAAATCTCCACTTGCAAATTCCACAAAAAGAGTGTTTCAAGTCTGCTCTGTGTAAAGGATCGTTCAACTCTGTGAGTTGAATACACACAACACAAGGAAGTTATTGAGAATTCTTCTGTCTAGCTTAATATGAAGAAATCCCGTTTCCAACGAAGGCCTCAAAGAGGTCTGAATATTCACTTGCAGACTTTACAAACAGAGTGTTTCCTAACTGCTCTATGAAAAGAAAGGTTAAACTCTGTGAGTTGAACGCACACATCACAAAGGAGTTTCTGAGAATCATTCTGTCTAGTTTTTATATGAAGATATTTCCTTTTCTACCATTGACCTCAAAGCGGCTGAAATCTCCACTTACAAATTCCACAAAAAGAGTGTCTCAAGTCTGCTCTGTGTAAACGATCGTTCAAATCTGTGAGTTGAATACACACAACACAAGGAAGTTACTGAGAATTCTTCTTTCTAGCAGAATATGAAGAAATCCCGTTTCCAACGAAAGCCTCAAGGATGTCTGAATATCCACTTGCAGACTTTACAAACAGAGTGTTTCCTAACTGCTCTATGAAATGAAAGGTTAAACTCTGTGAGTTGAACGCACACATCACAAAGGAGTTTCTGAGAATCATTCTGTCTAGTTTTTATACGAAGATATTTCCTTTTCTGCCTTTGGCCCCAAAGCGCTTGAAATCTCCACTTGCAAATTCCACAAAAACAGTGTTTCAAATCTGCTCTCTCCAAATGAAAGTTCAACTCTGTGAGTTGAATACACACAACACAAGGAAGTTACTGAGAATTCTTCTGTCTAGCATAATATGAAGAAATCCCGTTTCCAACGAAGGCCTCAAGGAGGTCTGAATATCCACCTGCAGACTTTACAAACAGAGTGTTTCCTAACTGCTCTATGGAAAGAAAGGTTAAACTCTGTGAGTTGAACGCACACATCACAAAGGAGTTTCTGAGAATCATTCTGTCTAGTCTTTATACGAAGATATTTCCTTTTCTACCATTGACCTCAAAGCGGCTGAAATCTCCACTTGCAAATTCCACAAAAAGAGTGTTTCAAGTCTGCTCTGTGTAAAGGATCGTTCAACTCTGTGAGTTGAATACACACAACACAAGGAAGTTAGTGAGAATTCTTCTGTCTAGCAGAATATGAAGAAATCCCATTTCCAACGAAGGCCTCAAGGAGGTCTGAATATCCACTTGCAGACTTTACATACAGAGTGTTTCCTAACTGCTCTATGAAAAGAAAGGTTAAACTCTGTGAGTTGAACGCACACATCACAAAGGAGTTTCTGAGAATCATTCTGTCTAGTTTTGAAACGAAGATATTTCCTTTTCTGCCGTTGACCTTAAAGCGCTTGAAATCTACACTTGCAAATTGCACAAAGAGAGTGTTTCAAATCTGCTATGTCTAAGGGAACGTTCAACTCTGTGAGTTGAATGCACACAACACAAGGAAGTTACTGGGAATTCTTCTGTCTAGCCTTACATGAAAAAAACCCGTTTCCAACGAAGACCTCTAAGTGGTCAAATTATCCACGTGCAGACTTTACAAACAGAGTGTTTCCAAACTGCTGAATGAAAAGAAAAGTTAAACCCTGAGAGTTGAACGCACACATCGCAGAGCAGTTTCTGAGAATGATTCTGTCTAGTTTCTATAGGAAGATATTTCCTATTCTACCATTGAACTCACAGCGGCTGAAATCTCCACTTGCAAATTCCACAAAAAGAGTGTTTCAAGTCTTCTCTGTGTAAAGGATCGTTCAACTCTGTGAGTTGAATACACACAACACAAGGAAGTTACTGAGAATTCTTCTGTCTAGCAAAATATGAAGAAATCCCGTTTCCAACGAAGGCCTCAAGGAGGTCTGAATATCCACTTGCAGACTTTACAAACAGAGTGTTTCCTAACTGCTCTATGAAAAGAAAGGTTAAACTCTGTGAGTTGAACGCACACATCACAAAGGAGTTTCTGAGAATCATTCTGTCTACTTTCTATAGGAAGATATTTCCTATTCTACCATTGACCTCAAACCGGCTGAAATCTCCACTTGCAAATTCCACAAAAGGAGTGTTTCAAGTCTGCTCTGTGTAAAGGATCGTTCAACTCTGTGAGTTGAAAACACACAACACAAGGAAGTTTCTGAGAATTCTTCTGTCTAGCAGAACATGAAGAAATCCCGCTTCCAACGAAGGCCTCAAAGAAGTCTGAATATCCACTTGCAGACTTTACAAACAGAGTGTTTCCCAACTGCTCTATGAAAAGAAAGGTTGAACTCTCTGAGTTGAACGCACACATCACAAAGGAGTTTCTGAGAATCATTCTGTCTAGTTTTGAAACGAAGATATTTCCTTTTCTGCCGTTGACCTTAAAGCGCTTGAAATCTACACTTGCAAATTGCACAAATAGAGTGTTTCAAATCTGCTCTGTCTAAAGGAACGTTCAACTCTGTGAGTTGAATGCACACAACACAAGGAAGTTACTGGGAATTCTTCTGTCTAGCCTTACATGAAAAAAACCCGTTTCCAACGAAGGCCTCTAAGTGGTCAAAATATCCACGTGCAGACTTTACAAACAGAGTGTTTCCAAACCGCTGAATGAAAAGAAAAGTTAAACTCTGAGAGTTGAACGCACACATCATGCAGCAGTTTCTGAGAATGATTCTGTCTAGTTTTGAAACGAAGATATTTCCTTTTCTGCCTTTGGCCTCAAAGCGCTTGACATCTCCAATTGCAAATTCCACAAAAAGAGTGTTTCAAATCTGCTCTGTGTAAATGAAAGTTCAACTCTGTGAGTTGAACACACACAACACAAGGAAGTTACTGGGAATTCTTCTGTCTAGCCTTATATGAAAAAACCCGTTTCCAACGAAGGCCTCAAAGAGGTCTGAATATCCACTTGCAGACTTTACAAACAGAGTGTTTCCTAACTGCTCTATGAAAAGAAAGGTTAAACTCTGTGAGTTGAACGCACACATCACAAAGGAGATTCTGAGAATCATTCTGTCTAGTTTTTCTACGAAGATATTTCCTTTTCTACTATTGACCTCAAAGCGGCTGAAATCTCCACTTGCAAATTCCACAAAAAGAGTGTTTCAAGTCTGCTCTCTGTAGAAGGATCGTTCAACTCTGAGAGTTGAATACACACAACACAAGGAAGTTACTGAGAATTATTCTGTCTAGTAGAATATGGAGAAATCCAGTTTCCAACGAAGGGCCACAAGATGTCAGAATATCCACTTACAGACTTTACAAACAGAGTGTTTCCTAACTGCTCTATGAACAGAAAGGTTAAACTCTGTGAGTTGAACGAACACATCACAACGCAGTTTGTGGGAATGATTCTGTCTAGTTTTGAAACGAAGATATTTCCTTTTCTGCCATTGACCTTAAAGCGCTTGAAATCTACACTTACAAATTGCACAAATAGAGTGTTTCAAATCTGCTCTGTCTAAGGGAACGTTCAACTCTGTGAGTTGAATGCACACAACACAAGGAAGTTACTGGGAATTCTTCTGTCTAGCCTTACATGAAAAAAACCCGTTTCCAACGAAGGCCTCTAAGTGGTCAAGTTATCCACGTGCAGACTTTACAAACAGAGTGTTTCCAAACTGCTGAATGAAAAGAAAAGTTAAACTCTGAGAGTTGAACGCACACATCGCAGAGCAGTTTCTGAGAATGATTCTGTCTAGTTTCTATAGGAAGAAATTTCCTATTCTACCATTGACCTCAAAGCGGCTGAAATCTCCACTTGCAAATTCCACAAAAAGAGTGTTTCAAGTCTGCTCTGTGTAAAGGATCGTTCAACTCTGTGAGTTGAATACACACAACACAAGGCAGTTACTGAGAATTCTTCTGTCTAGCAGAATATGAAGAAATCCCGCTTCCAACGAAGGCCTCAAAGAAGTCTGAATATCCACTTGCAGACTTTACAAACAGAGTGTTTCCAAACTGCTCTATGAAAAGAAAGGTTGAACTCTGTGAGTTGAACGCACACATCACAAAGGAGTTTCTGAGAATCATTCTGTCTAGTTTTTATAGGAAGATATTTCCTTTTCTACCTTTGACTTCAAAGCGGCTGAAATCTCCACTTGCAAATTCCACAAAAAGAGTGTTACAAGTCTGCTCTGTGTAAATGATCGTTCAACTCTGTGAGTTGAATACACACAACACAAGGAAGTTACTGAGAATTCTTCTGTCTAGCAGAATATGAAGAAATCCCATTTCCAACGAAGGCCACAAGATGTCAGAATATCCACTTACAGAATTCACAAACAGACTGTTTCCTAACTGCTCTATGAAAAGAAAGGTTAAACTCTGTGAGTTGAACGAACACATCACAACGCAGTTTGTGGGAATGATTCTGTCTAGTTTTGAAACGAAGATATTTCCTTTTCTGCCATTGACCTTAAAGCGCTTGAAATCTCCACTTGCAAATTGCACAAAAACAGTGTTTCAAATCTGCTCTGTCTAAGGGAACGTTCAACTCTGTGAGTTGAATGCACACAACAAAAGGAAGTTACTGGGAATTCTTCTGTCTAGCCTTACATGAAAAAAACGCGTTTCCAACTAACGCCTCTAAGTGGTCAAAATATCCACGTGCAGACTTTACAAACAGAGTGTTTCCAAACTGCTGAATGAAAAGAAAAGTTCAACTCTGAGAGTTGAACGCACACATCACAGAGCAGTTTCTGAGAATGATTCTGTCTAGTTTTTATACGAAGATATTTCCTTTTCTGCCTTTGGCCTCAAAGCGCTTGAAATCCCCACTTGCAAATTCCACAAAAAGAGTGTTTCAAATCTGCTCTGTGTAAATCAAAGTTCAACTCTGTGAGTTGAACACACACAACACAAGGAAGTTACTGGGAATTCTTCTCTCTAGCAGAATATGAAGAAATCCCCTTTCCAACGAAGGCCTCAAAGAGGTCTGAATATCCACTTGCAGACTTTACAAACAGAGTGTTTCCTAACTGCTCTATGAAAAGAAAGGTTAAACTCTGTGAGTTGAACGCACACATCACAAAGGAGTTTCTGAGAATCATTCTGTCTAGTTTTTATACGAAGATATTTCCTTTTCTACCATTGACTTCAAAGCGGCTGAAATCTCCACTTGCAAATTACACAAAAAGAGTGTTTCAAGTCTACTCTGTGTAAAGCATCGTTCAACTCTGTGAGTTGAAAACACACAACACAAGGAAGTTTCTGAGAATTCTTGTGTCTACCAGAACATGAAGAAATCCCGTTTCCAATGAAGGCCTCAAAGATGTCTGAATATCCACTTGCAGACTTTACAAACAGAGTGTTTCCTAACTGCTCTATGAAAAGAAAGGTTAAACTCTGTGAGTTGAACGCACACATCACAAAGGAGTTTCTGAGAATCATTCTGTCTAGTTTTGAAACGAAGATATTTCCTTTTCTGCCGTTGACCTTAAAGCGCTTGAAATCTACACTTGCAAATTGCACAAATAGAGTGTTTCAAATCTGCTCTGTCTGAGGGAACGTTCAACTCTGTGAGTTGAATGCACAGAACACAAGGAAGTTACTGGGAATTCTTCTGTCTAGCCTTACATGAAAAAAACCCGTGTCCAACGAAGGCCTCTAAGTAGTCAAATTATCCACGTGCAGACTTTACAAACAGAGTGTTTTCAAACTGCTGAATGAAAAGAAAAGTTAAACTCTGAGAGTTGAACGCACACATCGCAGAGCAGTTTCTGAGAATGATTCTGTCAAGTTTTTATACCGAAGATATTTCCTTTTCTGCCTTTGGCCTCAAAGCGCTTGAAATCTCCATTTGCAAATTCCACAAAAAGAGTGTTTCAAATCTGCTCTGTGTAAATGAAAGTTCAACTCTGTGAGTTGAAGACACACAACACAAGGAAGTTACTGGGAATTCTTCTGTCTAGCAGAATATGAAGAAATCCTGCTTCCAACGAAGGCCTCAAAGAAGTCTGAATATCCACTTGCAGACTTTACAAACAGAGTGTTTCCCAACTGCTCTATGAAAAGAAAGGTTGAACTCTGTGAGTTGAACGCACACATCACAAAGGAGTTTCTGAGAATCATTCTGTCTAGTTTCTATAGGAAGATATTTCCTATTCTACCATTGAACTCAAAGTGGCTGAAATCTCCACTTGCAAATTCCACAAAAAGAGTGTTTCAAGTCTGCTCTGTGTAAAGGATCGTTCAACTCTGTGAGTTGAATACACACAACACAAGGAAGTTACTGAGAATTCTTCTGTCTAGCAGAATATGAAGAAATCCCGTTTCCAACAAAGGCCACAAGATGTCAGAATATCCACTTGCAGAGTTCACAAACAGAGTGTTTCCTAACTGCTCTATGAAAAGAAAGGTTAAACTCTGTGAGTTGAACGAACACATCACAACGCAGTTTGTGGGAATGATTCTGTCTAGTTTTGAAACGAAGATATTTCCTTTTTTGCCATTGACCTTAAAGCGCTTGAAATCTCCACTTGCCAATTGCACAAAAAGAGTGTTTCAAATCTGCTCTGTCTAAGGGAACGTTCAACTCTGTGAGTTGAATGTACACAACACAAGGAAGTTACTGGGAATTCTTCTGTCTAGCCTTACATGAAAAAAAACCGTTTCCATCGAAGGCCTCTACGTGATCAAATTATCCACGTGCAGACTTTACAAACAGAGTGTTTCCAAACTGCTGAATGAAAAGAAAAGTTAAACTCTGAGAGTTGAACGCACACATCGCAGAGCAGTTTCTGAGAATGATTCTGTCTAGTTTTTATATGAAGATATTTCCTTTTCTGCCTTTGGCCTCAAAGTGCTTGAAATCTCCATTTGCAAATTCCACAAAAAGAGTGTTTCAAATCTGCTCTGTGTAAATGAAAGTTCAACTCTGTGAGTTCAACATACACAACACAAGGAAGTTACTGGGAATTCTTCTGTCTAGCATAATATGAAGAAATCCCGTTTCCAACGAAGGCCTCAAAGAGGTCTGAATATCCACTTGCAGACTTTACAAACAGAGTGTTTCCTAACTGCTCTATGAAAAGAAAGGTTGAACTCTGTGAGTTGAACGCACACATCACAAAGCAGTTTCTGAGAATCATTCTGTCTAGTTTTTCTACGAAGATATTTCCTTTTCTACCATTGACCTCAAAATGGCTGAAATCTCCACTTGCAAATTCCACAAAAAGAGTGTTTCAAGTCTGCTCTGTGTAAAGGATCGTTCAACTCTGTGAGTTGAATACACAGAACACAAGGTAGTTACTGAGAATTCTTCTGTCTAGCAGAATATGAAGAAATCCCGTTTGCAACGAAGGCCACAAGATGTCAGAATATCCACTTACAGACTTTACAAACAGCGTGTTTCCTAACTGCTCTATGAACAGAAAGGTTAAACTCTGTGAGTTGAACGAACACATCACAACGCAGCTTGTGGGAATGATTCTGTCTAGTTTTGAAACGAAGATATTTCCTTTTCTGCCATTGACCTTAAAGCGCTTGAAATCTACACTTGCAAATTGCACAAATAGAGTGTTTCAAATCTGCTCTGTCTAAGGGAACGTTCAACTCTGTGAGTTGAATGCACACAACACAAGGAAGTTACTGGGAAATTCTTCTGTCTAGCCTTACGTTAAAAAAACCCGTTTCCAACGAAGGCCTCTAAGTGGTCAAGTTATCCACGTGCAGACTTTACAAACAGAGTGTTTCCAAACTGCTGAATGAAAAGAAAAGTTAAACTCTGAGAGTTGAACGCACACATCGCAGAGCAGTTTCTGAGAATGATTCTGTCTAGTTTTTATAGGAAGATATTTCCTTTTCTGCCTTTGGCCTCAAAGCGCTTGAAATCTCCATTTGCAAATTCCACAAAAAGAGAGTTTCAAATCTGCTCTGTGTAAATGAGAGTTCATCTGTGTGACTTGAACACACACAACAAAAGGAAGTTACTGGGAATTCTTCTGTCTAGCCTTATATGAAAAAAACCCGTTTCCAAAGAAGGCCTCTAAGTGGTCAAATTATCCACGTGCAGACTTTACAAACAGAGTGTTTCCAAACTGCTGAATGAAAAGAAAAGTTAAACTCTGAGAGTTGAACGCACACATCGCAGAGCAGTTTCTGAGAATGATTCTGTCTAGTTTTTATACGAAGATATTTCCTTTTCTGCCTTTGGCCTCAAAGCGCTTGAAACCTCCATTTGCAAATTCCACAAAAAGAGTGTTTCAAATCTGCCCTGTGTAAATGAAAGTTCAACTCTGTGAGTTGAACACACACAACACAAGGAAGTTACTGGGAATTCTTCTGTCTAGCATAGTATGAAGAAATCCCGTTTCCAACGAAGGCCTCAAAGAGGTCTGAATATCCACTTGCAGAGTTTACCAACAGAGTGTTTCCTAACTGCTCTATGAAAAGAAAGGTTAAACTCTGTGAGTTGAACGCACACATCACAAAGAAGTTTCTGAGAATCATTGTGTCTAGTTTCTATAAGAAGATATTTCCTATTCTACCTTTGACCTCAAAGCGGCTGAAATCTCCACTTGCAAATTCGACAAAAAGAGTGTTTCAAGCCTGCTCTCTGTAAAGGATCCTTCAACTCTGTGAGTTGAATACACACAACACAAGGAAGTTACTGAGAATTATTCTGTCTAGCATAATATGAAGAAATCCCGTTTCCAACGAAGACCTCAAAGAGGTCTGAATATCCACTTGCAGACTTTACAAACAGAGTGTTTCCTAACTGCTCTATGAGAAGAAAAGTTAAACTCTGTGAGTTGAACGCACACATCACAAAAGATTCTCTGAGAATCATTCTGTCTAGTTTTGAAACCAAGATATTTCCTTTTCTGCCGTTGACCTTAAAGAGCTTGAAAACTACACTTGCAAATTGCACAAATAGAGTGTTTCAAATCTGCTCTGTCTAAGGGAACGTTCAACTCTGTGAGTTGAATGCACACAACACAAGGAAGTTACTGGGAATTCTTCTGTCTAGCCTTACATGAAAAAAACCCGTTTCCAACGAAGGCCTCTAAGTGGTCAAAATATCCACGTGCAGACTTTACAAACAGAGTGTTTCCAAACCGCTGAATGAAAAGAAAAGTTAAACGCTGAGAGTTGAACGCACACATCACGCAGCAGTTTCTGAGAATGATTCTGTCTAGTTTTTATACGAAGATATTTCCTTTTCTGCCTTTGGCCTCAAAGCGCTTGAAATCTCCACTTGCAAATTCCACAAAAAGAGTGTTTCAAATCTGCTCTGTGTAAATGAAAGTTCAAATCTGTGAGTTGAACACACACAACACAAGGAAGTTACTGGGAATTCTTCTGTCTAGCATAGTATGAAGAAATCCCGTTTCCAACGAAGGCCTCAAAGAGGTCTGAATATCCACTTGCAGAATTTACAAACAGAGTGTTTCCTAACTGCTCTATGAAAAGAAAGGTTAAACTCTGTGAGTTGAACGCACACATCACAAAGAAGTTTCTGAGAATCATTCTGTCTAGTTTTTATACGAAGACATTTCCTTTTCTACCATGGACCTCAAAGCGGCTGAAATCTCCACTTGCAAATTCCACAAAAAGAGTGTTTCAAGTCTGCTCTGTGTAAAGGATCGTTCAACTCTGTGAGTTGAATACACACAACACAAGGAAGATTCTGAGAATTCTTCTGTCTAGCAGAATATGAAGAAATCCCGTTTCCAACGAAGGCCTCAAGGAGGTCTGAATATCCACTTGCAAACTTTACAAACAGAGTGTTTCCTAACTGCTCTATTAACAGAAAGGTTAAACTCTGTGAGTTGAACGAACACATCACAACGCAGTTTGTGGGAATGATTCTGTCTAGTTTTGAAACGAAGATATTTCCTTTTCTGCCATTGACCTTAAAGCGCTTGAAATCTCCATTTGCCAATTGCACAAAAAGAGTGTTTCAAATCTGCTCTGTCTAAGGGAACGTTCAAATCTGTGAGTTGAATGTACACAACACAAGGAAGTTACTGGGAATTCCTTCTGTCTAGCCTTACATGAAAAAAACCCGTTTCCAACGAAGGCCTCTAAGTGGTCAAAATATCCACGTGCAGACTTTACAAACAGAGTGTTTCCAAACCGCTGAATGAAAAGAAAAGTTAAACTCTGAGTGTTGGACGCACACATCACGCAGCAGTTTCTGAGAATGATTCTGTCTAGTTTTGAAACGAAGATATTTCCTTTTCTGCCTTTGGCCTCAAAGCGCTTGAAATCTCCACTTGCAAATTCCACAAAAAGAGTGTTTCAAATCTGCTCTGGGTAAATGAAAGTTCAACTCTGTCAGTTGAACACACACAACACAAGGAAGTTACTGGGAATTCTTCTTTCTAGCAGAATATGAAGAAATCCCGTTTCCAACGAAAGCCTCAAGGATGTCTGAATATCCACTTGCAGACTTTACAAACAGAGTGTTTCCTAACTGCTCGATGAAAAGAAAGGTTAAACTCTGTGACTTGAACGCACACATCACAAAGGAGTTTCTGAGAATCATTCTGCCTAGTTTTTCTACGAAGATATTTCCTTTTCTACTATTGACCTCAAAGCGGCTGAAATCTCCACTTGCAAATTCCACAAAAAGAGTGTTTCAAGTCTGCTCTGTGTAAAGGATCGTTCAACTCTGTGAGTTGAATACACACAACACAAGGAAGTTACTGAGAATTCTTCTGTCTAGCAGAATATGAAGAAATCCCGTTTCCAACGAAGGCCTCAAAGAGGTCTGAATATCCACTTGCAGACTTTACAAACAGAGTGTTTCCTAACTGCTCTAGTGAAAAGAAAGGTTAAACTCTGTGAGTTGAACGCACACATCACAAAGGAATTTCTGAGAATCATTCTGTCTAGTTTCTATAGGAAGATATTTCCTATTCTACCATTGACCTCAAAGCGGCTGAAATCTCCACTTGCAAATTCCACAAAAAGAGTGTTTCAAGTCTGCTCTCTGTAAAGGATCGTTCAACTCTGTGAGTTGAATACACACAACACAAGGGAGTTACTGAGAATTCTTCTGTCTAGCCTTACAAGAAAAAAACCCGTTTCCAACGAAGGCCTCTAAATGGTCAAAATATCCACGTGCAGACTTTACAAACAGAGTGTTTCCAAACTGCTGAATGAAAAGAAAAGTTAAACTCTGAGAGTTGAACGCACACATCGCAGAGCAGTTTCTGAGAATGATTCTGTCTAGTTTTGAAACGAAGACATTTCCTTTTCTGCCTTTGGCCTCAAAACGCTTGAAATCTCCACTTGCAAATTCCACAAAAAGAGTGTTTCAAATCTGCTCTGGGTAAATGAAAGTTCAACTCTGTGAGTTGAACACACACAACACAAGGAAGTTACTGGGAATTCTTCTGTCTAGCACAGTATGAAGAAATCCCGTTTCCAACGAAGGCCTCAGAGAGGTCTGAATATCCACTTGCAGACTTTACAAACAGAGTGTTTCCTAACTGCTCTATGAAAAGAAAGGTTAAACTCTGTGAGTTGAACGCACACATCACAAAGGAGTTTCTGAGAATCATTCTGTCTAGTTTTTATAGGAAGATATTCCCTTTTCTACCTTTGACTTCAAAGCGGCTGAAATCTCCACTTGCAAATTCCACAAAAAGAGTGTTACAAGTCTGCTCTGTGTAAAGGATCGGTCAACTCTGTGAGTTGAATACACACAACACAAGGAAGTTACTGAGAATTCTTCTGTCTAGCACAGTAAGAAGAAATCCCGTTTCCAACGAAGGCCTCAAAGAGGTCTGAATATCCACTTGCAGAGTTTAAAAACACAGTGTTTCCTAACTGCTCTATGAAAAGAAAGGTTAAACTCTGTGAGTTGAACGCACACATCACAAAGAAGTTTCTGAGAATCATTCTGTCTAGTTTTTATAGGAAGATATTTCCTTTTCTACCTTTGACTTCAAAGCGGCTGAAATCTCCACTTGCAAATTCCACAAAAAGAGTGATACAAGTCTGCTCTGTGTAAAGGATCGTTCAACTCTGTGAGTTGAATACACACAACACAAGGAAGTTACTGAGAAATCTTCTGTCTATCCTTACATGAAAAAAACCCGTTTCCAACGAAGGCCTCTAAGTGGTCAAATTATCCACGTACAGACTTTACAAACAGAGTGTTTCCAAACTGCTGAATGAAAAGAAAAGTTAAACTCTTAGAGTTGAACGAACACATCGCAGAGCAGTTTCTGAGAATGATTCTGTCTAGTTTTTATACGAAGATATTTCCTTTTCTACCATTGACCTCAAAGCGCTTGAAATCTCCACTTGCAAATTCCACAAAAAGAGTGTTTCAAATCTGCTCTGTGTAAATGAAAGTTCAACTCTGTGAGTTGAACACACACAACACAAGGAAGTTACTGGGAATTCTTCTTTCTGGCAGAATATGAAGAAATCCCGTTTCCAACGAAAGCCTCAAGGATGTCTGAATATCCACTTGCAGACTTTACAAACAGAGTGTTTCCTAACTGCTCTATGAAAAGAAAGGGTAAACTCTGTGAGTTGAACGCACACATCACAAAGGAGTTTCTAAGAATCATTCTGTCTAGTTTTTATACGAAGATGTCTCCTTTTCTACCATTGACCTCAAAGCGGCTGAAATCTCCACTTGCAAATTCCACAAAAAGAGTGTTTCAAGTCTGCTCTGTGTAAAGGATCGTTCAACTCTGTGAGTTGAATACACACAACACAAGGAAGTTACTGAGAATTCTTCTGTCTAGGAGAATATGAAGAAATCCCGTTTCCAACGAAGGCCACAAGATGTCAGAATATCCACTTACAGAATTGACAAACAGACTGTTTCCTAACTGCTCTATGAAAAGAAAGGTTAAACTCTGTGAGTTGAACGAACACATCACAACGCAGTTTGTGGGAAGATTCTGTCTAGTTTTGAAACGAAGATATTTCCTTTTCTCCCATTGACCTTAAAGCGCTTGAAATCTCCACTTGCCAATTGCACAAAAAGAGTGTTTCAAATATGCTCTGTCTAAGGGAACGTTCAACTCTGTGAGTTGAATGTACACAACACAAGGGAAGTTACTGGGAATTCTTCTGTCTAGCCTTACATGAAAAAACCCGTTTCCAACGAAGACCTCTAAGTGGTCAAATTATCCACGTGCAGACTTTACAAACAGAGTGTTTCCAAACTGCTGAATGAAAAGAAAAGTTAAACTCTGAGAGTTGAACGCACACATCGCAGAGCAGTTTCTGAGAATGATTCTGTCTAGTTTTTCTACGAAGATATTTCCTTTTCTGCCTTTGGCCTCAAAGCGCTTGAAATCTCCACTTGCAAATTCCACAAAAAGAGTGTTTCAAGTCTGCTCTGTGTAAAGGATCGTTCAACTCTGTGAGTTGAATACACACAACACAAGGAAGATTCTGAGAATTCTTCTGTCTAGCATAATATGAAGAAATCCCGTTTCCAACGAAGGCCTCAAAGGGGTCTGAATATCCACTTGCAGACTTTATAAACAGAGTGTTTACTAACTGCTCTATGAAAAGAAAAGTTAAACTCTGTGTGTTGAACGCACACATCACAAAGGAGTTTCTGAGAATCATTCTGTCTAGTTTTTCCACGAAGATATTTCCTTTTCTACTACTGACCTCAAAGCGGCTGAAATCTCCACTTGCAAATTCTACAAATAGAGTGTTTCAAGTCTGCTCTGTGTAAAGGATCGTTCAACTCTGTGAGTTCAATACACACAACACAAGGAAGTTACTGAGAATTCTTCTGTCTAGCAGAATATGAAGAAATCTCGTTTCCAACGAAGGCCACAAGATGTCAGAATATCCACTTACAGAATTTTCAAACGGACTGTTTCCTAACTGCTCTATGAAAAGAAAGGTTAAACTCTGTGAGTTGAACGAACACATCACAACGCAGTTTGTGGGAATGAATCTGTCTAGTTTTTATAGGAAGTTATTTCCTTTTCTAACTTTGACTTCAAAGCGGCTGAAATCTCCACTTGCAAATTCCACAAAAAGAGTGTTACAAGTCCGCTCTGTGTAAAGGATCGTTCAACTCTGTGAGTTGAATACACACAACACAAGGAAGTTACTGGGAATTCTTCTGTCTAGCCTTACATGAAAAAAACAAACGAAGGCCTCTAAGTGGTCAAAATTTCCACGTGCAGACTTTACAAAGAGAGTGTTTCCAAACCGCTGAATGAAAAGAAAAGTTAAACTCTGAGAGTTGAACCCACACATCACGCAGTAGTTCCTGAGAATGATTCTGTCTAGTTTTGAAACGAAGATATTTCCTTTTCTACCATTGACCTCAACGCGGCTGAAATCTCCATTTGCAAATTCCACAAAAAGAGTGTTTCAAATCTGCTCTGGGTAAATGAAAGTTCAACTCTGTGAGTTGAACACACACAACACAAGGAAGTTACTGGGAATTCTTCTGTCTAGCCTTATATGAAAAAAACCCGTTTCCAACGAAGGCCTCAAAGAGGTCTGAACATCCACTTGCAGACTTTACAAACAGAGTGTTTCCTAACTTCTCTATGAAAAGAAAGGTTAAACTGTGTGAGTTGAACGCACACATCACAAAGGAGTTTCTGAGAATCATTCTGTCCAGTTTTTATACGAAGATATTTCCTTTTCTACCATTGACATCAACGCGGCTGAAATCTCCAGTTGCAAATTCCACAAAAAGAGTGTTTCAAGTCTGCTCTGTGTAAAGGATCGTTCAACTCTCTGAGTTGAAAACACACAACACAAGGAAGTTACTGAGAATTCTTCTGTCTAGCAGAATATGAAGAAATCCCGTTTCCAACGAAGGCCACAAGATGTCAGAATATCCACTTACAGAATTTACAAACAGAATGTTTCCTAACTGCTCTATGAAAAGAAAGGTTAAACTCTGTGAGTTGAACGAACACATCACAACGCAGTTTGTGGGAATGATTCTGTCTAGTTTTGAAACGAAGATATTTCCTTTTCTGCCATTGACCTTAAAGCGCTTGAAATCTACGCTTGCAAATTGCACAAATAGAGTGTTTCAAATCTGCTCTGTCTAAGGGAACGTTCAACTCTGTGAGTTGAGTGCACACAACACAAGGAAGTTACTGGGAATTCTTCTGTCTAGCCTTACAGGAAAAAAACCCGTTTCCAACGAAGGCCTCTAAGAGGTCAAGTTATCCACGTGCAGACTTTACAAACAGAGTGTTTCCAAACTGCTGAATGAAAAGAAAAGTTAAACTCTGAGAGTTGAACGCACACATCGCAGAGCAGTTTCTGAGAATGATTCTGTCTAGTTTATATACGAAGATATTTCCTTTTCTGCCTTTGGCCCCAAAGCGCTTGAAATCTCCACTTGCAAATTCCACAAAAACAGTGTTTCAAATCTGCTCACTCTAAATGAAAGTTCAACTCTGTCAGTTGAATACACACAACACAAGGAAGTTACTGAGAATTCTTCTTTCTAGCAGAATATGAAGAAATCCCGTTTCCAACGAAAGCCTCAAGGATGTCAGAATATCCACTTGCAGACTTTACAAACAGAGTGTTTCCCAACTGCGCTATGAAAAGAAAGGTTAAACTCTGTGAGTTGAACGCACACATCACAAAGGAGTTTCTGAGAATCATTCTATCTAGTCTTTATACGAAGATATTTCCTTTTCTACCGTTGACCTCAAAGCGGCCGAAATCTCCACTTGCAAATTCCACAAAAAGAGTGTTTCAAGACTGCTCTGTGTAAAGGATCGTTCAACTCTGTGAGTTGAATACACACAACACAAGGAAGTTACTGAGAATTCTTCTGTCTAGCATAATATGAAGAAATCCCGTTTCCAACGAAGGCCACAAGATGTCAGAATATCCACTTACAGACTTTACAAACAGAGTGTTTCCTAACTGCTCTATGAACAGAAAGGTTAAACTCTGTGAGTTGAACGAACACATCACAACGCAGTTTGTGGGAATCATTTCTGTCTAGTTTTGAAACGAAGATATTTCCTTTTCTGCCATTGACCTTAAAGCGCTTGAAATCTACGCTTGCAAATTGCACAAATAGAGTGTTTCAAATCTGCTCTGTCTAAGAGAACGTTCAACTCTGTGAGTTGAATGCACACAACACAAAGAAGTTACTGGGAATTCTTCTGTCTAGCCTTACATGAAAAAAACCCGTTTCCAACGAAGGCCTCTAAGTGGTCAAAATTTCCACGTGCAGACTTTACAAACAGAGTGTTTCCAAACCGCTGAATGAAAAGAAAAGTTAAACTCTGAGAGTTGAACGCACACATCACGAAGCAGGTTCTGAGAATGATTTCTGTCTAGTTTTTATACGAAGATATTTCCTTTTCTGCCTTTGGCCTCAAAGCGCTTGAAATCTCCACTTGCAAATTCCACAAAAAGAGTGTTTCAAATCTGCTCTGTGTAAATGAAAGTTCATCTCTGTGAGTTGAACACACACAACACAAGGAAGTTACTTGGAATTCTTCTGTCTAGCAGAATATGAAGAAATCCCGTTTCCAACGAAGGCCTCAAAGAGGTCTGAATATCCACTTGAAGACTTTACAAACAGAGTGTTTCCTAACTGCTCTATGAAAAGAAAAGTTAAACTCTGTGAGTTGAACGCACACATCACAAAGGAGTTCCTGAGAATCATTCTGTCTAGTCTTTATACGAAGATATTTCCTTTTCTACCATTGACTCAAAGCGGCAGAAATCTCCCCTTGCCAATTCCACAAAAAGAGTGTTTCAACTCTTCTCTGTGTAAAGGATCGTTCAACTCTGTGAGTTGAATACACACAACACAAGGAAGTTACTGAGAATTCTTCTGTCTAGCAGAATAGGAAGAAATCCCGTTTCCAACGAAGGCCACAAGATATCAGAATATCCACTTACAGACTTTACAAACAGAGTGTTTCCTAACTGCTCTATGAACAGAAAGGTTAAACTCTGTGAGTTGAACGAACACATCACAACGCAGTTTGTGGGAATGATTCTGTCTAGTTTTGAAACGAAGATATTTCCTTTTCTGCCATTGACCTTAAAGCGCTTGAAATCTACACTTGCAAATTGCACAAATAGAGTGTTTCAAATCTGCTCTGTCTAAGGGAACGTTCAACTGTGTGAGTTGAATGCACACAACACAAGGAAGTTACTGGGAATTCTTCTGTCTAGCGTTACATGAAAAAAACCCGTTTCCAACGAAGACCTCTAAGTGGTCAAATTATCCACGTGCAGAGTTTACAAACAGAGTGTTTCCAAACTGCTGAATGAAAAGAAAAGTTAAACTCTGAGAGTTGAACGCACACATCGCAGAGCAGTTTCTGAGAATGATTCTGTCTAGTTTTTATACGAAGGATATTTCCTTTTCTGCCTTTGGCCTCAAAGCGCTTGAAATCTCCATTTGCAAATTCCACAAAAAGAGTGTTTCAAATCTGCTCTGTGTAAATGAAAGTTCAACTCTGTGAGTTGAACACACACAACACATGGAAGTTACTGGGAATTCTTCTGTCTAGCAGAATATGAAGAAATCCCGCTTCCAACGAAGCCCTCAAAGAAGTCTGAATATCCACTTGCAGACTTTACAAACAGAGTGTTTCCCAACTGCTCTATGAAAAGAAAGGTTGAACTCTGTGAGTTGAACGCACACATCACAAAGGAGTTTCTGAGAATCATTCTGTCTAGTCTTTATACGAAGATATTTACTTTTCTACCATTGACCTCAAAGCGGCTGAAATCTCCACTTGCAAATTCGACAAAAAGAGTGTTTCAAGCCTGCTCTCTGTAAAGGATCCTTCAACTCTGTGAGTTGAATACACACAACACAAGGAAGTTACTGAGAATTATTCTGCCTAGCAGAATATGAAGAAATCCCGTTTCCAACGAAGGCCACAAGATGTCAGAATATCCACTTACAGAATTTTCAAACAGACTGTTTCCTAACTGCTCTATGAAAAGAAAGGTTAAACTCTGTGAGTTGAACGAACACATCACAACGCAGTTTGTGGGAGTGATTCTGTCTAATTTTGAAACGAAGATATTTCCTTTTCTGCCATTGACCTTAATGCGCTTGAAATCTACACTTGCAAATTGCACAAATAGAGTGTTTCAAATCTGCTCTGTCTAAGGGAACGTTCAACTCTGTGAGTTGAATGCACACAACACAAGGAAGTTACTGGGAATTCTTCTGTCTAGCCTTACATGAAAAAAACCCGTTTCCAACGAAGGCCTCTAAGTGGTCAAATTATCCACGTGCAGACTTTACAAACAGAGTGTTTCCAAACTGCTGAATGAAAAGAAAAGTTAAACTTCTGAGAGTTCAACGCACACATCGCAGAGCAGTTTCTGAGAATGATTCTGTCTAGTTTTTATACGAAGATATTTCCTTTTCTGCCTTTGGCCTCACAGCGCTTGAAATCTCCACTTGCAAATTCCACAAAAAGAGTGTTTCAAATCTGCTCTGTGTAAATGAAAGTTCAACTCTGTGAGTTGAACACACACAACACAAGGAAAGTTACTGGGAATTCTTCTGTCTAGCATAATATGAAGAAATCCCGTTTCCAACGAAGGCCTCAAAGAGGTCTGAATATCCACTTGCAGACTTTTCAAACAGAGTGTTTCCTAACTGCTCTATGAAAAGAAAGGTTAAACTCTGTGGGTTGAACGCACACATCACAAAAGATTTTCTGAGAATCATTCTGTCTATTCTTTATATGAAGACAGTTTCCTTTTCTACCATTGACCTCAAAGCGGCTGAAATCTCCACTTGCAAATTCCACAAAAAGAGTGTTTCAAGTCTGCTCTGTGTAAAGGATCATTCAACTCTGTGAGTTGAATACACACAACACAAGGAAGTTACTGAGAATTCTTCTGTCTAGCAGAATTTGAGGAAATCCCGTTTCCAACGAAAGCCTCAAAGAGGTCTGAATATCCACTTGCAGACTTTACAAACAGAGGGTTTCCTAACTGCTCTATGAACAGAAAGGTTAAACTCTGTGAGTTGAACGAACACATCACAACGCAGCTTGTGGGAATGATTCTGTCTAGTTTTGAAACGAAGATATTTCCTTTTCTGCCATTGACCTTAAAGCGCTTGAAATCTCCATTTGCCAATTGCACAAAAAGAGTACTTCAAATCTGCTCTGTCTAAGGGAACGTTCAACTCTGTGAGTTGAATGTACACAACACAAGGTAGTTACTGGGAATTCTTCTGTCTAGCCTTACATGAAAAAATCCCGTTTCCAACGAAGGCCTCTAAGTGGTCAAAATTTCCACGTGCAGACTTTAAAAACAGAGTGTTTCCAAACCGCTGAATGAAAAGAAAAGTTAAACTCTGAGAGTTGAACGCACACATCACGCAGCAGTTTCTGAGAATGATTCTGTCTAGTTTTTATAAGAAGATATTTCCTTTTCTGCCTTTGGCCTCAAAGCGCTTGAAATCTCCACTTGCAAATTCCACAAAAAGAGTGTTTCCAATCTGCTCTGTGTAAATGAAAGTTCAACTCTATTAGTTGAACACACACAACACAAGGAAGTTACTGGGAATTCTTCTGTCTAGCATAATATGAAGAAATCCCGTTTAAAACGAAGGCCTCAAAGAGGTCTGAATATCCACTTGCAGACTTTACAAACAGAGTGTTTCCTAACTGCTCTATGAAAAGAAAGGTTAAACTCTGTGAGTTGAACGCACACATCACGAAGGAGTTTATGAGAATCATTCTGTCTACTCTTTATACGAAGATATTTCCTTTTCTACCATTGACCTCAAAGCGGCTGAAATCTCCACAAGCAAATTCCACAAAAAGAGTGTTTCAAGTCTGCTCTGTGTAAAGGATCGTTCAACTCTGTGAGTTGAATACACACAACACAAGGAAGTTACTGAGAATTCTTCTGTCTAGCAGAATATGAAGAAATCCCGTTTCCAACGAAGGCCACAAGATGTCAGAATATCCACTTTCATACTTTACAAACAGAGTGTTTCCTAACTGCTCTATGAACAGAAAGGTTAAACTCTGTGGGTTGAACGAACACATCACAACGCAGTTTGTGGGAATGATTCTGTCTAGTTTTGAAACGAAGAATATTTCCTTTTCTGCCATTGACCTTAAAGCGCTTGAAATCTCCATTTGCCAATTGCACAAAAAGAGTGTTTCAAATCTGCTCTGTCTAAGGGAACGTTCAACTCTGTGAGTTGAATGTACACAACACAAGGAAGTTACTGGGAATTCTTCTGTCTAGCCTTACAGGAAAAAAACCCGTTTCAAACGAAGGCCTCTAAGTGGTCAAAATATCCACGTGCAGACTTTACAAACAGAGTGTTTCCAAACTGCTGAATGAAAAGAAAAGTTAAACTCTGAGAGTTGAACGCACACATCGCAGAGCAGTTTCTGAGAAAGATTCTGTCTAGTTTTTATACGAAGATATTTCCTTTTCTGCCTTTGGCCCCAAAGCGCTTGAAATCTCCACTTGCAAATTCCACAAAAACAGTGTTTCAAATCTGCTCTCTCTAAATGAAAGTTCAACTCTGTCAGTTGAATACACACAACACAAGGAAGTTACTGAGAATTCTCTGTCTAGCCTTATATGAAAAAATCCCGTTTCCAACGAAGGCCTCAAAGAGGTCTGAATATCCACTTGCAGACCTTACAAACAGAGTGTTTCCTAACTGCTCTATGAAAAGAAAGGTTAAACTCTGTGAGTTGAACCCACACATCACAAAGGAGTTTCTGAGAATCATTCTGTCCAGTTTCTATAGGAAGATATTTCCTATTCTACCATTGACGTCAAAGCGGCTGAAATCTCCACTTGCAAATTCCACAAAAAGAATGTTTCAAGTCTGCTCTGTGTAAAGGATCGTTCAACTCTGTGAGTTGAATACACACAACACAAGGAAGTTACTGAGAATTCTTCTGTCTAGCAGAATATGAAGAAATCCCGTTTCCAACGAAGGCCTCAAAGAGGTCTGAATATCCACTTGCAGTCTTTACAAACAGAGTGTTTCCTAACTGCTCTATGAAAAGAAAGGTTAAACTCTGTGAGTTGAACGCACACATCACAAAGGAGTTTCTGAGAATCATTCTGTCTAGTTTTGAAACGAAGATATTTCCTTTTCTGCCACTGACCATAAAGCGCTTGAAATCTACACTTGCAAATTGCACAAATAGAGTGTTTCAATTCTGCTCTGTCTAAGGAAACGTTCAACTCTGTGAGTTGAATGCACACAACACAAGGAAGTTACTGGGAATTCTTCTGTCTAGCCTTACATGAAAAAAACCCGTTTCCAACGAAGGCCTCTAAGTGGTCAAATTATCCACGTGCTGACTTTACAAACAGAGTGTTTCCAAACTGCTGAATGAAAAGAAAAGTTAAACTCTGAGAGTTGAACGCACACATCGCAGAGCAGTTTCTGAGAATGATTCTGTCTAGTTTTGAAAGGAAGATATTTCCTTTTCTGCCTTTGGCCTCAAAGCGCTTGAAATCTCCACTTGCAAATTCCACAAAAAGAGTGTTTCAAATCTGCTCTGTGTAAATGGAAGTTCAACTCTGTGAGTTGAACACACACAACACAAGGAAGTTACTGGGAATTCTTCTGTCTAGCATAATATGAAGAAATCCCGTTTCCAACGAAGGCCTCAAAGAGGTCTGAATATCCACTTGCACACTTTACAAACAGAGTGTTTCCTAACTGCTCTATGAGAAGAAAAGTTAAACTCTGTGAGTTGAACGCACACACACAAAAGATTTTCTGAGAATCATTCTGTCTAGTTTCTATACGAAGATATTTCCCTTTCTACCATTGACTTCAAATCGGCTGAAATCTCCACTTGCAAATTCCACAAAAAGAGTGTTTCAAGTCTGCTCTGTGTAAAGGATCGTTCTACTCTGTGAGTTGAATACACACAACACAAGGAAGTTTCTGAGAATTCTTCTGTCTAGCAGAATATGAAGAAATCCCGTTTCCAACGAAGGCCACAAGATGTCAGAATATCCACTTACAGAATTGACAAACAGACTGTTTCCTAACTGCTCTATGAAAAGAAAGGTTAAACTCTTGTGAGTTGAACGAACACATCACAACGCAGTTTGTGGGAATGATTCTGTCTAGTTTTGAAACGAAGATATTTCCTTTTCTGCCATTGACCTTAAAGCGCTAGAAATCTCCACTTGCCAATTGCACAAAAAGAGTGTTTCAAATCAGCTCTGTCTAAGGGAACGTTCAACTCTGTGAGTTGAATGTACACAACACAAGGGAAGTTACTGGGAATTCTTCTGTCTAGCCTTACAGGAAAAAAACCCGTTTCCAACGAAGGCCTCTAAGTGGTCAAAATATCCACGTGCAGACTTTACAAACAGAGTGTTTCCACACTGCTGAATGAAAAGAAAAGTTAAACTGCTGAGAGTTGAACGCACACATCGCAGAGCAGTTTCTGAGAATGATTCTGTCTAGTTTTTATACGAAGATATATCCTTTTGTGCCTTGGCCTCAAAGCGCTTGAAATCTCCACTTGCAAATTCCACAAAAAGAGTGTTTCAAATCTGCTCTGTGTAAATGAAAGTTCAACTCTGTGAGTTGAACACACACAACACAAGGAAGTTACTGGGAATTCTTCTGTCTAGCAGAATAGGAAGAAATCCCGTTTCCAAAGAAGACCTCAAAGAGGTCTGAATATCCACTTGCAGACTTTACAAACAGAGTGTTTCCTAACTGCTCTATGAAAAGAAAGGTTAAACTCTGTGAGTTGAACGCACACATCACAAAGGAGTTTCTGAGAATCGTTCTGTCTAGTTTCTGTAGGAAGATATTTCCTATTCTACCTTTGACCTCAAAGCGGCTGAAATCTCCACTTGCAAATTCCACAAAAAGAGTGTTTCAAGTCTGCTCTCTGTAAAGGATCGTTCAACTCTGTGAGTTGAATACACACAACACAAGGAAGTTACTGAGAATTATTCTTTCTAGCAGAATATGAAGAAATCCCGTTTCCAACGAAAGCCTCAAGGATGTCTGAATATCCACATGCAGACTTTACAAACAGAGTGTTTCCCAACTGCTCTATGAAAAGAAAGGTTAAACTCTGTGAGTTGAACGCACACATCACAAAGGAGTTTCTGAGAATCATTCTGTCTAGTTTCTATAGGAAGATATTTCCTATTCTACCATTGACACTCAAAGCGGCTGAAATCTCCACTTCCAAATTCCACAAAAAGAGTGTTTCAAGTCTGCTCTGTGTAAAGGATCGTTCAACTCTGTGAGTTGAATACACACAACACAAGGAAGTTACTGAGAATTCTTCTGTCTAGCCTTACATGAAAAAAACCCGTTTCCAACGAAGGCCTCTAAGTGGTCAAATTATCCACGTGCAGACTTTACAAACAGAGTGTTTCCAAACTGCTGAATGAAAAGAAAAGTTAAACTCTGAGAGTTGAACGCACACATCGCACAGCAGTTTCTGAGAATGATTCTGTCTCGTTTTTATACGAAGATATTTCCTTTTCTGCCTTTGGCCTCAAAGCTCTTGAAATCTCCCTTTGCAAATTCCACAAAAAGAGTGTTTCCAATCTGCTCTGTGTAAATGAAAGTTCAACTCTGTGAGTTGAACACACACAAGGAAGTTACTGGGAATTCTTCTGTCTAGCCTTATATGAAAAAAACCCGTTTCCAACGAAGGCCTCAAAGAGGTCTGAATATCCACTTGCAGACTTTACAAACAGAGTGTTTCCAAACTGCTCTATGAAAAGAAAGGTTAAACTCTGTGAGTTGAACACACACATCACAAAGGAGTTTCTGAGAATCATTCTGTCTAGTTTCTATACGAAGATATTTCATTTTCTACCATTAACCTCAAAGAGGCTGAAATCTCCGCTTGCAAATTCCACAAAAAGAGTGTTTCAAATCTGCCCTGTGTAAAGGATCGTTCAACTCTGTGAGTTGAATGCACACAACACAAGGAAGTTACTGAGAATTCTTCTGTCTAGCAGAATATGAAGAAATCCCGTTTCCAACGAAGGCCTCAAAGAGGTCTGAATATCCACTTGCAGACTTTACAAACAGAGTGTTTCCTAACTGCTCTATGAAAAGAACGGTTAAACTCTGTGAGTTGAACTCACACATCACAAAGGAGTTTCTGAGAATCATTCTGTCTAGTTTTGAAACGAAGATATTTCCTTTTCTCGCCATTGACCTTAAAGCGCTTGAAATCTACACTTGCAAATTGCACAAATATAGTGTTTCAAATCTGCTCTGTCTAAGGGAACGTTCAACTCTGTGATGTTGAATGCACACAACACAAGGAAGTTACTGGGAATTCTTCTGTCTAGCAGAATATGAAGAAATCCCGTTTCCAACGAAGGCCTCAAAGACGTCTGAATATCCACTTGCAGACTTTACAAACAGAGTGTTTCCCAACTGCTCTATGAAAAGAAAGGTTAAACTCTGTGAGTTGAACGCACACATCACAAAGGAGTTTCTGAGAATCATTCTGTCTAGTTTCTATAGGAAGATATTTCCTATTCTACCATTGACCTCAAAGCGGCTGAAATCTCCACTTGCAAATTCCACAAAAAGAGTGTCTCAAGTCTGCTCTGTGTAAAGGATCGTTCAACTCTGTGAGTTGAATACACACAACACAAGGAAGTTACTGAGAATTCTTCTGTCTAGCATAATATGAAGAAAACCCGTTTCCAACGAAGGCCTCAAGGAGGTCTGAATATCCACTTGCAGACTTTACAAACAGAGTGTTTCCTAACTGCTCTATGAAAAGAAAGGTTAAACTCTGTGAGTTGAACGCACACATCACAAAGGAGTTTCTGAGAATCATTCTGTCTAGTTTCTATAGGAAGATATTTCCTATTCTACAATTGACCTCAAAGCGGACTGAAATCTCCACTTGCAAATTCCACAAGAAGAGTGTTTCAAGTCTGCTCTGTGTAAAGGATCGTTCAACTCTGTGAGTTGAATACACACAACACAAGGAAGTTACTGAGAATTCTTCTGTCTAGCAGAATATGAAGAAATCCCGTTTCCAACGAAGGCCACAAGATGTCAGAATATCCACTTACAGAATTGACAAACAGACTGTTTCCTAACTGCTCTATGAAAAGAAAGGTTAAACTCTGTGAGTTGAACGAACACATCACAACGCAGTTTGTGGGAATGATTCTGTCTAGTTTTGAAACGAAGATATTTCCTTTTCTGCCGTTGACCTTAAAGCGCTTGAAATCTACACTTGCAAATTGCACAAATAGAGTGTTTCAAATCTGCTCTGTCTAAGGGAACGTTCAACTCTGTGAGTTGAATGCACACAACACAAGGAAGTTACTGGGGAATTCTTCTGTTTAGCCTTACATGCAAAAAACCCGTTTCCAACGAAGGCCTCTAAGTGGTCAAAATATCCACGTGCAGACGTTACAAACAGAGTGTTTCCAAACGGCTGAATGAAAAGAAAAGTTAAACTCTGAGAGTTGAACGCACACATCACGCAGCAGTTTCTGAGAATGATTCTGTCTAGTTTTTATACGAAGATATTACCTTTTCTGCCTTTGGCCCCAAAGCGCTTGAAATCTCCACTTGCAAATTCCACACAAACAGTGTTTCAAATCTGCTCTCTCTAAATGAAAGTTCAACTCTGTCAGTTGAATACACACAACACAAGGAAGTTACTGAGAATTATTCTGTCTAGCAGAATATGAAGAAATCCCGTTTCCAACGAAGGCCTCAAAGAGGTCTGAATATCCACTTTCAGACTTTACAGAGTGTTTCCTAACTGCTCTATGAAAAGAAAGGTTAAACTCTGTGAGTTGAACACACACATCACAAAGGAGTTTCTGAGAATCATTCTGTCTAGTCTTTATACGAAGATATTTCCTTTTCTCCCATTGACCTCAAAGCGGCTGAAATCTCCACTTGCAAATTCCACAAAAAGAGTGTTTCAAGTGTGCTCTGTGTAAAGGATCGTTCAACTCTGTGAGTTGAATACACACAACACAAGGAAGTTACTGAGAATTCTTCTGTCTAGCAGAATATGAAGAAATCCCGTTTCCAACGAAGGCCTCAAAGAGGTCTGAATATCCACTTGAAGAGTTTACAAACAGAGTGTTTCCTAACTGCTCTATGAAAATAAACGTTAAACTCTGTGAGTTGAACGAACACATCACAACGAAGTTTGTGGGAATGATTCTGTCTAGTTTTGAAACGAAGATATTTCCTTTTCTGCCGTTGACCTTAAAGCGCTTGAAATCTACACTTGCAAATTGGACAAATAGAGTGTTTCAAATCTGCTCTGTCTAAGGGAACGTTCAACTCTGTGAGTTGAATGCACACAACACAAGGAAGTTACTGGGAATTCTTCTGTCTAGCCTTACAGGAAAAAAACCCGTTTCCAACGAAGGCCTCTAAGTGGTCAAGTTATCCACGTGCAGACTTTACAAACAGAGTGTTTCCAAACTGCTGAATGAAAAGAAAAGTTAAACTCTGAGAGTTGAACGCACACATCGCAGAGCAGTTTCTGAGAATGATTCTCTCTAGTTTTTATACGAAGATATTTCCTTTTCTACCATTGACCTCAAAGTGGCTGAAATCTCCACTTGCAAAATCCACAAAAATATTGTTTCTAATCTGCTCTGTGTAAAGGATCTTTCAACTCTGTGAGATGAATGCACACAACACAAGGAAGTTACTGAGAATTCTTCTGTCTAGCATAATATGAAGAAATCCCGTTTCCAACGAAGGCCTCTAAGAGGTCTGAATATCCAATTGCAGACTTTACAAACAGAGTG
Organism: Homo sapiens; assembly: GCF_000001405.40. Classification (NCBI taxonomy): domain Eukaryota; kingdom Metazoa; phylum Chordata; class Mammalia; order Primates; family Hominidae; genus Homo; species Homo sapiens. The sequence goes on along the minus strand of NC_000005.10, from coordinate 48,339,566 downwards.
TTTCCTAACTACTCTATGAAAAGAAAGGTTAAACTCTGTGAGTTGAACACACACATCACAAAGGAGTTTCTGAGAATCATTCTGTCTAGTTTTTATACGAAGATATTTCCTTTTCTACCATTGACCTCAAAGCGGCTGAAATCTCCACATGCAAATTCCACAAAAAGAGTGTTTCTAATCTGCTCTGTGTAAAGGATCGTTCAACTCTGTGAGTTGAAAGCACACAACAAAAGGAAGTTACTGAGAATTGTTCTGTCTAGCAGAATATGAAGAAATCCCGTTTCCAACGAAGGCCACAAGATGTCAGAATATCCACTTACAGAATTTACAAACAGACTGTTTCCTAACTGCTCTATGAAAAGAAAGGTTAAACTTCTGTGAGTTGAACGAACACATCACAACGCAGTTTGTGGGAATGATTTCTGTCTAATTTTGAAACGAAGATATTTCCTTTTCTGCCATTGACCTTAATGCGCTTGAAATCTACACTTGCAAATTGCACAAATAGAGTGTTTCAAATCTGCTCTGTCTAAGGGAACGTTCAACTCTGTGAGTTGAATGCACACAACACAAGGAAGTTACTGGGAATTCTTCTGTCTAGCCTTACATGAAAAAAACCCGTTTCCAACGAAGGCCTCTAAGTGGTCAAATTATCCACGTGCAGACTTTACAAACAGAGTGTTTCCAAACTGCTGAATGAAAAGAAAAGTTAAACTCTGAGAGTTGAACGCACACATCACAGAGCAGTTTCTGAGAATGATTCTGTCTAGTTTTTATACGAAGATATTTCCTTTTCTGCCTTTGGCCCCAAAGCGCTTGAAATATCCACTTGCAAATTCCACAAAAACAGTGTTTCAAATCTGCTCTCTCTAAATGAAAGTTCAACTCTGTCAGTTGAATACACACAACACAAGGAAGTTACTGAGAATTCTTCTGTCTAGCCTTACATGAAAAAAACCCGTTTCCAACGAAGGCCTCAAAGAGGTCTGAATATCCACTTGCAGACTTTACAAACAGAGTGTTTCCTAACTGCTCTATGAAAAGAAAGGTTAAACTCTGTGAGTTGTACTCACACATCACAAAGGAGTTTCTGAGAATCATTCTGTCTAGTTTCTATAAGAAGATATTTCCTATTCTACCATTGACCTCAAAGCGGCTGAAATCTCCACTTGCAAATTCGACAAAAAGAGTGTTTCAAGCCTGCTCTCTGCAAAGGATCCTTCAACTCTGTGAGTTGAATACACACAACACAAGGAAGTTACTGAGAATTATTCTGTCTAGCATAATATGAAGAAATACCGTTTCCAACGAAGGCCTCAAAGAGGTCTGAATATCCACTTGCAGACTTTACACACAGAGTGTTTCCTAACTGCTCTATGAACAGAAAGGTTAAACTCTGTGAGTTGAACGAACACATCACAACGCAGTTTGTGGGAATGATTCTGTATAGTTTTGAAACGAAGATATTTCCTTTTCTGCCGTTGACCTTAAAGAGCTTGAAAACTACACTTGCAAATTGCACAAATAGAGTGTTTCAAATCTGCTCGGTCTAAGGGAACGTTCAACTCTGTGAGTTGAATGCACACAACACAAGGAAGTTACTGGGAATTCTTCTGTCTAGCCTTACATGAAAAAATCCCGTTTCCAACGAAGGTCTCTAAGTTGTCAAAATTTCCACGTGCAGACTTCACAAACAGAGTGTTTCCAAACCGCTGAATGAAAAGAAAAGTTAAACTCTGAGTGTTGATCGCACACATCACGCAGCAGTTTCTGAGAATGATTCTGTGTAGTTTTGAAACGAAGATATTTCCTTTTCTGCCTTTGGCCTCAAAGCGCTTGAAATCTCCACTTGCAAATTCCACAAAAAGAGTGTTTCAAATCTGCTCTGTGTAAATGAAAGTTCAACTCTGTGAGTTGAACACACACAACACAAGGAAGTTACTGGGAATTCTTCTGTCTAGCATAATATGAAGAAATCCCGTTTCCAACGAAGGCCTCAACGAGGTCTGAATATCCACTTGCAGACTTTACAACCAGAGTGTTTCCTAACTGCTCTATGAAAAGAAAGGTTAAACTCTGCGAGTTGAACGCACACATCACAAAGGAGTTTCTGAGAATCATTCAGTCTAGTTTTTATACGAAGATATTTCCTTTTCTACCATTGACCTCAAAGCGGCTGAAATCTCCACTGGCCAATTCAACAAAAAGAGTTTTTCAAGTCTACTCTGTGTAAAGGATCGTTGAACTCTGTGAGTTGAAAACACGCAACACCAGGAAGTTTCTGAGAATTCTTCTTTCTGGCAGAATATGAAGAAATCCCGTTTCCAACGAAAGCCTCAAGGATGTCTGAATATCCACTTGCAGACTTTACAAACAGAGTGTTTCCCAACTGCTCTATGAAAAGAAAGGTTGAACTCTGTGAGTTGAACGCACACATCACAAAGCAGTTTCTGAGAATCATTCTGTCTAGTTTTGAAACGAAGATATTTCCTTTTCTGCCGTTGACCATAAAGCGCTTGAAATCTACACTTGCAAATTGCACAAATAGAGTGTTTCAAATCTGCTCTGTCTAAGGGAACGTTCAACTCTGTGAGTTGAATGCACACAACACAAGGAAGTTACTGGGAATTCTTCTGTCTAGCCTTACATGAGAAAAACCCGTTTCCAACGAAGGCCTCTAAGTGGTCAAAATATCCACGTGCAGACTTTACAAACAGAGTGTTTCCAAACCGCTGAATGAAAAGAAAAGTTAAACTCTGAGAGTTGAACGCACACATCACGCCGCAGTTTCTGAGAATGATTCTGTCTAGTTTTTATACGAAGATATTTCCTTTTCTGCCTTTGGCCCCAAAGCTCTTGAAATCTCCACTTGCAAATTCCACAAAAACAGTGTTACAAATCTGCTCTCTCTAAATGAAAGTTCAACTCTGTCAGTTGAATACACACAACACAAGGAAGTTACTGAGAATTCTTCTGTCTAGAATTACATGAAAAAAAACCCGTTTCCAACGAAGGCCTCAAAGAGGTGGAAATATCCACTTGCAGACTTTACAAACAGAGTGTTTCCTAACTGCTCTATGAAAGGAAAGGTTAAACTCGGTGAGTTGAACACCCATATCAAAAAGGAGTTTCTGAGAATAATTCTGTCTAGTTTCTATAGGAAGATATTTCCTATTCTACCATTGACCTCAAAGCGGCTGAAATCTCCACTTGCAAATTCCACAAAAAGAGTGTTTCAAGACTGTTCTGTGTAAAGGATCATTCAACTCTGTGAGTTGAATACACACCACAAAAGGAAGTTACTGAGAATTCTTCTGTCTATCAGAATATGAAGAAATCCCGTTTCCAAAGAAGGCCTCAAGGAGGTCTGAATATCCACTTGCAGACTTTACAAACAGAGTGTTTCCTAACTGCTCTATGAAAAGAAAGGTTAAACTCTGTGAGTTGAACGCACACATCACAAAGGAGTTTCTGAAAATCATTCTGTCTAGTCTTTATACGAAGATAGTTTCCTTTTCTACCATTGACCTCAAGCGGCTGAAATCTCCACTTGCAAATTCCACAAAAAGAGTGTTTCAAGTCTGCTCTGTGTAAATGATCGTTCAACTCTGTGAGTTGAATACACACAACACAAGGAAGTTACTGAGAATTATTCTGTCTAGCATAATATGAAGAAATCCCGCTTCCAACGAAGGCCTCAAGGAGGTCTGAATATCCACTTGCAGACTTTACAAACAGAGTGTTTCCTAACTGCTCTATGAAAAGAAAGGTTAAACTCTGTGAGTTGAACGCACACATCACAAAGGAGTTTCTGAGAATCATTCTGTCTAGTTTTGAAACGAAGATATTTCCTTTTCTGCCATTGACCTCAAAGCGCTTGAAATCTCCACTTGCCAATTGCACAAAAAGAGTGTTTCAAATCTGCTCTGTCTAAGGGAACGTTCAACTCTGTGAGTTGAATGTACACAACACAAGGAAGTTACTGGGAATTCTTCTGTCTAGCCTTACATGAAAAAAACCCGTTTCCAACGAAGGCCTCTAAGTGGTCAAATTATTCACGTGCAGACGTTACAAACAGAGTGTTTCCAAACTGCTGAACGAAAAGAAAAGTTAAACTCTGAGAGTTGAACGCACACATCGCAGAGCAGTTTCTGAGAATGATTCTGTCTAGTTTTTATACGAAGATATTTCCTTTTCTGCATTTCGCCACAAAGCGCTTGAAATCTCCATTTGCAAATACCACAAAAAGAGTGTTTCAAACCTGCTCTGTGTAAATGAAAGTTCAACTCTGTGAGTTGAACACACACAACACAAGGAAGTTACTGGGAATTCTTCTGTCTAGCAGAATATGAAGAAATCCCGTTTCCAACGAAGGCCTCAAAGAGGTCTGAATATCCACTTGCAGACTTTACAAACAGAGTGTTTCCTAACTGCTCTATGAAAAGAAAGGTTAAACTCTGTGAGTTGAACGCACACATCACAAAGGAGTTTCCGAGAATCATTCTGTCTAGTTTTTATAGGAAGATATTTCCTTTTCTACCTTTGACTTCAAAGCGGCTGAAATCTCCACTTGCAAATTCCACAAAAAGAGTGTTACAAGTCTGCTCTGTGTAAAGGATCGTTCAACTCTGTGAGTTGAATACACACAACACAAGGAAGTTACTGGGAATTCTTCTGTCTAGCCTTATATGAAAAAAACCCGTTTCCAACGAAGGCCTCAAAGAGGTCTGAATATCCACTTGCAGAGTTTACAAACAGAGTGTTTCCTAACTGCTCTATGAAAAGAAAGGTTAAACTCTGTGAGTTGAATGCACACATCACAAAGAAGTTTCTGAGAATCATTCTGTCTAGTTTTGAAACGAAGATATTTCCTTTTCTGCCATTGACCTTAAAGCGCTTGAAATCTACACTTGCAAATTGCACAAATAGAGTGTTTCAAATCTGCTCTCTCTAAGGAACGTTCAACTCTATGAGTTGAATGCACACAACACAAGGAAGTTACTGGGAATTCTTCTGTCTAGCCTTACATGAAAAAAACCCGTTTCCAACGAAGGCCTCTAAGTGGTCAAATTATCCATGTGCAGACTTTACAAACAGAGTGTTTCCAAACTGCTGAATGAAAAGAAAAGTTAAACTCTGAGAGTTGAACGCACACATCGCAGAGCAGTTTCTGAGAATGATTCTGTCTAATTTTTATACGAAGATATTTCCATTTCTGCGTTTGGCCTCAAAGCGCTTGAAATCTCCATTTGCAAATTCCACAAAAAGAGTGTTTCAAATCTGCTCTGTGTAAATGAAAGTTCAACTCTGTGAGTTGAACACACACAACACAAGGAAGTTACTGGGAATTCTTCTGTCTAGCAGAATATGAAGAAATCCCGTTTTCAACGAAGGCCTCAAAGAGGTCTGAATATCCAATTGCAGACATTATAAACAGAGTGTTTCCTAACTGCTCTATGAAAAGAAAGGTTGAACTCTGTGAGTTGAACGCACACATCACAAAGGAGTTTCTGAGAATCATTCTGTCTAGTTTTTATAGGAAGATATTTCCTTTTCTACCATTGACCTCAAAGCGGCTGAAATCTCCACTTGCAAATTCCACAAAAAGAGTGTTTCAAGTCTGCTCTGTGTAAAGGATCGTTCAACTCTGTGAGTTGAATACACACAACACGCGGAAGTTACTGAGAATTCTTCTGTCTAGCATAGTATGTAGAAATCCCGTTTCCAACGAAGGCCTCAAAGAGGTCTGAATATCCACTTGCAGAGTTTACAAACAGAGTGTTTCCTAACTGCTCTATGAAAAGAAAGGTTAAACTCTGTGAGTTGAACGCACACATCACAAAGAATTTTCTGAGAATCATTCTGTCTAGTTTTGAAACGAAGATATTTCCTTTTCTGCCATTGACCTTAAAGCGCTTGAAATCTACACTTGCAAATTGCACAAATAGAGTGTTTCAAATCTTCTCTGTCTAAGGGAACGTTCATCTCTGTGAGTTGAATGCACACAACACAAGGAAGTTACTGGGAATGCTTCTGTCTAGCCTTACATGAAAAAAACTCGTTTCCAACGAAGGCCTCTAAGTGGTCAAAATATCCACGTGCAGACTTTACAAACAGAGTGTTTCCAAACCGCTGAATGAAAAGAAAAGTTAAACTCTGAGAGTTGAACGCACACATCACGCAGCAGTTTCTGAGAATGATTCTGTCTAGTTTTTATACGAAGATATTTCCTTTTCTGCCTTTGGCCCCAAAGCGCTTGAAATCTCCACTTGCAAATTCCACAAAAACAGTGTTTCAAATCTACTCTCTCTAAATGAAAGTTCAACTCTGTGAGTTGAATACACACAACACAAGGAAGTTACTGAGAATTCTTCTGTCTAGCCTTACATGAAAAAAACCCGTTTCCAACGAAGGCCTCAAAGAAGTCTCAATATCCACATGCAGACTTTACAAACAGAGTGTTTCCTAACTGCTCTATGAAAAGAAAGGTTAAACTCTGTGAGTTGAACGCACACATCACAAAGCAGTTTCTGAGAATCATTCTGACTAGTTTTTATAGGAAGATATTTCCTTTTCTACCTTTGACTTCAAAGCGGCTGAAATCTCCACTTGCAAATTCCACAAAAAGAGTGTTACAAGTCTGCTCTGTGTAAAGGATCGTTCAACTCTGTGAGTTGAATACACACAACACAAGGAAGTTACTGAGAATTCTTCTGTCTAGCATTATATGAAGAAATCCCGTTTCCAACGAAGGCCTCAAAGAGGTCTGAATATTCACTTGCAGACTTTACAAACAGAGTGTTGTCTAACTGCTCTATGAAAAGAAAAGTTAAACTCTGTGAGTTGAACGCACACATCACAAAGGAGTTTCTGAGAATCATTCTGTCTAGTCTTCATACGAAGATATTTCCTTTTCTACCATTGACCTCAAAGCGGCTGAAATCTCCACTTGCAAATTCCACAAAAAGAGTGTTTCAAGTCTGCTCTGTGTAAAGGATCGTTCAACTCTGTGAGTTGAATACACACAACACAAGGAAGTTACCGAGAATTCTTCTGTCTAGCAGAATATGAAGAAATCCCGTTTCCAACGATGGCCACAAGATGTCAGAATATCCACTTACAGACTTTAAAAACAGAGTGTTTCCTAACTGCTCTATGAACAGAAAGGTTAAACTCTGTGAGTTGAACGAACACATCACAACGCAGTTTGTGGGAATGATTCTGTCTAGTTTTGAAACGAAGATATTTCCTTTTCTGCCGTTGACCTTAAAGCGCTTGAAATCTACACTTGCAAATTGGACAAATAGAGTGTTTCAAATCTGCTCTGTCTAAGGGAACGTTCAACTCTGTGAGTTGAATGCACACAACACAAGGAAGTTACTGGGAATTCTTCTGTCTAGCAGAATATGAAGAAATCCCGTTTCCAACGAAGGACTCAAGGAGGTCTGAATATCCACTTGCAGACTTTACAAACACAGTGTTTCCTAACTGCTCTATGAACAGAAAGGTTAAACTCTGTGAGTTGAACGCACACATCACAAAGGAGTTTCTGAGAATCATTCTGTCTAGTTTCTATAGGAAGATATTTCCTATTCTACCATTGACCTCAAAGCGGCTGAAATCTCCACTTGCAAATTCCACAAAAAGAGTGTTTCAAGTCTGCTCTGTGTAAAGGGTCGTTCAACACTGTGAGTTGAATACACACAACACAAGGAGGTTACTGAGAATTCTTCTGTCTAGCAGAATATGAAGAAATCCCGCTTCCAACGAAGGCCTCAAAGAAGTCTGAATATCCACTTGCAGACTTTACAAACAGAGTGTTTCCCAACTGCTCTATTAAAAGAAAGGTTGAACTCTGTGAGTTGAACGCACACATCACAAAGGAGTTTCTGAGAATCATTCTGTCTAGTCTTCATACGAAGATATTTACTTTTCTACCATTGACCTCAAAGCGGCTGAAATCTCCACTTGCAAATTCCACAAAAAGAGTGTTTCAAGTCTGCTCTGTGTAAAGGAACATTCAACTCTGTGAGTTGAATACACACAACACAAGGAAGTTACTGAGAATTCTTCGGTCTAGCAGAATATGAAGAAATCCCGTTTCCAACGAAGGCCTCAAGGAGGTCTGAATATTCACTTGCAGACTTTACAAACAGAGTGTTTCCTAACTGCTCTATGAACAGAAAGGTTAAACTCTGTGAGTTGAACGAACACATCACAACGCAGTTTGTGGGAATGATTCTGTCTAGTTTTGAAACGAAGATATTTCCTTTTCTGCCATTGACTTTAAAGCGCTTGAAATCTACACTTGCAAATTGCACAAATAGAGTGTTTCAAATCTCCTCTGTCTAAGGGAACGTTCAACTCTGTGAGTTGAATGCACACAACACAAGGAAGTTACTGGGAATTCTTCTGTCTAGCCTTATATGAAAAAAAACCCGTTTCCAACGAAGGCCTCTAAGTGGTCAAAATATCCACGTGCAGACTTTACAAACAGAGTGTTTCCAAACCGCTGAATGAAAAGAAAAGTTAAACTCTGAGAGTTGAACGCACACATCACGCAGCAGTTTCTGAGAATGATTCTGTCTAGTTTTTATACGAAGATATTTCCTTTTCTACTATTGACCTCAAAGCGGCTGAAATCTCCACTTGCAAATTCCACAAAAAGAGTGTTTGAAGTCTGCTCTCTGTAAAGGATCGTTCAACTCTGTGAGTTGAATACACACAACACAAGGAAGTGACTGAGAATTCTTCTGTCTAGCAGAATAGGAAGAAATCCCGTTTCCAACGAAGGCCTCAAAGAGGTCTGAATATCCACTTGCAGACTTTACAAACAGAGTGTTTCTTAACGGCTCTATGAAAAGAAAAGTTAAACTCTGTGAGTTGAACGCACACATCACAAAGGAGTTTCTGAGAATCGTTCTGTCTAGTTTCTATAGGAAGATATTTCCTATTCTACCATTGACCTCAAAGCGGCTGAAATCTCCACTTGCAAATTCCACAAAAAGAATGTTTCAAGTCTGCTCTGTGTAAAGGATCGTTCAACTCTGTGAGTTGACTACACACAACACAAGGAAGTTACTGAGAATTCTTCTGTCTAGCAGAATATGAAGAAATCCCGTTTCCAACGAAGGCCTCAAGGAGGTCTGAATATCCACTTGCAGACTTTACAAACAGAGTGTTTCCTAACTGCTCTATGAACAGAAAGGTTAAACTCTGTGAGCTGAACGCACACATCACAAAGGAGTTTCTGAGAATCATTCTGTCTAGTTTTTATACGAAGATATTTCCTTTTCTACCATTGACCTCAAAGCGGCTGAAATCTCCACTTGCAAATTCCACAAAAAGAGTGCTTCAAGTCTGCTCTGTGTAAACGATCGTTCAACTCTGTGAGTTGAATACACACAACACAAGGAAGTTTCTGAGAATTCTTCTGTCTGGCAGAATATGAAGAAATCCCGTTTCCAACGAAAGCCTCAAAGATGTCTGAATATCCACTTGCAGACTTTACAAACAGAGTGTTTCCTAACTGCTCTATGAAAAGAAAGGTTAAACTCTGTGAGTTGAACGCACACAGCACAAAGGAGTTTCTGAGAATCATTCTGTCTAGTTTAGAAACGAAGATATTTCCTTTTCTGCCATTGACCTTAAAGCGCTTGAAATCTCCACTTGCCAATTGCACAAAAAGAGTGTTTCAAATCTGCTCTGTCTAAGGGAACGTTCAACTCTGTGAGTTGAATGTACACAACACAAGGAAGTTACTGGGAATTCTTGTGTCTAGCCTTACATGAAAAAAACCTGTTTCCAACGAAGGCCTCTAAGTGGTCAAAATATCCACGTGCAGACTTTACAAACAGAGTGTTTCCAAACTGTTGAATGAAAAGAAAAGTTAAACTCTGAGAGTTGAACGCACACATCGCAGAGCAGTTTCTGAGAATGATTCTGTCTAGTTTTTATACGAAGATATTTCCTTTTCTGCCTTTGGCCCCAAAGCGCTTGAAATCTCCACTTGCAAATTCCACAAAAACAGTGTTTCAAATCTGCTCTCTCTAAATGAAAGTTCAACTCTGTGAGTTGTATACACACAACACAAGGAAGTTACTGAGAATTCTTCTGTCTAGCCTTATATGAAAAATACCCGTTTCCAACGAAGGCCTCAAAGAGGTCTGAATATCCACTTGCAGACTTTACAAACAGAGTGTTTCCTAACTGCTCTATGAAAAGAAAGGTTAAACTCTGTGAGTTGAACGCACACATCACAAAGGAGTTTCTGAGAATCATTCTGTCTAGTTTTTATACGAAGATATTTCCTTTTCTAACATGGACCTCAAAGCGGCTGAAATCTCCACTTGCAAATTCCACAAAAAGAGTGTTTCAAGTCTGCTCTGTGTAAAGGATCGTTCAACTCGGTGAGTTGAATACACACAACACAAGGAAGATTCTGAGAATTCTTCTTTCTAGCAGAATATGAAGAAATCCCGTTTCCAACGAAGGCCACAAGATGTCAGAATATCCACTTACAGACGTTACAGAGTGTTTCCTAACTGCTCTATGAACAGAAAGGTTAAACTCTGTGAGTTGAACGAACACATCACAACGCAGTTTGTGGGAATGATTCTGTCTAGTTTTTTTACGACGATATTTCCTTTTGTACCTTTGACTTCAAAGCGGCTGAAATCTCCACTTGCAAATTCCACAAAAAGAGTGTTTCAAGTCTGCTCTGTGTAAAAGATCGTACAACTCTGTGAGTTGAATACACACAACACAAGGAAGTTCCTGAGAATTCTTCTGTCTAGCCTTACATGAAAAAAACCCGTTTCCAACGAAGGCCTCTAAGTGGTCAAATTATCCACGTGCAGACTTTACAAACAGAGTGTTTCCAAACTGCTGAATGAAAAGAAAAGTTAAACTCTGAGAGTTGAACGCACACATCACAGAGCAGTTTCTGAGAATGATTCTGTCTAGTTTTTATACGAAGATATTTCCTTCTTTTCTGCCTTTGGCCTCAAAGCGCTTGAAATCTCCACTTGCAAATTCCACAAAAAGAGTGTTTCAAATCTGCTCTGTGTAAATGAAAGTTCAACTCTGTGAGTTGAACACACACAACACAAGGAAGTTACTGGGAATTCTTCTTTCTAGCAGAATATGAAGAAATCCCGTTTCCAACGAAAGCCTCAAGGATGCCTGAATATCCACTTGCAGACTTTACAAACAGAGTGTTTCCTAACTGCTCTATGAAAAGAAAGGTTAAACTCTGTGAGTTGAACGCACACATCACAAAGGAGTTTCTGAGAATCATTCTATCTAGTCTTTATACGAAGATATTTCCTTTTCTACCATTGACATCAAAGCGGCTGAAATCTCCACTTGCAAATTCCACAAAAAGAGTCTTTCAAGTCTGCTCTGTGTAAAGGATCGTTCAACTCTGTGAGTTGAATACACACAACACAAGGAAGTTACTGAGAATTCTTCTGTCTAACAGAACATGAAGAAATCCCGCTTCCAACGAAGGCCTCAAAGAAGTCTGAATATCCACTTGCAGACTTTACAAACAGAGTGTTTCCCAACTGCTCTATGAAAAGAAAGGTTGAACTCTGTGAGTTGAACGCACACATCACAAAGGAGTTTCTGAGAATCATTCTGTCTAGTTTTTATAGGAAGATATTTCATTTTCTACCTTTGACTTCAAAGCGGCTGAAATCTCCACTTGCAAATTCCACAAAAAGAGTGTTACAAGTCTGCTCTGTGTAAAGGATCGTTCAACTCTGTGAGTTGAATGTACACAACACAAGGAAGTTACTGAGAATTCTTCTGTCTAGCCTTACAGGAAAAAAACCCGTTTCCAACGAAGGCCTCTAAGTGGTCAAAATATCCACGTTCAGACTTTACAAACAGAGTGTTTCCAAACTGCTGAATGAAAAGAAAAGTTAAACTCTGAGAGTTGAACGCACACATCACACAGTAGTTTCTGAGAATGATTCTGTCTAGTTTTTATACGAAGATATTTCCTTTTCTGCCTTTGGCCTCAAAGCGCTTGAAATCTCCAATTGCAAATTCCACAAAAAGAGTGTTTCAAATCTGCTCTTTGTAAATGAAAGTTCAACTCTGTCAGTTGAACACACACAACACAAGGAAGTTACTGGGAATCCTTCTGTCTAGCATAATATGAAGAAATCCCGATTCCAACGAAGGCCTCAAAGAGGTCTGAATATCCACTTGCAGACTTTACAAACAGAGTGTTTCCTAACTGCTCTATGAAAAGAAAGGTTAAACTCTGTGAGTTGAACGCACACATCACAAAGGAGTTTCTGAGAATCATTCTGTCTAGTTTTTATACGAAGATATTTCCTTTTCTATCATTGACATCAAAGCGGCTGATATCTCCAATTGCAAATACCACAACAAGAGTGTTTCACATCTGTGCTGTGTAAATGAAAATTCAACTCTGTGAGTTGAATACACACAACACAAGGAAGCTACTGGGAATTCTTCTTTCTAGCATAATATGAAGAAATCCCGTTTCCAACGAAGGCCACAAGATGTCAGAATATCCACTTACAGACTTTACAAACAGAGTGTTTCCTAACTGCTCTATGAACAGAAAGGTTAAACTCTGTGAGTTGAACGAACACATCACAACGCAGTTTGTGGGAATGATTCTGTCTAGTTTTGAAACGAAGATATTTCCTTTTCTGCCATTGACCTCAAAGCGCTTGAAATCTACACTTGCAAATTGCACAAATAGAGTGTTTCAAATCTGCTCTGTGTAAAGGATCGTTCAACTCTGTGAGTTGAATGCACACAATACAAGGAAGTTGCTGGGAATTCTTCTGTCTAGCCTTACAGGAAAAAAACCCGTTTCCAATGAAGGCCTGTAAGTGGTCAAATTATCCACGTGCAGACTTTACAAACAGAGTGTTTCCAAACTGCTGAATGAAAAGAAAAGTTAAACTCTGAGAGTTGAACGCACACATCGCAGAGCAGTTTCTGAGAATGATTCTGTCTAGTTTTTATACGAAGATATTTCCTTTTCTGCCTTTGGCCTCAAAGCGCTTGAAATCTCCATTAGCAAATTCCACAAAAAGAGTGTCTCAAATCTGCTCTGTGTAAATGATCGTTCAACTCTGTGAGTGGAATACACACAACACAAGGAAGTTACTGAGAATTCTTCTGTCTAGCATAATATGAAGAAATCCCGTTTCCAACGAAGGCCTCAAAGGGGTCTGAATATCCACTTGCAGACTTTATAAACAGAGTGTTTACTAACTGCTCTATGAAAAGAAAGGTTAAACTCTGTGAGTTGAACACACACATCACAAAGGAGTTTCTGAGAATCTTTCTGTCTAGTTTCTATAGGAAGATATTTCCTATTCTACCATTGACCTCAAAGCGGCTGAAATCTCAACTTGCAAATTCCACAAAAAGAATGTTTCAAGTCTGCTCCGTGTAAAGGATCGTTCAACTCTGTGAGTTGAATACACACAACACAAGGAAGTTACTGAGAATTATTCTGTCCAGCAGAATATGAAGAAATCCCGTTTCCAACGAAGGCCACTAGATGTCAGAATATCCACTTACAGACTTTACAAACAGAGTGTTTCCTAACTGCTCTATGAACAGAAAGGTTAAACTCTGTGAGTTGAACGAACACATCACAACGCAGTTTGTGGGAATGATTCTGTCTAGTTTTGAAACGAAGACATTTCCTTTTCTGCCTTTGGCCTCAAAGTGCTTGAAATCTCCATTTGCAAATTCCACAAAAAGAGTGTTTCAAATCTGCTCTGTGTAAATGAAAGTTCAACTCTGTGAGTTGAACATACACAACACAAGGAAGTTACTGGGAATTCTTCTGTCTAGCCTTACATGAAAAAAACCCGTTTCCAACGAAGGCCTCTAAGTGGTCAAAATATCCACGTGCAGACTTTACAAACAGAGTGTTTCCAAACCGCTGAATGAAAAGAAAAGTTAAACTCTGAGAGTTGAACGCACACATCACGCAGCAGTTTCTGAGAATTATTCTGTCTAGTTTTTATACGAAGATATTTCCTTTTCTGCCTTTGGCCCCAAAGCGCTTGAAATCTCCACTTGCAAATTCCACAAAAACAGTGTTTCAAATCTGCTCTCTCTAAATGAAAGTTCAACTCTGTCAGTTGAATACACATAACACAAGGAAGTTACTGAGAATTCTTCTGTCTACCATAGTATGAAGAAATCCCGTTTCCAACGAAGGCCTCAAACAGGTCTGAATATCCACTTGCAGAGTTTACAAACAGAGTGTTTCCTAAATGCTCTATGAAAAGAAAGGTTAAACTCTGTGAGTTGAACGCACACATCACAAAGAAGTTTCTGAGAATCATTCTGTCTAGTTTTTATACGAAGATATTTCCTTTTCTACCATGGACCTCAAAGCGGCTGAAATCTCCACTTGCAAATTCCACAAAAAGAGTGTTTCAAATCTGCTCTGTGTAAACCATCGTTCAACTGTGTGAGTTGAATACACACAACACAAGGAAGATTCTGAGAATTCTTCTGTCTAGCAGAATATGAAGAAATCCCGTTTCCAACGAAGGCCTCAAAGAGGTCTGAATATCCACTTGCAGACTTTACAAACAGAGTGTTTCCTAACTGCTCTATGAAAAGAAAGGTTAAACTCTGTGAGTTCAACGCACACATCACAAAGGAGTTTACTGAGAATCGTTCTGTCTAGTTTTGAAACGAAGATATTTCCTTTTTCTGCCGTTGACCTTAAAGCGCTTGAAATCTACACTTGCAAATTGCACAAATAGAGTGTTTCAAATCTGCTCTGTCTAAGGGAACGTTCAACTCTGTGAGTTGAATGCACACAACACAAGGAAGTTACTGGGAATTCTTCTGTCTAGCCTTACATGAAAAAAACCCGTTTCCAACGAAGACCTCTAAGTGGTCAAATTATCCACGTGCAGACTTTACAAACAGAGTGTTTCCAAACTGCTGAATGAAAAGAAAAGTTAAACTCTGAGAGTTGAACGCACACATCGCAGAGCAGTTTCTGAGAATGAATCTGTCTAATTTTTATACGAAGATATTTCCTTTTCTGCCTTTGGCCTCAAAGCGCTTGAAATCTCCATTTGCAAATTCCACAAAAAGAGTGTTTCAAATCTGCTCTGTGTAAATGAAAGTTCAACTCTGTGAGTTGAACACACACAACACATGGAAGTTACTGGGAATTCTTCTGTCTAGCATAATATGAAGAAATCCCGTTTCCAACGAAGGCCTCAAAGAGGAATGAATATCCACTTGCAGACTTTACAAACAGAGTGTTTCCTAACTGCTCTATGAAAAGAAAGGTTAAACTCTGTGAGTTCAACGCACACATCACAAAGGAGTTTCTGAGAATCATTCTGTCTTGTTTTTATACGAAGATATTTCCTTTTCTACCATTGACCTCAAAGCGGCTGAAATCTCCACTTGCAAATTCCACAAAAAGAGTGTTTCAAGTCTGCTCTGTGTAAAGGATCGTTCAACTCTGTGAGTTGAATACACACAACACAAGGAAGTTTCTGAGAATTCCTCTGTCTAGCAGAATGTGAAGAAATCCCGTTTCCAACGAAGGCCACAAGATGTCAGAATATCCACTTACAGAGTTTACAAACAGAGTGTTTCCTAACTGCTCTATGAACAGAAAGGTTAAACTCTGTGAGTTGAACGAACACATCACAACGCAGTTTGTGGGAATGATTCTGTCTAGTTTTGAAACGAAGATATTTCCTTTTCTGCCATTGACCTTAAAGCGCTTGAAATCTCCACTTGCCAATTGCACAAAAAGAGTGTTTCAAATCTGCTCTGTCTAAGGGAACGTTCAACTCTGTGAGTTGAATGTACACAACGCAAGGAAGTTACTGGGAATTCTTCTGTCTAGCCTTACAGGTAAAGTAAACCCGTTTCCAACGAAGGCCTCTAAGTGGTCAAAATATCCATGTGCAGACTTTACAAACAGAGTGTTTCCAAACTGCTGAATGAAAAGAAAAGTTAAACTCTGAGAGTTGAACGCACACATCGCAGAGCAGTTTCTGAGAATGATTCTGTCTAGTCTTTATACGAAGATATTTCCTTTTCTACCATTGACCTCAAAGCGGCTGAAATCTCCACTTGCAAATTCCACAAAAAGAGTGTTTCAAGTCTGCTCTCTGTAAAGGATCGTTCAACTCTCTGAGTTGAATACACAGAACACAGGGAAGTTACTGAGAATTCTTCTGTCTAGCAGAATATGAAGAAATCCCGTTTCCAACGAAGGCCTCAAAGAGGTCTGAATATCCACTTGCAGACCTTACAAACAGAGTGTTTCCTAACTGCTCTATGAAAAGAAAAGTTAAACTCTGTGTGTTGAACGCACACATCACAAAGGAGTTTCTGAGAATCATTCTGTCTAGTTTCTATAGGCAGATATTTCCTATTCTACCATTGACCTCAAAGCGGCTGAAATCTCCACTTGTAAATTCCACAAAAAGAGTGTTTCAAGACTGTTCTGTGTAAAGGATCATTCAACTCTGTGAGTTGAATACACACAACACAAGGAAGTTACTGAGAATTCTTCTGTCTAGCAGAATATGAAGAAATCCCGTTTCCAACGAAGGCCACAAGATGTCACAATATCCACTTACAGACTTTACAAACAGAGTGTTTCCTAACTGCTCTATGAACAGAAAGGTTAAACTCTGTGAGTTGAACGAACACATCACAACGCAGTTTGTGGGAATGATTCTGTCTAGTTTTAATACGAAGATATTTCCTTTTATACCATTGACCTCAAAGCGGCTGAAATCACCACTTGCCAATTGCACAAAAAGAGTGTTTCAAATCTGCTCTGTCTAAGGGAACGTTCAACTCTGTGAGTTGAATGTACACAACACAAGGAAGTTACTAGGAATTCTTCTGTCTAGCCTTACAAGAAAAAAACCCGTTTCCAACGAAGGCCTCTAAGTGGTCAAAATATCCACGTGCAGACTTTACAAACAGAGTGTTTCCAAACTGCTGAATGAAAAGAAAAGTTAAACTCTGAGAGTTGAACACACACATCGCAGAGCAGTTTCTGAGAATGATTCTGTCTAGTTTTTATACGAAGACATTTCCTTTTCTGCCTTTGGCCCCAAAGCGTTTGAAATCTCCACTTGCAAATTCCACAAAAACAGTGTTTCAAATCTGCTCTCTCTAAATGAAAGTTCAACTCTGTCAGTTGAATACACACAACACAAGGAAGTTACTGAGAATTCTTCTGTATAGCAGAATATGAAGAAATCCCGCTTCCAACGAAGGCCTCAAAGATGTCTGAATATCCACTTGCAGACTATAAAAACAGAGTGTTTCCTAACTGCTCTATGAAAAGAAAGGTTAAACTCTGTGAGTTGAACGCACACATCACAAAGGAGTTTCTGAGAATCATTCTGTCTAGTTTTTATACGAAGATATTTCCTTTTCTACCATTGACCTCAAAGCGGCTGAAATCTCCACTTGCAAATTCCACAAAAAGAGTGTTTCAAGTCTGCTCTGTGTAAAGGATCGTTCAACTCTGTGAGTTGAATACACACAACACAAGGAAGTTACTGTGAATTCTTCTGTCTAGCATAGTATGAAGAAATCCCGTTTCCATCGAAGGCCTCAATGAGGTCAGAATATCCACTTGCAGAGTTTACAAACAGAGTGTTTCCTAACTGCTCTATGAAAAGAAAGGTTAAACTCTGTGAGTTGAACGCACACATCACAATGAAGTTTCTGAGAATCATTCTGCCTAGTTTTGAAACGAAGATATTTCCTTTTCTGCCATTGACCTTAAAGCGCTTGAAATCTCCACTTGCCAATTGCACAAAAAGAGTGTTTCAAATCTGCTCTGTCTAAGGGAACGTTCAACTCTGTGAGTTGAATGTACACAACACAAGGAAGTTACTGGGAATTCTTCTGTCTAGCCTTACATGAAAAAAACCCGTTTCCAACGAAGGCCTCTAAGTGGTCAAATTATCCACGTGCAGACTTTACAAACAGAGTGTTTCCAAACTGCTGAAGGAAAAGAAAAGTTAAACTCTGAGAGGTGAACACACACATCGCAGAGCAGTTTCTGAGAATGATTCTGTCTAGTTTTTATACGAAGATATTTCCTTTTCTGCCTTGGCCTCAAAGCGCTTGAAATCTCCACTTGCAAATTCCACAAAAAGAGTGTTTCAAATCTGCTCTGTGTAAATGAAAGTTCAACTCTGTGAGTTGAACACACACAACACAAGGAAGTTACTGGGAATTCTTCTGTCTAGCAGAATATGAAGAAATCCCGCTTCCAACGAAGGCCTCAAAGAAGTCTGAATATCCACTTGCAGACTTTACAAAAAGAGTGTTTCCCAACTGCTCTATGAAAAGAAAGGTTGAACTCTGTGAGTTGAACGCACACATCACAAAGGAGTTTCTGAGAATCATTCTGTCTAGTCTTTATACGAAGATATTTCCTTTTCTACCATTCACCTCAAAGCGGCTGAAATCTCCACTTGCAAATTCCACACAAAGAGTGTTTCAAGTCTGCTCTGTGTAAAGGATCGTTCAACTCTGTGAGTTGAATACACACAACACAAGGAAGTTACTGAGAATTCTTCTGTCTAGCAGAATATGAAGAAATCCCGTTTCCAACGAAGGCCTCAAAGAGGTCTGAATATCCACTTGCAGACTTTACAAACAGAGTGTTTCCTAACTGCTCTATGAAAAGAAAAGTTAAACTCTGTGAGTTGAACGCACACATCACAACGCAGTTTGTGGGAATGATTCTGTCTAGTTTTGAAACGAAGATATTTCCTTTTCTGCCGTTGACCTTAAAGAGCGTGAAAACTACACTTGCAAATTGCACAAATAGAGTGTTTCAAATCTGCTCTGTCTAAGGGAACGTTCAACTCTGTGAGTTGAATGCACACAACACAAGGAAGTTACTGGGAATTCTTCTGTCTAGCCTTACAGGAAAAAAACCCGTTTCCAACGAAGACCTCTAAGTGGTCAAAATATCCACGTGCAGACTTTACAAACAGAGTGTTTCCAAACTGCTGAATGAAAAGAAAAGTTAAACTCTGAGAGTTGAACGCACACATCGCAGAGCAGTTTCTGAGAATGATTCTGTCTAGTTTTTATACGAAGATATTTCCTTTTCTGCCTTTGGCCTCAAAGCGCTTGAAATCTCCATTTGCAAATTCCACAAAAAGAGTGTTTCAAATCTGCTCTGTGTAAATCAAAGTTCAACTCTGTGAGTTGAACACACACAACACAAGGAAGTTACTGGGAATTCTTTTGTCTGGCAGAATATGAAGAAATCCCGTTTCCAACGAAGGCCTCAAAGGGGTCTGAATATCCACTTGCAGACTTTACAAACAGAGTGTTTCCTAACTGCTCTATGAAAAGAAAGGTTAAACTCTGTGAGTTGAACGCACACATCACAAAGGAGTTTATGAGAATCATTCTGTCTAGTTTTTATACGAAGATATTTCCTCTTCTACCATTGACCTCAACGCGGCTGAAATCTCCACTTGCAAATTCCACAAAAAGAGTGTTTCAAGTCTGCTCTGTGTAAAGGATCGTGCAACTCTGTGAGTTGAATACACACAACACAAGGAAGTTACTGAGAATCTCTCTGTCTAGCAGAATATGAAGAAATCCCGTTTCCAACGAAGGCCACAAGTATGTCAGAATATCCACTTACAGAATTTACAAACAGACTGTTTCCTAACTGCTCTATGAAAAGGAAGGTTAAACTCTGTGAGTTGAACGAACACATCACAACGCAGTTTGTGGGAATGATTCTGTCTAGTTTTGAAACGAAGATATTTCCTTTTCTGCCATTGACCTTAAAGCGCTTGAAATCTACACTTGCAAATTGCACAAATAGAGTGTTTCAATTCTGCTCTGTCTAAGGAAACGTTCAACTCTGTGACTTGAATGCACACAACACAAGGAAGTTACTGGGAATTCTTCTGTCTAGCCTTACATGAAAAAAACCCGTTTCCAACGAAGGCCTCTAAGTGGTCAAAATATCCACGTGCAGACTTTACAAACAGAGTGTTTCCAAACCGCTGAATGAAAAGACAAGTTAAACTCTGAGAGTTGAACGCACACATCACGCAGCAGTTTCTGAGAATGATTCTGTCTAGTTTTGAAACGAAGATATTTCCTTTTCTGCCTTTGGCCTCAAAGCGCTTGAAATCTCCACTTGCAAATTCCACAAAAAGAGTGTTTCAAATCTGCTCTGTGTAAATGAAAGTTCAACTCTGTGAGTCGAACACACACAACAGAAGGAAGTTACTGGGAATTCTTCTGTCTAGCCTTACATGAAAAAAACCCGTTTCCAACGAAGGCCTCAAAGAAGTCCAAATATCCACATGCAGACTTTACAAACAGAGTGTTTCCTAACTGCTCTATGAAAAGAAAGGTTAAACTCTGTGAGTTGAACGCCCACATCACAAAGGAGTTTCTGAGAATCATTCTGTCTAGTTTCTATAGGAAGATATTTCCTATTCTACCATTGACCACAAAGCGGCTGAAATCTCCACTTGCAAATTCCACAAAAAGAGTGTTTCAAGACTGCTCTGTGTAAAGGATCGTTCAACTCTGTGAGTTGAATACACACAACAGAAGGAAGTTACTGAGAATTCTTCTGTCTAGCAGAATATGAAGAAATCCCGTTTCCAACGAAGGCCACAAGATGTCAGAATATCCACTTACAGACTTTACAAACAGAGTGTTTCCTAACTGCTCTGTGAACAGAAAGGTTAAACTCTGTGAGTTGAACGAACACATCACAACGCAGTTTGTGGGAATGATTCTGTCTAGTTTTTATACGAAGATATTACCTTTTCTACCATTGACCCCAAAGCGGCTGAAATCACCACTTGCCAATTGCACAAAAAGAGTGTTTCAAATCTGCTCTGTCTAAGGGAACGTTCAACTCTGGGAGTTGAATGTACACAACACAAGGAAGTTACTGGGAATTCTTCTGTCTAGCCTTACATGAAAAAAACCCGTTTCCAACGAAGGCCTCTAAGTGGTCAAAATATCCACGTGCAGACTTTACAAACAGAGTGTTTCCAAACCGCTGAATCAAAAGAAAAGTTAAACTCTGAGAGTTGAACGCACACATCACGCAGCAGTTTCTGAGAATGATTCTGTCTAGTTTTTATACGAAGATATTTCCTTTGCTGCCTTTGGCCCCAAAGCGCTTGAAATCTCCACTTGCAAATTCCACAAAAACAGTGTTTCAAATCTGCTCTCTCTAAATGAAAGTTCAACTCTGTCAGTTGAATACACACAACACAAGGAAGTTACTGAGAATTCTTCTGTCTAGCATAATATGAAGAAATCCCGTTTCCAACGAAGGCCTCAAAGAGGTCTGAATATCCACTTGCACACTTTACAAACAGAGTGTTTCCTAACTGCTCTATGAGAAGAAAAGTTAAACTCTGTGAGTTGAGCGCACACATCACAAAAGATTTTCTGAGAATCATTCTGTCTAGTTTTTATACGAAGATATTTCCTTTTCTACCATTGACCTCAACGCGGCTGAAATCTCCACTTGCAAATTCCACAAAAAGAGTGTTTCAAGTCTGCTCTGTATAAAGGATCGTTCAACTCTGTGAGTTGAATACACACAACACAAGGAAGTTACTGAGAATTCTTCTGTCTAGCATAGTATGAAGAAATCCCGTTTCCAACGAAGGCCTCAAAGAGGTCTGAATATCCACTTGCAGAGTTTACAAACAGAGTGTTTCCTAACTGCTCTATGAAAAGAAAGGTTAAACTCTGTGAGTTGAAGGAACACATCACAACGCAGTTTGTGGAAATGATTCTGTCTAGTTTTGAAACGAAGATATTTCCTTTTCTGCCATTGAGCTTAAAGCGCTTGAAATCTACACTTGCAAGTTGCACAAATAGAGTGTTTCAAATCTGCTCTGTCTAAGGGAACGTTCAACTCTGTGAGTTGAATGCACACAACACAAGGAAGTTACTGGGAATTCTTCTGTCTAGCCTTACATGAAAAAAAACTCGTTTCCAACGAAGGCTTCTAAGTGGTCAAAATATCCACGTGGAGACTTTACAAACAGAGTGTTTCCAAACTGCTGAATGAAAAGAAAAGTTAAACTCTGAGAGTTGAACGCACACATCACAGAGCGGTTTCTGAGAATGATTCTGTCTAGTTTTTATACGAAGATATTTCCTTTCCTGCCTTTTGCCCCAAAGCGCTTGAAATCTCCACTTGCAAATTGCACAAAAACAGTGTTTCAAATCTGCTCTCTCTAAATGAAAGTTCAACTCTGTCAGTTGAATACACACAACAAAAGGAAGTTACTGAGAATTCTTCTGTCTAGCATAATATGAAGAATTCCCATTTCCAACGAATGGATCAAGGAGGTCTGAATATCCACTTGCAGACTTTACAAACAGAGTGTTTCCTAACTGCTCTATGAAAAGAAAGGTTAAACTGTGTGAGTTGAACGCACACATCACAAAGGAGTTTCTGAGAATCATTCTGTCTAGTTTCTATAGGAAGATATTTCCTATTCTACCATTGACCTCAAAGCGGCTGAAGTCTCCACTTGCAAATTCCACAAAAAGAGTGTTTCAAGTCTGCTCTGTGTAAAGGATCGTTCAACTCTGTGAGTTGAATACACACAACACAAGGAAGTTACTGAGAATTCTTCTGTCTAGCATAATATGAAGAAATCCCGTTTCCAACGAAGGCCTCAAGGAGGTCTGAATATCCACTTGCAGACTTTACAAACAGAGTGTTTCCTAACTGCTCTATGAAAAGAAAGGTTAAACTCTGTGAGTTGAACGCACACATCACAAAGGAGTTTCTCATAATCATTCTGTCTAGTTTTTATACGAAGATATTTCCTTTTCTACCATTGACCTCAAAGCGGCTGAAATCTCCACTTGCAAATTACACAAAAAGAGTGTTTCAAGTCTACTCTGTGTAGAGGATCATTCAACTCTGTGAGTTGAATACACACAACACAAGGAAGTTACTGAGAATTCTTCTGTCTAGCCTTACAAGAAAAAAACCCGTTTCCAACGAAGGCCTCTAAATGGTCAAAATATCCACGTGCAGACTTTACAAACAGAGTGTTTCCAAACTGCTGAATGAAAAGAAAAGTTAAACTCTGAGAGTTGAACGCACACATCGCAGAGCAGTTTACTGAGAATGATTCTGTCTAGTTTTTATACGAAGATATTTCCTTTTCTGCTTTTGGCCTCAAATCGCTTGAAATATCCACTTGCAAATTCCACAAAAACAGTGTTTCAAATCTGCTCTCTCTAAATGAAAGTTCAACTCTGTCAGCTGAATACACACAACACAAGGAAATTACTGAGAATTCTTCTGTCTAGCAGAATATGAAGAAATCCGGTTTCCAACGAAGGCCTCAAGGAGGTCTGAATATCCACTTGCAGACTTTACAAACAGAGTGTTTCCTAACTGCTCTATGAACAGAAAGGTTAAACTCTGTGAGTTGAACGCACACACCACAAAAGAGTTTCTGAGAATCATTCTGTCTATTTTTTATAGGAAGATATTTCCTTTTCTACCTTTGACTTCAAAGCGGCTGAAATCTCCACTTGCAAATTCCACAAAAAGAGTGTTACAAGTCTGCTCTGTGTAAAGGATCGTTCAACTCTGTGAGTTGAATACACACAACACGCGGAAGTTACTGAGAATTCTTCTGTCTAGCCTTACATGAAAAAAACCCGTTTCCAAAGGAGGTCTCAAAGAGGTCAAAATACCCACTTGCAGACTTTACAAACAGAGTGTTTCCTAACTACTCTATGAATAGAAAGGTTAAACTCTGTGAGTTGAACACACACATCACAAAGGAGTTTCTGAGAATCATTCTGTCTAGTTTTGAAACGAAGATATTTCCTTTTCTGCCTTTGACCTTAAAGCGCTTGAAATCTACACTTGCAAATTGCACAAATAGAGTGTTTCAAATCTGCTCTGTCTAAGGGAACGTTCAACTCTGTGAGTTGAATGCACACAACACAAGGAAGTTACTGGGAATTCTTCTGTCTAGCCTTACATGAAAAAACCCGTTTCCAACGAAGGCTTCTAAGTGGTCAAAATATCCACGTGCAGACTTTACAAACAGAGTGTTTCCAAACCGCTGAATGAAAAGAAAAGTTAAACTCTGAGAGTTGAACGCACACATCACGCAGCAGTTTCTGAGAATGATTCTGTCTAGTTTTTATACGAAGATATTTCCTTTTCTGCCTTTGGCCTCAAAGCGCTTGAAATCTCCATTTGCAAATTCCACAAAAAGAGTGTTTCAAATCTGCTCTGTGTAAATGAAAGTTCAACTCTGTGAGTTGAAGACACACAACACAAGGAAGTTACTGGGAATTCTTCTATCTAGCCTTACATGAAAAAACCCCGTTTCCAACGAAGGCCTCAAAGAAGTCCAAATATCCACGTGCAGACTTTACAAACAGAGTGTTTCCTAACTGCTCTATGAAAAGAAAGGTTAAACTCTGTGAGTTGAACGCACACATCACAAAGGAGTTTCTGAGAATCATTCTGTCTAGTTTTTATAGGAAGATATTTCCTTTTCTACCTTTGACTTCAAAGCGGCTGAAATCTCCACTTGCAAATTCCACAAAAAGAGTGTTACAAGTCTGCTCTTTGTAAAGGATCGTTCAACTCTGTGAGTTGAATACACACAACACAAGGAAGTTACTGAGAATTCTTCTGTCTAGCACAGTATGAAGAAATCCCGTTTCCAACGAAGGCCTCAAAGAGGTCTGAATATCCACTTGCAGACTTTACAAACTGAGTGTTTCCTAACTGCTCTATGAAAAGAAAGGTTAAACTCTGTGAGTTGAACGAACACATCACAACGCAGTTTGTGGGAATGATTCTGTCTAGTTTTGAAACGAAGATATTCCCTTTTCTGCCATTGACCTTAAAGCGCTTGAAATCTCCATTTGCCAATTGCACAAAAAGAGTGTTTCAAATCTGCTCTGTCTAAGGGAACGTTCAACTCTGTGAGTTGAATGTACACAACACAAGGAAGTTACTGGGAATTCTTCTGTCTACCCTTACATGAAAAAACCCGTTTCCAACGAAGGCCTCTAAGTGGTCAAAATATCCACGTGCAGATTTTACAAACATAGTGTTTCCTAACTGCTCTATGAAAAGAAAGGTTAAACTCTGTGAGTTGAACGCACACATCACAAAGGAGTTTCTGAGAATCATTCTGTCTAGTTTTGAAACGAAGATATTTCCTTTTCTGCCTTTGGCCTCAAAGCGCTTGAAATCTCCACTTGCAAATTCCACAAAAAGAGGGTTTCAAATCTGCTCTGTGTAAATGAAAGTTCAACTCTGTGAGTTCAACACACACAACACAAGGAAGTTACTGGGAATTCTTCTGTATAGCAGAATATGAAGAAATGCCGTTTCCAACGAAAGCCTCAAAGATGTCTGAATATCCACCTGCAGACTTTACAAACAGAGTGTTTCCTAACTGCTCTATGAAAAGAAAGGTTAAACTCTGTGAGTTGAACGCACACATCACAAAGGAGTTTCTGAGAATCATTCTGTCTAGTTTTTATAGGAAGATATTTCCTATTCTACCGTTGACCTCAAAGCGGCTGAAATCTCCACTTGCAAATTCCACAACAAGAGTGTTTCAAGTCTGTTCTGTGTAAAGGATCATTCAACTCTGTGAGTTGAATACACACAACACAAGGAAGTTACTGAGAATTCTTCTGTCTAGCAGAATATGAAGAAATCCCGCTTCCAACGAAGGCCTCAAAGAAGTCTGAATATCCACTTGCAGACTTTACAAACAGAGTGTTTCCCAACTGCTCTATGAAAAGAAAGGTTGAACTCTGTGAGTGGAACGCACACATCACAAAGGAGTTTCTGAGAATCATTCTGTCTAGTTTTGAAACGAAGATATTTCCTTTTCTGCCGTTGACCTTAAAGAGCTTGAAAACTACACTTGCAAATTGCACAAATAGAGTGTTTCAAATCTGCTCGGTCTAAGGGAACGTTCAACTCTGTGAGTTGAATGCACACAACACAAGGAAGTTACTGGGAATTCTTCTGTCTAGCCTTACATGAAAAAAACCCGTTTCCAACGAAGGCCTCTAAGTGGTCAAAATTTCCACGTGCAGACTTTACAAACAGAGTGTTTCCAAACGGCTGAATGAAAAGAAAAGTTAAACTCTGAGAGTTGAACGCACACATCACGCAGCAGTTTCTGAGAATGATTCTGTCTAGTTTATATACGAAGATATTTCCTTTTCTGCCTTTGGTCCCAAAGCGCTTGAAATCTCCACTTGCAAATTCCACAAAAACAGTGTTTCAAATCTGCTCTCTCTAAATGAAACTTCAACTCTGTCAGTTGAATACACAAAACACAAGGAAGTTACTGAGAATTCTCTGTCTAGCAGAATATGAAGAAATCCCGCTTCCAACGAAGGCCTCAAAGAAGTCTGAATATCCACT
The DNA here is from genome assembly GCF_000001405.40 of Homo sapiens. NCBI lineage: Eukaryota > Metazoa > Chordata > Mammalia > Primates > Hominidae > Homo > Homo sapiens. Next base: position 48,313,072 of record NC_000005.10, on the reverse strand, counting down.
TGCAGACTTTACAAACAGAGTGTTTCCCAACTGCTCTATGAAAAGAAAGGTTGAACTCTGTGAGTTGAACGCACACATCACAAAGGAGTTCTGAGAATCTCTCTCTGTCTAGTTTTTATACGAAGATATTTCCTTTTCTACCATTGACCTCAAAGCGGCTGAAATCTCCACTTGCAAATTCCACAAAAAGAGTGTTTCAAATCTGCTCTGTGTAAACCATCGTTCAACTGCTGTGAGTTGAATACACACAACACAAGGAAGATTCTGAGAATTCTTCTGTCTAGCAGAATATGAAGAAATCCCGTTTCCAACGAAGGCCACAAGATGTCAGAATATCCACTTACAGAATTTACAAACAGACTGTTTCCTAACTGCTCTATGAAAAGAAAGGTTAAACTCTGTGAGTTAAACGAACACATCACAACGCAGTTTGTTGGAATGATTCTGTCTAGTTTTGAAACGAAGATATTTCCTTTTCTGCCATTGACCTTAAAGCGCTTGAAATCTCCACTTGCCAATTGCACAAAAAGAGTGTTTCAAATCTGCTCTGTCTAAGGGAACGTTCAACTCTGTGAGTTGAATGTACACAACACAAGGAAGTTACTGAGAATTCTTCTGTCTAGCCTTACAGGAAAAAAACCCGTTTCCAACGAAGGCCTCTAAGTGGTCAAAATATCCACCTTCAGACTTTACAAACAGAGTGTTTCCACACTGCTGAATGAAAAGAAAAGTTAAACTCTGAGAGTTGAACGCACACATCGCAGAGCAGTTTCTGAGAATGATTCTGTCTAGTTTTGAAACGAAGATATTTCCTTTTCTACCATTGACCTCAACGCGGCTGAAATCTGCATTTGCAAATTCCACAAAAAGAGTGTTTCAAATCTGCTCTGTGTAAATGAAAGTTCAACTCTGTGAGTTGAACACACACAACACAAGGAAGTTACTGGGAATTCTTCTGTCTAGCCTTATATGAAAAAAACCCGTTTCCAACGAAGGCCTCAAAGAGGTCTGAATATCCACTTGAAGACTTTACAAACAGAGTGTTTCCTAACTGCTCTATGAAAAGAAAGGTTAAACTCTGTGAGTTGAACACACACATCACAAAGGAGTTTCTGAGAATCATTCTGTCTAGTTTCTATAGGAAGATATTTCCTATTCTACCATTGACCTCAAAGCGGCTGAAATCTCCACTTGCAAATTCCACAAAAAGAATGTTTCAATTCTGCTCTGTGTAAAGGATCGTTCAACTCTGTGAGTTGAATACACACAACACAAGGAAGTTACTGAGAATTCTTCTGTCTAGCAGAATATGAAGAGATCCCGTTTCCAACGAAGGCCACAAGATGTCAGAATATCCACTTACAGAATTTACAAACAGACTGTTTCCTAACTGCTCTATGAAAAGAAAGGTTAAACTCTGTGAGTTGAACGAACACATCACAACGCAGTTTGTGGGAATGATTCTGTCTAGTTTTGAAACGAAGATATTTCCTTTTCTGCCATTGACCTTAAAGCGCTTGAAATCTACACTTGCAAATTGCTCAAATAGAGTGTTTCAAATCTGCTCTGTCTAAGGGAACGTTCAACTCTGTGAGTTGAATGCACACAACACAAGGAAGTTACTGGGAATTCTTCTGTCTAGCCTTACATGAAAAAAACTCGTTTCCAACGAAGGCCTCTAAGTGGTCAAAATATCCACGTGCAGACTTTACAAACAGAGAGTTTCGAAACCGCTGAATGAAAAGAAAAGTTAAACTCTGAGAGTTGAACGCACACATCACGCAGCAGTTTCTGAGAATGATTCTGTCTAGTTTTGAAACGAAGATATTTCCTTTTCTGCCTTTGGCCTCAAAGCGCTTGAAATCTCCACTTGCAAATTCCACAAAAAGAGTGTTTCAAATCTGCTCTGTGTAAATGAAAGTTCAACTGTGTGAGTTGAACACACACAACACAAAGAAGTTACTGGGAATTCTTCTGTCTAGCATAATATGAAGAAATCCCTTTTCCAACGAAGGCCATCAAGGAGGTCTGAATATCCACTTGCAGACTTTACAAACAGAGTGTTTCCTAACTGCTCTATGAAAAGAAAGGTTAAACTCTGTGAGTTGAACGCACACATCACAAAGGAGTTTCTGAGAATCATTCTGTCTAGTTTCTATAGGAAGATATTTCCTGTTCTACCATTGACCTCAAAGCGGCTGAAATCTCCACTTGCAAATTCCACAAAAGGAGTGTTTCAAGTCTGCTCTGTGTAAAGGATCGTTCAACTCTGTGAGTTGAATACACACAACACAAGGAAGTTACTGAGAATTCTTCTGTCTAGCAGAATATGAAGAAATCCCGTTTCCAACGAAGGTCACAAGATGTCAGAATATCCACTTACAGAATTTACAAACAGACTGTTTCCTAACTGCTCTATGAAAAGAAAGGTTAAACTCTGTGAGTTGAACGAACACATCACAACGCAGTTTGTGGGAATGATTCTGTCTAGTTTTGAAACGAAGATATTTCCTTTTCTGCCATTGACCTTAAAGCGCTTGAAATCTCCACTTGCCAATTGCACAAAAAGAGTATTTCAAATCTGCTCTGTCTAAGGGAACGTTCAACTCTGTGAGTTGAATGTACACAAAACAAGGAAGTTACTGGGAATTCTTCTGTCTAGCCTTACATGAAAAAAAACCCGTTTCCAACGAAGGCCTCTAAGTGGTCAAAATATCCACGTGCAGACTTTACAAACAGAGGGTTTCCAAACCGCTGAATGAAAAGAAAAGTTAAACTCTGAGAGTTGAACGCACACATCACGCAGCAGTTTACTGAGAATGATTCTGTCTAGTTTTGAAACGAAGATATTTCCTTTTCTGCCTTTGGCCTCAAAGCGCTTGAAATCTCCATTTGCAAATTCCACAAAAAGAGTGTTTCAAATCTGCTCTGTGTAAATGAAAGTTCAACTCTGTGAGTTGAACACACACAACACAGGGAAGTTACTGGGAATTCTTCTGTCTAGCAGAACATGAAGAAACCCCGCTTCCAACGAAGGCCTCAAAGAAGTCTGAATATCCACTTGCAGACTTTACAAACAGAGTGTTTCCCAACTGCTCTATGAAAAGAAAGGTTGAACTCTGTGAGTTGAACGCACACATCACAAAGGAGTTTCTGAGAATCATTCTGTCTAGTTTCTATAGGAAGATATTTCCTATTCTACCATTGACCTCAAAGCGGCTGAAATCTCCAGTTGCAAATTCCACAAAAAGAGTGTTTCAAGTCTGCTCTGTGTAAAGGATCGTTCAACTCTGTGAGTTGAATACACACAACACAAGGAAGTTACTGAGAATTATTCTGTCTAGCAGAATATGAAGAAATCCCGTTTCCAACGAAGGCCACAAGATATCATTATAACCACTTACAGACTTTACAAACAGAGTGTTTCCTAACTGCTCTATGAACAGAAAGGATAAACTCTGTGAGTTGAACCAACACATCACAAAGCAGTTTGTGGGAATGATTCTGTCTAGTTTTTATAGCAAGATATTTCCTTTTCTACCTTTGACTTCAAAGCGGCTGAAATCTCCACTTGCAAATTCCACAAAAAGAGTGTTACAAGTCTGCTCTGTGTAAAGGATCGTTCAACTCTGTGAGTTGAATACACACAACACAAGGAAGTTACTGAGAATTCTTCTGTCTAGCCTTACATGAAAAAAACCCGTTTCCAACGAAGGCCTCTAAGTGGTCAAATTATGCACGTGCAGACTTTACAAACAGAGTGTTTCCAAACTGCTGAATGAAAAGAAAAGTTAAACTCTGAGAGTTGAACGCACACATCGCAGAGCAGTTTCTGAGAATGATTCTGTCTAGTTTCTATATGAAGATATTTCCTATTCTACCATTGAACTCAAAGCGGCTGAAATCTCCACTTGCAAATTCCACAAAAAGAGTGTTTCAAGTCTGCTCTGTGTAAAGGATCGTTCAACTCTGTGAGTTGAATACACACAACACAAGGAAGTTACTGAGAATTCTTCTGTCTAGCAGAATATGAAGAAATCCCGTTTCCAACGAATGCCTCAAGGAGGTCTGAATATCCACTTGCAGACTTTACAAACAGAGTGTTTCCTAACTGCTCTATGAAAAGAAAGGTTAAACTGTGTGAGTTGAACGCACACATCACAAAGGAGTTTCTGAGAATCATTCTGTCTAGTTTTTCTAGGAAGATATTTCCTTTTCTACTATTGACCTCAAAGCGGCTGAAACCTCCACTTGCAAATTCCACAAAAAGAGTGTTTCAAGTCTGCTCTGTGTAAAGGATCGTTCAACTCTGTGAGTTGAATACACACAACACAAGGAAGTTACTGAGAATTCTTCTGTCTAGCAGAATATGAAGAAATCCCGTTTCCAACGAAGGCCACAAGATGTCAGAATATCCACTTACAGAATTTACAAACAGACTGTTTCCTAACTGCTCTATGAAAAGAAAGGTTAAACTCTGTGAGTTGAACGAACACATCACAACGCAGTTTGTGGGAATGATTTCTGTCTAGTTTTGAAACGAAGATATTTCCTTTTCTGCCATTGACCTTAAAGCGCTTGAAATCTACTCTTGCAAATTGCACAAATAGAGTGTTTCAAATCTGCTCTGTCTAAGAGAACGTTCAACTCTGTGAGTTGAATGCACCCCACACAAGGAAGTTACTGGGAATTCTTCTGTCTAGCCTTACATGAAAAAAACCCGTTTCCAACGAAGGCCTCTAAGTGGTCAAAATATCCACGTGCAGACTTTACAAACAGAGTGTTTCCAAACCGCTGAATGAAAAGAAAAGTTAAACTCTGAGAGTTGAACGCACATATCACGCAGCAGTTTCTGAGAATGATTCTGTCTAGTTTTGAAACGAAGATATTTCCTTTTCTGCCTTTGGCCTCAAAGCGCTTGAAATCTCCACTTGCAAATTCCACAAAAAGAGTGTTTCAAATCTGCTCTGGGTAAATGAAAGTTCAACTCTGTGTGTTGAACACACACAACACAAGGAAGTTACTGGGAATTCTTCTGTCTAGCATAATATGAAGAAATCCCGTTTCCAACGAAGGCCTCAAGGAGGTCTGAATATCCACTTGCAGACTTTACAAACAGAGTGTTTCCTAACTGCTCTATGAAAAGAAAGGTTAAACTCTGTGAGTTGAACGCACACATCACAAAGGAGTTTCTGATAATCATTCTGTCTAGTTTTTATACGAAGATATTTCCTATTCTACCATTGACCTCAAAGCGGCTGAAATCTCCACCCTGCCAATTCCACAAAAAGGGTGTTTCAAGTCTACTCTGTGTAAAGGATCGTTGAACTCTGTGAGTTGAAAACACACAACACAACGAACTTTCTGAGAATTCTTCTGTCTAGCAGAATATGAAGAAATCCCTTTTCCAACGAAAGCCTGAAAGATTTCTGAATATCCACTTGCAGACTTTACAAACAGAGTGTTTCCTAACTGCTCTATGAAAAGAAAGGTTAAACTCTGTGAGTTGAACGCACACATCACAAAGGAGTTTCTGAGAATCATTCTGTCTAGTTTTGAAACGAAGATATTTCCTTTTCTGCCGTTGACCTTAAAGCGCTTGAAATCTACACTTGCAAATTGCACAAATAGAGTGTTTCAAATCTGCTCTGTCGAAGGGAACGTTCAACTCTGTGAGTTGAATGCACACAACACAAGGAAGTTACTGGGAATTCTTCTGTCTAGCCTTACATGAAAAAAACCCGTTTCCATCGAAGGCCTCTAACTGGTCAAGTTATCCACGTGCAGACTTTACAAACAGAGTGTTTCCAAACTGCTGAATGAAAAGAAAAGTTAAACTCTGAGAGTTGAACGCACACATCGCAGAGCAGTTTCTGAGAATGATTCTGTCCAGTTTTTATACGAAGATATTTCCTTTTCTGCCTTTGGCCTCAAAGCGCTTGAAATCTCCACTTGCAAATTCCACAAAAAGAGTGTTTCAAATCTGCTCTGTGTAAATCAAAGTTCAACTCTGTGAGTTGAACACACACAACACAAGGAAGTTACTGGGAATTCTTCTGTCTAGCATAATATGAAGAAATCCCGCTTCCAACGAAGGCCTCAAAGAGGTCTGAATATCCACCTGCAGACTTAACAAACAGAGTGTTTCCTAACTGCTCTATGAAAAGAAAGGTTAAACTCTGTGAGTTGAACGCACACAGCACAAAGGAGTTTCTGAGAATCATTCTGTCTAGTTTTTATAGGAAGATATTTCCTTTTCTACTTTGACTTCAAAGCGGCTGAAATCTCCACTTGCAAATTCCACAAAAAGAGTGTTACAAGTCTGCTCTCTGTAAAGGATCGTTCAACTGTGTGAGTTGAATACACACAACACAAGGAAGTTACTGAGAACTCTTCTGTCTAGCCTTACATGAAAAAAACCCGTTTCCAACGAAGGCCTCTAAGTGGTCAAATTATCCACGTGCAGACTTTACAAACAGAGTGTTTCCAAACTGCTGAATGAAAAGAAAAGTTTAACTCTGAGAGTTGAACGCACACATCACAGAGCAGTTTCTGAGAATGATTCTGTCTAGTTTTGAAACGAAGATATTTCCTTTTCTGCCATTGACCTTAAAGCGCTTGAAATCTACACTTGCAAATTGCACAAATAGAGTGTTTCAAGTCTGCTCTGTGTAAAAGATCGTTCAACTCTGTGAGTTGAATACACACAACACAAGGAAGTTACTGGGAATTCTTCTGTCTAGCCTTACATGCAAAAAACCCGTTTCCAACGAAGGCCTCTAAGTGGTCAAAATATCCACGTGCAGACTTCACAAACAGAGTGTTTCCAAACCGCTGACTGAAAAGAAAAGTTAAACTCTGAGAGTTGAACGCACACATCACGCAGCAGTTTCTGAGAATGATTCTGTCTAGTTTTTATACGAAGATATTTCCTTTTCTATCATTGACACCAAAGCCGCTGAAATCTCCACTTGCAAATACCACAAAAAGAGTGTTTCAAATCTGCTCTGTGTAAATGAAAGTTCAACTCTGTGAGTTCAATACACACAACTCAAGGAAGTTACTGGGAATTCTTCTGTCTAGCATAATATGAAGAAATCCCGTTTCCAACGAAGACCTCAAAGAGGTCTGAATATCCACTTGCAGACTTTACAAACAGAGTCTTTCCTAACTGCTCTATGAGAAGAAAAGTTAAACTCTGTGAGTTGAACGCACACATCACAAAAGATTTTCTGAGAATCATTCTGTCTAGTTTCTATAGGAAGATATTTCCTTTTCTGCCATTGACCTCAAAGCGGCTGAAATCTCCACTTGCAAATTCCACAAAAAGAGTGTTTCAAGTCTGCTCTGTGTAAAGGATCGTTCAACTCGGTGAGTTGAATACACACAACACAAGGAAGTTACTGAGAATTCTTCTGTCTAGCAGAATATGAAGAAATCCCGTTTCCAACGAAGGCCACAAGATGTCAGAATATCTACTTACAGAATTTACAAACAGACTGTTTCCTAACTGCTCTATGAAAAGAAAGGTTAAACTCTGTGAGTTGAAAGAACACATCACAACGCAGTTTGTGGGAATGATTCTGTCTAGTTTTGAAACGAAGATATTTCCTTTTCTGCCATTGACCTTAAAGCGCTTGAAATCTCCACTTGCCAATTGCACAAAAAGAGTGTTTCAAATCTGCTCTGTCTAAGGGAACTTTCAACTCTGTGAGTTGAATGTACACAACACAAGGAAGTTACTGGGAATTCTTCTGTCTAGCCTTACATGAAAAAATCCCGTTTCCAACGAAGGCCTCTAAGTGGTCAAAATATCCACGTGCAGACTTTACAAACAGAGTGTTTCCAAACCGCTGAATGTAAAGAAAAGTTAAACTCTGAGAGTTGAACGCACACATCACGCAGCAGTTTCTGAGAATGATTCTGTCTAGTTTTTCTGTAAAGATATTTCCTTTTCTACTATTGACCTCAAAGCGGCTGAAATCTCCACTTGCAAATTCCACAAAAAGAGTGTTTCAAGTCTGCTCTGTGGAAAGGATCGTTCAACTCTGTGAGTTGAATACACACAACACAAGGAAGTTACTGAGAATTCTTCTGTCTACCTGAACATGAAGAAATCCCGCTTCCAACGAAGGCCTCAAAGAGGTCTGAATATCCACTTGCAGACTTTACAAACAGAGTGTTTCCTAACTGCTCTATGAAAAGAAAGGTTAAACTCTGTGAGTTGAACGCACACATCACAAAGGAGTTTCTGAGAATCATTCTGTCTAGTTTTTATACGAAGATATTTCCTTTTCTACCATTGACCTCAAAGCGGCTGAAATCTCCACTTGCAAATTACACAAAAAGAGTGTTTCAAGTCTACTCTGTGTAAATCATCGTTCAACTCTGTGAGTTGAAAACACACAACACAAGGAAGTTTCTGAGAATTCTTCTGTCTAGCAGAACATGAAGAAATCCCGTTTCCAACTATAGCCTCAAAGATGTCTGAATATCCACTTGCAGACTTTACAAACAGAGTGTTTCCTAACTGCTCTATGAAAAGAAAGGTTAAACTCTGTGAGTTGAACGCACACATCACAAAGGAGTTTCTGAGAATCATTCTGTCTAGTTTTGAAACGAAGATATTTCCTTTTCTGCCATTGACCTTAAACGCTTGAAATCTACAGTTGCCAATTGCACAAATAGAGTGTTTCAAATCTGCTCTGTCTAAGGGAACGTTCAACTCTGTGAGTTGAATGCACACAACACAAGGAAGTTACTGGGAATTCTTCTGTCTAGCCTTAGATGAAAAAATCCCGTTTCCAACGAAGGCCTCTAAGTGGTCAAAATATCCACGTGCAGACTTTACAAACATAGTGTTTCCAAACCGCTGAATGAAAAGAAAAGGTAAACTCTGAGAGTTGAACGCACACATCACGCAGCAGTTGCTGAGAATGATTCTGTCTAGTTTTTATACGAAGATATTTCCTTTTCTGCCTTTGGCCTCAAAGCGCTTGAAATCTCCACTTGCAAATTCCACAAAAAGAGTGTTTCAAATCTGCTCTGTGTAAATGAAAGTTCAACTCTGTGAGTTGAACACACACAACACAAGGAAGTTACTGGGAATTTTCCTGTCTAGCATAATATGAAGAAATCCCGTTTCCAACGAAGGCCTCAAAGAGGTCTGAATATCCACTTGCAGACTTTACAAACAGAGTGTTTCCTAACTGCTCTATGAAAAGAAAAGTTAAACTCTGTGATTTGAACGCACACATCACAAAGGAGTTTCTGAGAATCATTCTGTCTAGTTTTTCTACGAAGATATTTCCTTTTCTACCATTGACCTCAAATCGGCTGAAATCTCCACTTGCAAATTCCACAAAAAGAGTGTTTCAAGTCTGCTCTGTGTAAAGGATCGTTCAACTCTGTGAGTTGAATACACACAACACAAGGAAGTTACTGAGAATTCTTCTGTCTAGCAGAATATGAAGAAATCCCGTTTCCAACGATGGCCACAAGATGTCAGAATATCCACTTACAGACTTTACAAACAGAGTGTTTCCTAACTGCTCTATGAACGGAAAGGTTAAACTCTGTGAGTTGAACGAACACATCACAACGCAGTTTGTGGGAATGATTCTGTCTAGTTTTGAAACGAAGATATTTCCTTTTCTGCCGTTGACCTTAAAGAGCTTGAAAACTACACTTGCAAATTGCACAAATAGAGTGTTTCAAATCTGCTCTGTCTAAGGGAACGTTCAACTCTGTGAGTTGAATGCACACAACACAAGGAAGTTACTGGGAATTCTTCTGTCTAGCCTTACATGACAAAAACCCGTTTCCAACGAAGGCCTCTAAGTGGTCAAAATATCCACGTGCAGACTTTACAAACAGAGTGTTTCCAAACTGCTGAATGAAAAGAAAAGTTAAACTCTGAGCGCTGAAGGCACACATCGCAGAGCAGTTTCGGAGAATGATTCTGTCTAGTTTTTATACGAAGGTATTTCCTTTTCTGCCTTTGGCCCCAAAGCACTTGAAGTCTCCACTTGCAAATTCCACAAAAACAGTGCTTCAAATCTGCTCTCTCTAAATGAAAGTTCAACTCTGTCAGTTGAATACACACAACACAAGGAAGTTACTGAGAATTCTTCTGTCTAGCATAATATGAAGAAATCCCGTTTCCAACGAAGGCCTCAAAGAGGTCTGAATATCCACTTGCAGACTTTACAAACAGAGTGTTTCCTAACTGCTCTATGAAAAGAAAAGTTAAACTCTGTGAGTTGAACGCACACATCACAAAGGATTTTCTGAGAATCATTCTGTCTACTCTTTATACGAACATAGTTTCCTTTTCTACCTTTGACCTCAAAGCGGCTGAAATCTCCACTTGCAAATTCCATAAAAAGTGTGTTTCAAGTCTGCTCTGTGTAAAGGATCGTTCAACTCTGTGAGTTGAATACACACAACACAAGGAAGTTACTGAGAATTCTTCTGTCTATCAGAATATGAAGAAATCCCGTTTCCAAAGAAGGCCTCAAGGAGGTCTGAATATCCACTTGCAGACTTTACAAACAGAGTGTTTCCTAACTGCTCTATGAAAAGAAAGGTTAAACTCTGTGAGTTGAACGCACACATCACAAAGGAGTTGATGAGAATCACTCTGTCTAGTTTTGAAACGAAGTACATTTCCTTTTCTGCCTTTGGCCTCAAAGCGCTTGAAATCTCCATTTGCAAATTCCACAAAAAGAGTGTTTCAAATCTGCTCTGTGTAAATGAAAGTTCAACTCTGTGAGTTGAACGCACACAACACAAGGAAAGTTACTGGGAATTCTTCTGTCTAGCCTTATATGAAAAAAACCCGTTTCCAACGAAGGCCTCAAAGAGGTCTGAATATCCACTTGCAGACTTTACAAACAGAGTGTTTCCTAACTGCTCTATGAAAAGAAAGGTTAAACTCTGTGAGTTGATCGCACACATCACAAAGGAGTTTCTGAGAATCATTCTGTCTAGTTTTTATACGAAGATATTTCCTTTTCTGCCTTTGGCCTCAAAGCGCTTGAAATCTCCACTTGCAAATTCCACAAAAAGAGTGTTTCAAATCTGCTCTGTGTAAATCAAAGTTCAACTCTGTGAGTTGAACACACACAACAAAAGGAAGTTACTGGGAATTCTTCTGTCTAGCATAATATGAAGAAATCCCGTTTCCAACGAAGGCCTCAAAGAGGTCTGAATATCCACTTGCAGACATTACAAACAGAGTGTTTCCTAACTGCTCTATGAAAAGAAAGGTTAAACTCTGTGAGTTGAACGCACACATCACAAAGGAGTTTCTGAGAGTCATTCTGTCTAGTTTCTATAGGAAGATATTACCTATTCTACCGTTGACCTCAAAGCGGCTGAAATCTCCACTTTAAAATTCCACAACAAGAGTGTTTCAAGTCTGTTCTGTGTAAAGCATCATTCAACTCTGTGAGTTGAATACACACAACACAAGGAAGTTACTGAGAATTCTTCTCTCTAGCAGAATATGAAGAAATCCCGTTTCCAACGAACGCCACAAGATGTCAGAATATCCACTTACAGACTTTACAAACAGAGTGTTTCCTAACTGCTCTATGAACAGAAAGGTTAAACTCTGTGAGTTGAACGAACACATCACAACGCAGTTTGTGGGAATGATTCTGTCTAGTTTTGAAACGAAGATATTTCCTTTTCTGCCATTGACCTTAAAGCGCTTGAAATCTACACTTGCAAATTGCACAAGTAGAGTGTTTCCAATCTGCTCTGTCTAAGGGAACGTTCAACTCTGTGAGTTGAATGCACACAACACAAGGAAGTTACTGGGAATTCTTCTGTCTAGCCTTACAGGAAAAAAACCCGTTTCCAACGAAGGCCTCTAAGTGGTCAAAATATCCACGTGCAGGCTTTACAAACAGAGTGTTTCCAAACTGCTGAATGAAAAGAAAAGTTAAACTCTGAGAGTTGAACGCACACATCGCAGAGCAGTTTCTGAGAATGATTCTGTCAAATTTTTATATGAAGATATTTCCTTTTCAACCATTGACCTCAAAGCGGCTGAAATCTCCATTTGCAAATTCCACAAAAAGAGTGTTTCAAGTCTGCTCTGTGTAAAGCGTCGCTCAACTCTGTGAGTTGAATACACACAACACGAGGAAGTTACTGAGAATTCTTCTGTCTAGCAAAATATGAAGAAATCCCGTTTCCAACGAAGGCCTCAAAGAGGTCTGATTATCCAGTTGCAGACTTTACAAACAGAGTGTTTCCTAACTGCTCTATGAAAAGAAAGGTTAAACTCTGTGAGTTGAACGCACACATCACAAAGGAGTTTCTGAGAATCATTCTGTCTAGTTTTTATAGGAAGATATTTCCTTTTCCACCTTTGACTTCAAAGCGGCTGAAATCTCCACTTGCAAATTCCACAAAAAGAGTGTTACAAGTCTGCTCTGTGTAAAGAATCGTTCAACTGTGTGAGTTGAATACACACAACACAAGGAAGTTACTGAGAATTCTTCTGTCTAGGAGAATATGAAGAAATCCCGTTTCCAACGAAGGCCACAAGATGTCAGAATATCCACTTACAGAATTGACAAACAGACTGTTTCCTAACTGCTCTATGAAAAGAAAGGTTAAACTCTGTGAGTTGAACGAACCATCACAACGCAGTTTGTGGGAATGATTCTGTCTAGTTTTGAAACGAAGATATTTCCTTTTCTGCCACTGACCTTAAAGCGCTTGAAATCTCCACTTGCCAATTTCACAAAAAGAGTGTTTCAAATCTGCTCTGTCTAAGGGAACGTTCAACTCTGTGAGTTGAATGTACACAACACAAAGAAGTTACTGGGAATTATTCTGTCTAGCCTTACATGAAAAAAACCCGTTTCCAACGAAGGCCTCTAAGTGGTCAAAATATCCACGTGCAGACTTTACAAACAGAGTGTTTCCAAACCGCTGAATGAAAAGAAAAGTTAAACTCTGTGAGGTGAACACACACATCACAAAGGAGTTTCTGAGAATCATTCTGTCTAGTTTTTATACGAAGATATTCCCTTTTCTGCCTTTTTCCTCAAAGCGCTTGAAATCTCCATTTGCAAATTCCACAAAAAGAGTGTTTCAAATCTGCTCTGTGTAAATGAAAGTTCAACTCTGTGAGTTCAACACACACAACACAAGGAAGTTACTGGGAATTCTTCTGTCTAGCAGAACATGAAGAAATCCCGTTTCCAACGAAAGCCTCAAGGATGTCTGAATATCCACTTGCAGACTTTACAAACAGAGTGTTTCCTAACTGCTCTATGAAAAGAAAGGTTAAACTCTGTGAGTTGAACGCACACATCACAAAGGAGTTTCTGAGAATCATTCTGTCTATGTCGTTTTATAGGAAGATATTTCCTTTTCTACCTTTGACTTCAAAGCGGCTGAAATCTCCACTTGCAAATTCCACAAAAAGAGTGTTACAAGTCTGCTCTGTGTAAAGGATCGTTCAACTCTGTGAGTTGAATACACACAACACAAGGAAAGTTACTGAGAATTCTTCTGTCTAGCATAGTATGAAGAAATCCCGTTTCCAACGAAGGCCTCAAAGAGGTCTGAATATCCACTTGCAGAGTTTACAGAGTGTTTCCTAACTGCTGTATGAAAAGAAAGGTTAAACTCTGTGAGTTGAACGCACACATCGCAAAGAACTTTCTGAGAATCATTCTGTCTAGTTTTGAAACGAAGATATTTCCTTTTCTGCCATTGACCTTAAAGCGCTTGAAATCTCCATTTCCCAATTGCACAAAAAGAGTATTTCAAATCTGCTCTGTCTAAGGGAACGTTCAACTCTGTGAGTTGAATGTACACAACACAAGGAAGTTACTGGGAATTCTTCTGTCTAGCCTTACAGGAATAAAACCCGTTTCCAACGAAGGCCTCTAAGTGGTCAAAATATCCACGTGCAGACTTTACAAAGAGAGTGTTTCCAAACTGCTGAATGAAAAGAAAAATTAAACTCTGAGAGTTGAATGCACACATCGCAGAGCAGTTTCTGAGAATGATTCTGTCTAGTTTTGAAACGAAGATATTTCCTTTTCTGCCTTTGGCCTCAAAGCGCTTGAAATCTCCACTTGCAAATTCCACAAAAAGAGTGTTTCAAATCTGCTCTGTGTAAATGAAAGTTCAACTCTTGTGAGTTGAACACACACAACACAAGGAAGTTAGTGGGAATTCTTCTGTCTAGCATAATATGAAGAAATCCCGTTTCCAACGAAGGCCTCAAAGGGGTCTGAGTATCCACTTGCAGACTTTATAAACAGAGTGTTTACTAACTGCTCTATGAAAAGAAAGGTTAAACTCTGTGAGTTGAACACACACATCACAAAGGAGTTTCTGAGAATCATTCTGTCTAGTTTCTATAGGAAGATATTTCCTATTCTACCATTGACCTCAAAGCGGCTGAAATCTCCACTTGCAAATTCCACAAAAAGAGTGTTTCAAGTCTGCTCTGTGTAAAGGATCATTCAACTCTGTGAGTTGAATACACACAACACAAGGAAGTTACTGAGAATTTTTCTGTGTAGCATAATAAGAAGATATCCCGTTTCCAAAGAAGGCCTCAAGGAGGTCCGAATATCCACTTGTAGACTTTACAAACAGAGTGTTTCCTAACTGCTCTATGAAAAGAAAGGTTAAACTCTGTGAGTTGAACGCACACATCACAAAGGAGTTTCTGAGAATCATTCTGTCTAGTTTTGAAACGAAGATATTTCCTTTTCTGCCATTGACCTTAAAGCGCTTGAAATCTCCACTTGCCAATTGCACAAAAAGACTGTTTCAAATCTGCTCTGTCTAAGGGAACGTTCAACTCTGTGAGTTGAATGTACACAACACAAGGAAGTTACTGCGAATTCTTCTGTCTAGCCTTACATGAAAAAATCCCGTTTCCAACGAAGGCCTCTAAGTGGTCAAAATTTCCACGTGCAGACTTTACAAACAGAGTGTTTCCAAACAGCTGAATGAAAAGAAAAGTTAAACTCTGAGAGTTGAACGCACACATCACGCAGCAGTTTCTGAGAATGATTCTGTCTAGTTTTTATACGAAGATATTTCCTTTTCTGCCTTTGGCCCCAAAGCGCTTGAAATCTCCACTTGCAAATTCCACAAAAACAGTGTTTCAAATCTGCTCTCTCTAAATGAAAGTTCAACTCTGTCAGTTGAATACACACAACACAAGGAAGTTACTGAGAATTCTTCTGTCTAGCAGAATATGAAGAAATCCCGTTTCCAACGAAGGCCTCAAAGAGGTCTGAATATCCACTTGAAGACTTTACAATCAGAGTGTTTCCTAATTGCTCTATGAAAAGAAAAGTTAAACTCTGTGAGTTGAACGCACACATCACAAAGGAGTTTCTGAGAATCATTCTGTCTAGTTTTAATAGGAAGATATTTCCTTTTCTACCTTTGACTTCAAAGCGGCTGAAATCTCCACTTGCAAATTCCACAAAAAGAGTGTTACAAGTCTGCTCTGTGTAAAGGATCGTTCAACTCTGTGAGTTGAATACACACAACACAAGGAAGTTACTGAGAATTCTTCTGTCTAGCATAGTATGAAGAAATCCCGTTTCCAACGAAGGCCTCAAGGAGGTCTGAATATCCACTTGCAGACTTTACAAACAGAGTGTTTCCTAACTGCTCTATGAAAAGAAAGGTTAAACTCTGTGAGTTGAACGCACACATCACAAAGGAGTTTCTGAGAATCATTCTGTCTAGTTTTGAAACGAAGATATTTCCTTTTCTGCCATTGACCTTAAAGCGCTTGAAATCTCCACTTGCCAATTGCACAAAAAGAGTGTTTCAAATCTGCTCTGTCTAAGGGAACGTTCAACTCTGTGAGTTGAATGTACACAACGCAAGGAAGTTACTGGGAATTCTTCTGTCTAGCCTTACAGGAAAAAAACCCGTTTCCAACGAAGGCCTCTAAGTGGTCAAAATATCCACGTGCAGACTTTACAAACAGAGTGTTTCCAAACTGCTGAATGAAAAGAAAAGTTAAACTCCTGAGAGTTGAACGCACACATCGCAGAGCAGTTTCTGAGAATGATTTCTGTCTAGTTTTGAAACGAAGATATTTCCTTTTCTGCCTTTGGCCTCAAAGCGATTGAAATCTCCACTTGCAAATTCCACAAAAAGAGTGTTTCAAATCTGCTCTGTGTAAATGAAAGTTCAACTCTGTGAGTTGAACACACACAACACAAGGAAGTTACTGGGAATTCTTCTGTCTAGCAGAATATGAAGAAATCCCGTTTTCCCCGAAGGCCTCAAGGAGGTCTGAATATCCACTTGCAGACTTTACAAACAGAGTGTTTCCTAACTGCTCTATGAGAAGAAAAGTTAAACTCTGTGAGTTCAACGCACACATCACAAAGGAGTTTCTGAGAATCATTCTGTCTAGTTTTTATCCGAAGATATTTCCTTTTCTACCATGGACCTCAAAGCGGCTGAAATCTCCACTTGCAAATTCCACAAAAAGAGTGTTTCAAGTCTGCTCTGTGTAAAGGATCGTTCAACTCTGTGAGTTGAATACACACAACACAAGGAAGATTCTGAGAATTCTTCTGTCTAGCATAATATGAAGAAATCCCATTTCCAACGAAGGCCTCAAAGAGGTCTGAATATCCACTTTCAGACTTTACAAACAGAGTGTTTCCTAACTGCTATATGAAAAGAAAAGTTAAACTCTGTGAGTTGAACGCACACATCACAAAGGAGTTTATGAGAATCATTCTGTCTAGCTTTGAAACGAAGATATTTCCTTTTCTGCCGTTGACCTTAAAGAGCTTGAAAACTACACTTGCAAATTGCACAAATAGAGTGTTTCAAATCTGCTCTGTCTAAGGGAACGTTCAACTCTGTGAGTTGAATGCACACAACACAAGGAAGTTACTGGGAATTCTTCTGTCTAGCCTTACATGAAAAAAACCCGTTTCCAACGAAGGCCTCTAAGTGGTCAAGTTATCCACGTGCAGACTTTACAAACAGAGTGTTTCCAAACTTCTGAATGAAAAGAAAAGTTAAACTCTGAGAGTTGAACGCACACATCGCAGAGCAGTTTCTGAGAATGATTCTGTGTAGTTTTTACACGAAGATATTTCCTTTTCTGCCTTTGGCCCCAAAGCGCTTGAAATCTCCACTTGCAAATTCCACAAAAACAGTGTTTCAAATCTGCTCTCTCTAAATGAAAGTTCAACTCTGTCAGTTGAATACACACAACACAAGGAAGTTACTGAGAATTCTTCTGTCTAGCATAATATGAAGAAATCCCGTTTCCAACGAAGACCTCAAGGAGGTCTGAATATCCACTTGCAGACTTTAGAGAGTGTTTCCTAACTGCTCTATAAAAAGAAAGGTTAAACTCTGTGAGTTGAACGCACACATCACAAAGGAGTTTCTGAGAATCATTCTGTCTAGTTTTTCTATGAAGATATTTCCTTTTCTACTATTGACCTCAAAGCGGCTGAAATCTCCACTTGCAAATTACACAAAAAGAGTGTTTCAAGTCTGCTCTGTGTAAAGGATCGTTCAACTCTGTGAGTTGAATACACACAACACAAGGAAGTTACTGAGAATTCTTCTGTCTAGCATAATATGAAGAAATCCCGTTTCCAACGAAGGCCACAAGATGTCAGAATATCCACTTACAGACTTTACAAACAGAGTGTTTCCTAACTGCTCTATGAACAGAAAGGTTAAACTCTGTGA
Source organism: Homo sapiens (assembly GCF_000001405.40). Classification (NCBI taxonomy): domain Eukaryota; kingdom Metazoa; phylum Chordata; class Mammalia; order Primates; family Hominidae; genus Homo; species Homo sapiens. Next base: position 48,295,333 of record NC_000005.10, on the reverse strand, counting down.
GTTGAATGAACACATCACAACGCAGTTTGTGGGAATGATTCTGTCTAGTTTTGAAACCAAGATATTTCCTTTTCTGCCGTTGACCTTAAAGAGCTTGAAAACTACACTTGCAAATTGCACAAATAGAGTGTTTCAAATCTGCTCTGTCTAAGGGAACGTTCAACTCTGTGAGTTGAATGCACACAACACAAGGAAGTTACTGGGAATTCTTCTGTCTAGCCTTACAGGAAAGAAACCCGTTTCCAACGAAGGCCTCTAAGTGGTCAAAATATCCACGTGCAGACTTTACAAACAGAGTGTTTCCAAACTGCTGAATGAAAAGAAAAGTTAAACTCTGAGAGTTGAACGCACACATCGCAGAGCAGTTTCTGAGAATGATTCTGTCGAGTTTTTATACGAAGATATTTCCTTTTCTGCCTTTGGCCTCAAAGCGCTTGAAATCTCCACTTGCAAATTCCACAAAAAGAGTGTTTCAAATCTGCTCTGTGTAAATGAAAGTTCAACTCTGTGAGTTGAACACACACAACACAAGGAAGTTACTGGGAATTCTTCTGTCTAGCAGAATATGAAGAAATCCCGTTTCCAATGAATGCCTCAAAGAGGTCTGAATATCCACTTGCAGACTTTACAAACAGAGTGTTTCCTAACTGCTCTATGAAAAGAAAGGTTAAACTCGGTGAGTTGAACGCACACATCACAAAGGAGTTTATGAGAATCATTCTGTCTAGTTTTTATACGAAGATATTTCCTTTTCTATCATTCACATCAAAGCGACTGAAATCTCCACTTGCAAATACCACAAAAAGAGTGTTTCAAATCTGCTCTGTGTAAATGAAAGTTCAACTCTGTGAGTTGAATACACACAACACAAGGATGTTACTGGGAATTCTTCTGTCTAGCCTTATATGAAAAAAACCCGTTTCCAACGAAGGCCTCAAAGAGGTCTGAATATCTACTTGCAGACTTTACAAACAGAGTGTTTCCTAACTGCTCTATGAAAAGAAAGGTTAAACTCTGTGAGTTGAACGCACACATCACAAAGGAGTTTCTGAGAATCATTCTGTCTAGTTTTTATACGACGATATTTCCCTTTCTACCTTTGACTTCAAAGCGGCTGAAATCTCCATTTGCAAATTCCACAAAAAGAGTGTTTCAAGTCTGCTCTGTGTAAAAGATTGTTCAACTCTGTGAGTTGAATACACACAACACAAGGAAGTTACTGAGAATTCTTCTGTCTAGCCTTACAGGAAAAAAACCCGTTTCCAACGAAGGCCTCTAAGTGGTCAAAATATCCACGTGCAGACTTTACAAACAGAGTGTTTCCGAACTGCTGAATGAAAAGAAAAGTTAAACTCTGAGAGTTGAACGCACACATCGCAGAGCAGTTTCTGAGAATGATTCTGTCTAGTTTTGAAACGGAGATATTTCCTTTTCTGCCTTTGGCCTCAAAGCGCTTGAAATCTCCACTTGCAAATTCCACAAAAAGAGTGTTTCAAATCTGCTCTGTGTAAATGAAAGTTCAACTCTGTGAGTTGAACACACACAACACAAGGAAGTTACTGGGAATTCTTCTGTCTAGCATAATATGAAGAAATACCGTTTCCAACGAAGGCCTCAAAGGGGTCTGAATATCCACTTGCAGACTTTATAAACAGAGTGTTTACTAACTGCTCTATGAAAAGAAAGGTTAAACTCTGTGAGTTGAACACACACATCACAAAGGAGTTTCTGAGAATCATTCTGTCTAATTTCTATAGGAAGATATTTCCTATTCTACCATTGACCTCAAAGCGGCTGAAATCTCCACTTGCAAATTCCACAAAAAGAGTGTTTCAGGTCTGCTCTGTGTAAAGGATCGTTCAACTCTGTGAGTTGAATACACACAACACAAGGCAGTTACTGAGAATTCTTCTGTCTAGCTGAATATGAAGAAATCCCGCTTCCAACGAAGGCCTCAAAGAAGCCTGAATATCCACTTGCAGACTTTACAAACAGAGTGTTTCCCAACTGCTCTATGAAAAGAAAGGTTGAACTCTGTGAGTTGAACGCACACATCACAAAGGAGTTTCTGAGAATCATTCTGTCTAGTTTTGAAACGAAGATATTTCCTTTTCTGCCTGTTGACCTTAAAGCGCTTGAAATCTACACTTGCAAATTGCACAAATAGAGTTTTTCAAATCTGCTCTGTCTAAGGGAACGTTCAACTCTGTGAGTTGAATGCACACAACACAAGGAAGTTACTGGGAATTCTTCTGTCTAGCCTTACATGAAAAAAACCCGTTTCCAACGAAGGCCTCTAAGTGGTCAAGTTATCCACGTGCAGACTTTACAAACAGAGTGTTTCCAAACTACTGAATGAAAAGAAAAGTTAAACTCTGAGAGTTGAACGCACACATCGCAGAGCAGTTTCTGAGAATGATTCTGTCTAGTTTTTATACGAACATATTTCCTTTTCTGCCTTTGGCCTCAAAGCGCTTGAAATCTCCATTTGCAAATTCCACAAAAAGAGTGTTTCAAATCTGCTCTGTGTAAATGAAAGTTCAACTCTGTGAGTTGAACACACACAACACAAGGAAGTTACTGGGAATTCTTCTGTCTAGCAGAACATGAAGAAATCCCGTTTCAAACGAAGGCCTCAAAGATGTCTGAATATCCACTTGCAGACTTTACAAACAGAGTGTTTCCTAACTGCTCTATGAAAAGTAAGGTTAAACTCTGTGAGTTGAACGCACACATCACAAAGGAGTTTCTGAGAATCATTCTGTCTAGTCTTTATATGAAGATAGTTTCCTTTTCTACCATTGACCTCAAAGCGGCTGAAATCTCCACTTGCAAATTCCACAAAAAGAGTGTTTCAAGTCTGCTCTGTGTAAAGGATCGTTCAACTCTGTGAGTTAAATACACACAACACAAGGAAGTTACTGAGAATTCTTCTGTCTAGCAGAAGAGGAAGAAATACCGTTTCCAACGAAGGCCACAAGATGTCAGAATATCCACTTACAGACTTTACAAACAGAGTGTTTCCTAACTGCTCTATGAACAGAAAGGTTAAACTCTGTGAGTTGAACGAACACATCACAACGCAGTTTGTGGGAATGATTCTGTCTAGTTTTGAAACGAAGATATTTCCTTTTCTGCCATTGACCTTAAAGCCCTTGAAATCTCCATTTGCCAATTGCACAAAAAGAGTGTTTCAAATCTGCTCTGTCTAAGGGAACGTTCAACTCTGTGAGTTGAATGTACACAACACAAGGAAGTTACTGGGAATTCTTCTGTCTAGCCTTACAGGAAAAAAACCCGTTTCCAACGAAGGACTCTAAGAGGTCAAAATATCCACGTGCAGACTTTAAAAAAAGAGTGTTTCCAAACTGCTGAATGAAAAGAAAAGTTAAACTCTGAGAGTGGAAAGCACACATCGCCGAGCAGTTTCTGGGAATGATTCTGTCTAGTTTTGAAACGAAGATATTTCCTTTTCTGCCTTTGGCCTCAAAGCGCTTGAAATCTCCAATTGCAAATTCCACAAAAAGAGTGTTTCAAATCTGCTCTGTGTAAATGAAAGTTCAACTCTGTGAGTTGAACACACACAACACAAGGAAGTTACTGGGAATTCTTCTGTATAGCAGAATATGAAGAAATCCCGTTTCCAACGAAAGCCTCAAGGATGTCTGAATATCCACTTGCAGACTTTACAAACAGAGTGTTTCCCAACTGCTCTAGGAAAAGAAAGGTTGAACTCTGTGAGTTGAACGCACACATCACAAAGGAGTTTTTGAGAATCATTCTGTCTAGTTTTTATACGAAGATATTTCCTTTTCTAACGTTGACCTCAAAATGGCTGAAATCTCCACTTGCAAATTCCACAAAAAGAGTGTTTCAAGTCTGCTCTGTGTAAAGGATCGTTGAACTCTGTGAGTTGAAAACACACAACACAACGAAGTTTCTGAGAATTCTTCTGTCTAGCAGAATGTGAAGAAATCCCGTTTCCAACGAAAGCCTCAAAGATGTCTGAATATCCACTTGCAGACTTTACAAACAGAGTGTTTCCTAACTGCTCTATGAAAAGAAAGGTTAAACTCTGTGAGTTGAACGCACACATCACAAAGGAGTTTCTGAGAATCATTCTGTCTAGTTTTGAAACGAAGATATTTCCTTTTCTGCCATTGACCTTAAAGCGCTTGAAATCTACACTTGCAAATTGCACAAATAGAGTGTTTCAAATCTGCTCTGTCTAAGGGAACGTTCATCTCTGTGAGTTGAATGCACACAACACAAGGAAGTTACTGGGAATTCTTCTGTCTAGCCTTACATGAAAAAAACCCGTTTCCAACGAAGACCTCTAAGTGGTCAAAATATCCACTTGCAGACTTTACAACCAGAGTGTTTCCTAACTGCTCTATGAAAAGAAAGGTTAAACTCTGTGATTTGAAAGCAAACATCACAAAGGAGTTTCTGAGAATCATTCTGTCTAGTTTTTATACGAAGATATTTCCTTTTCAGCCTTTGGCCCCAAAGCGCTTGAAATCTCCACTTGCAAATTCCACAAAAACAGTGTTTCAAATCTGCTCTCTCTAAATGAAAGTTCAACGCTGTCAGTTGAATACACACAACACAAGGAAGTTACTGAGAATTCTTCTCTCTAGCCTTATATGAAAAAAACCCGTTTCCAACGAAGGCCTCAAAGAGGTCTGAATATCCACTTGCAGACTTTACAAACAGAGTGTTTCCTAACTGCTCTATGAAAAGAAAGGTTAAACTCTGTGAGTTGAACGCACACATCACAAAGGAGTTTCTGAGAATCTTTCTGTCTAGTTTTTATAGGAAGATATTTCCTATTCTAACATTGACCTCAAAGCGGCTGAAATCTCCACTTGCAAATTCCACAAAAAGAGTGTTTCAAGTCTGCTCTGTGTAAAGGATCGTTCAACTCTGTGAGTTGAATACACACAACACAAGGAAGTTACTGAGAATTCTTCTGTCTAGCAGAATATCAAGAAATCCCGTTTCCAACGAAGGCCACAAGATGTCAGAATATCCACTTACAGAATTTACAAACAGACTGTTTCTTAACTGCTCTATGAAAAGAAAGGTTAAACTCTGTGAGTTGAACGAACACCTCACAACGCAGTTTGTGGGAATGATTCTGTCTAGTTTTGAAACGAAGATATTTCCTTTTCTGCCATTGACCTTAAAGCGCTTGAAATCTCCACTTGCCAATTGCACAAAAAGAGTGTTTCAAATCTGCTCTATCTAAGGGAACGTTCAACTCTGTGAGTTGAATGTACACAACACAAGGAAGTTACTGGGAATTCTTCTGTCTAGCCTTACATGAAAAAAACCCGTTTCCAACGAAGGCCTCTAAGTGGTCAAATTATCCACGTGCAGACTTTACAAACAGAGTGTTTCCAAACTGCTGAATGAAAAGAAAAGTTGAACTCTGAGAGTTGAACGCACACATCGCAGAGCAGTTTCTGAGAATGATTCTGTCTAGTTTTTATACGAAGATATTTCCTTTTCTACCATTGACCTCAATGCGGCTGAAATCTCCACTTGCAAATTCCACAAAAAGAGTGTTTCAACTCCGCTCTGTGTAAAGGATCGTTCAACTCTGTGAGTTGAATACACACAACACAAGGAAGTTACTGAGAATTCTTCTGTCTAGCACAGTATGAAGAAATCCCGTTTCCAACGAAGGCCTCAAAGAGGTGTGAATATCCACTTGCAGAGTTTACAAACAGAGTGTTTCCTAACTGCTCTATGAAAAGAAAGGTTAAACTCTGTGAGTTGAACGCACACATCACAAAGGAGTTTCTGAGAATCATTCTTTCTAGTCTTTATACGAAGATAGTTTCCTTTTCTACCATTGACCTCAAAGCGGCTGAAATCTCCACTTGCAAATTCCACAAAAAGAGTGTTTCAAGTCTGCTCTGTGTAAAGGATCGTTGAACTCTGTGAGTTGAATACACACAACACAAGGAAGTTACTGAGAATTATTCTGTGTAGCAGAATATGAAGAAATCCCGTTTCCAACGAAGGCCACAAGATGTCAGAAAATCCACTTACAGACTTTACAAACAGAGTGTTTCCTAACTGCTCTATGAACAGAAAGGTTAAACTCTGTGAGTTGAACGAACACATCACAACGCAGTTTGTGGGAATGATTCTGTCTAGTTTTGAAACGAAGATATTTCCTTTTCTGCCATTGACCTTAAAGCGCTTGAAATCTACACTTGCAAATTGCACAAATAGAGTGTTTCAAATCTGCTCTGTCTAAGGGAAAGTTCAACTCTGTGAGTTGAATGCACACAACACAAGGAAGTTACTGGGAATTCTTCTGTCTAGCCTTACAGGAAAAAAACCCGTTTCCAACGAAGGCCTCTAAGTGGTCAAAATATCCACGTGCAGACTTTACAAACAGAGTGTTTCCAAACTGCTGAATGAAAAGAAAAGTTAAACTCCTGAGAGTTGAACGCACACATCGCAGAGCAGTTTCTGAGAATGATTTCTGTCTAGTTTTTATACGAAGATATTTACTTTTCTGCCTTTGGCCTCAAAGCGCTTGAAATCTCCACTTGCAAATTCCACAAAAAGAGTGTTTCAAATCTGCTCTGTGTAAATGAAAGTTCAACTCTGTGAGTTGAACACACACAACACAAGGAAGTTACTGGGAATTCTTCTGTCTAGCAGAATATGAAGAAATCCCGTTTCCAACGAAGGCCTCAAGGAGGTCTGAATATCCACTTGCAGACTTTACAAACAGAGTGTTTCCTAACTGCTCTATGAAAAGAAAGGTTAAACTCTGTTAGTTGAACGCACACATCACAAAGGAGTTCATGAAAATCATTCTGTCTAGTTTTTATACGAAGATATTTCCTTTTCTACCATTGACCTCAAAGCGGCTGAAATCTCCACTTCCAAATTCCACAAAAAGAGTGTTTCAAATCTGCTCTGTGTAAACCATCGTTCAACTGTGTGAGTTGAATACACACAACACAAGGAAGATTCTGAGAATTCTTCTGTCTAGCAGAAGATGAAGAAATCCCTTTTCCAACGAAGGCCACAAGATGTCAGAATATCCACTTACAGAATTTACAAACAGAGTGTTTCCTAACTGCTCTATGAAAAGAAAGGTTAAACTCTGTGAGATGAACGAACACATCACAACGCAGTTTGTGGGAATGATTCTGTCTAGTTTTGAAACGAAGATATTTCCTTTTCTGCCATTGACCTTAAAGCGCTTGAAATCTCCACTTGCCAATGGCACAAAAAGAGTGTTTCAAATCTGCTCTGTCTAAGGGAACTTTCAACTCTGTGAGTTGAATGTACACAACACAAGGAAGTTACTGGGAATTCTTCTGTCTAGCCTTACATGAAAAAAACCCGTTTCCAACGAAGGCCTCTTAGTGGTCAAAATATCCACGTGCAGACTTTACAAACAGAGTGTTTCCAAACCGCTGAATGAAAAGAAAAGTTAAACTCTTAGAGTTGAACGCACACATCACGCAGCAGTTTCTGAGAATGATTCTGTCTAGTTTTTATACGAAGATATTTCGTTTTCTGCCTTTGGCCCCAAAGCGCTTGAAATCTCCACTTGCAAATTCCACAAAAACAGTGTTTCAAATCTGCTGTCTCTAAATGAAAGTTCAACTCTGTCAGTTGAATAAACACAACACAAGGAAGTTACTGAGAATTCTTCTGTCTGGCATAATATGAAGAAATCCCGTTTCCAACGAAGGCCTCAAGGAGGTCTGAATATCCACTTGCAGACTTTACAAACAGAGTGTTTCCTAACTGCTCTATGAAAAGAAAGGTTAAACTCTGTGAGTTGAACACACACATCACAAAGGAGTTTCTGAGAATCATTCTGTCTAGTTTTTATACGAAGATATTTCCTTTTCTGCCTTTGGCCCCAAAGCGGCAGAAATCTCCACTTGCAAATTCCACAAAAAGAGTGTTTCAAGACTGCTCTGTGTAAAGGATCGTTCAACTCTGTGAGTTGAATACACACAACACAAGGAAGTTACTGAGAATTCTTCTGTCTAGCAGAATATGAAGAAATCCCGTTTCCAACGA